>NC_000010.11:131285549-131597030 GCF_000001405.40 Homo sapiens
GGAAGGAAGAAAGAAAAAGAAAGAAAGAAAGAAAAAAAATGAGATGGCAGGGCAGCTTCACACAAGAACGTGGACTAAAGACGCTAAACGCTGTAATAGAGATAAGTGCAGCATTGTGTATATGAAAAGGGCAATTCAACATGAAGATTTTGGGTTGATTCAAGAAATGTAAGTGATTTAACATTATAACAGTTTAAAATATCATACACCACAGTAACAGATTAAAAAAAGAAAAATGTGGCTATCTTAATCTAAAAAGGTAAAACATTGAAAAAAATTCATCCCTAAAATATTATAACAAGAAATGAGCACCAGGAAACTCAGATGGAAGGAATGTTCTAAGCCCAGTGGCGGGTGGTTAAAACCTATAAGCATATTGAGAACAGGATACATTTGAAGCATCTGCTCCAAAACAGGACCAGCATGGGGTACCAGCCATCACTACCACATCACACACTGTACTGAAAGTTCTAGATAATCAATATAAAAATAATATTTTAACATTTTAAATTTTAAAAAGCACAAGAACGGAAAAGAAGAAAGAAATCTCACTCCTGAACATTAACACGTCCGTGGCTCTTGCACAGTAGTCTTCTTTTTGTCCCTTAAAACAGAAGAAATACTTGGACAACTTGGGTTAAGAGGCCTTTAAAACGTCTGGGAAGTTCTTATAAGAAAATGATGCTTAATGCCTAAGGAGTACTTAGGCACTGTGAATGTTTGGAAATAGTTGTTTCAGTGTATTTATGTTAAGTGAACTCTGATTCATCAGCTGGATTTTTAAAATTTATTAAAGATGGCATAATAATTTATAATATCATGGAAAATCTATATTAAAATATTAAGTCAGAAGTGACATACAAACCTGTGGTTACAATACCGTATTGTGTAAGGTAATGCACCCGCATACTAGCCTTATTTGTAAACATTAACTGGAGCTAGGAGTGACTTTTTTCCCTTCCTTCCGCATTCTAATAATTTATAAATGTTTCATATCTAACAAATATGAATTATTCTTATACTGGAAAAAATAAAAAGCAAATCATTTGTGTATATAAATACTATATAAGTGTACACCATTTAAATACCATATATGTAGCTTAAAATGGATCCTTTAGCTATTCTCATAAGATCAAAGAAATAGAGAGGTCACATTTGGGTTCCACTTGGTAACAAATGAGCATGAAGTAAATTTCTTTGAAATGCTGTCTTTAGGCCTCATTGAATTATCTATAAACTATACTCACAAATAGATCTCTGAGATCTTCGCAAATGAGCTTGGTTGTTATCTTCCGGCACTGCCGTTCCCACATGGGAGGCGTTAGCTCCATGTGGCTACAGAGCCCCTGACCTGGGCTAGCCCAGATCGAGACGTGTTGCGAATATCAGATATACACTGAATTTCAAAGATAATATCAAAGAAGGAAGGTAAATATCTCACCCATAACTTTTACATAATTACATGCTGGAATAATAATGTTCTGGATATATTGAACTAAATTAACAAATTATTAAAATTCACCTGTTTTGTTATACTTTTACAAACATGAGTGCCAGAAAATTTTAAATTCCATGTGATGTTAGCATTATATTTCTGCTGGAGAATGTTACTTTAGAATAGGTATCAGAGACGGGAAACTTCCAGTAAGAAGAAAGTAGGGGAATAATAATCTCACATTTAGATGCTAAAGTCCATAGTTGTCATGGAATTCTGACCTCTCCATACTTATTTTCTTAATAGTCTCAACACTAACACAGTGATTCTGTATCCTATCTGTAAGTTAGAATTTCAATCTTTTGGCAAATTGATTCATTATTTTGTGGCTTGTCGCTCACAAATTCAAGGAATATAATGGTCACCAGGACAGATTCCTAGTTGTTTAAAATGATATGAATTATGTTGGTAAATACAAATCTCACTTAATTTCATTACCTATGCAGTCTGCCCATTTTAGTTGATGTCTGAATAATTTGCCAGTGGGTCTGGGGACATAACCATTTTTTATATAAATGGCACCTTGAAGTACAGTCCAGATATAGAGAAAATATAAAGTGATCCAAAGGTCTGTCTGACTCACTAGATTACTTCCAAGCCAGTGTCCACCTCCTTGCCATCTAGAGCGGGCTTACTCAGGGAGCATCTATGGGAACGGTCTAAATAGGCCGGGCATTGCAGATACCACACAAGCAGCAGCCATTCACATCAATTATTAAAATAATCATAATGCAATTAACTCTTGCAATAATCTCACTTCACAGATGAGAACACTGAGGGACAGGGGTGCTCAGTCAACTTCTCAAGGTCAGGCAGCTGGCGAGTGACAGGCCATTTTGAACCCGGCAGTCTGTGGGCAAAGTCTGTGCTCTCAGTAATGACATGATGTCACTCATTCAACAACAATTTTAAACGATAGACTAGAAGGTGGCTCTGGACAAATGTTTTCCACACACAAGTATTTTTCTGACTTCTTCCAGATGGTGTAATTTACAGCACTTTTTTGGATGTGCTTCTCCATAGCTTTCTCTGGAACTGGGGACCTGTGACGATTCCAGCAGGACAAGAGGCAGAGCCTGAACCGGCCACCACAAGCCTGCCAGTCTCTGAAGGCTTGTCTGTGATGGTAAAATCAGTCTGTTCTTACATAACACAAAAGAAGTGTTTCTCCCCCCAACTCTCTAAGGAAAAGTGCAGATTCAGAATGATTTATCTGTTCATCCTACAACTTCAGAAACCAGTCGGAACCGGGCACCCAACCCGGTTTGAGAAACCAACCCCACAGTTTAATCTCCTAGTAAGCAGGTGCTTCCTCTTGACTAGGAGTAACTAACCACCAGCATTTTACTCTCCCACCCTCATCTCATTATGGTCACGTGGATGCAGACCTTCAGGTGGGACCAGACCGACCCTCTCAGGACAGACGCACTGTGGGATACCCGCTGTGCCGGGAGGTGGGTGCTACCACCCAGGGCCTGCCCTCCACCCCACTATCAACAGGGTTCTTTGCACGGAGAAAATGGAAGTCCCGTCCAGACATCAAGCTCTGTGCCTATAAAAATTACCTCGGAACGGGCCCTTACTTGAAGTAGAATCTTTGCAGATGAAATGAGTTAAGATGCTATCATGCTGGATGAGAGAGGGCCTTACATCCAAAGTGTCCTTGTAAGAAAAAGAGAGGCCACGCAGAGACCCACAGAGAAGGCGGCCCCGTGACCACGGAGACACAGAGGTTGGAGAATGCAGCTCCAAGCCAAGAACTGCCCAGGAAGGCAAAGGACACCAGGAGCCGGGGGAGGGCACCGGACAGACCCTCCCTCAGCGCCTCGAGCGGGAGCCAACCTGGGACTCAGACATTTCCACCGTCTGGCTTCCCAAGCTGAGAGGGAACATGTTTCTGTGAATTTCAGCCACACCATTTGTGGAATGTTGTTACCGCAGCCCTAGACACGGAATCCACTATGCATTCCCAAAAGTGATACAAAATTTCAAAAGTCAGGGTTACAGAATTATTAAAAGCTCTTCCTATTTCCTGACAAAACATGATTCAGATAAACTGAATTTTAAAAACAGATTGCTTCGCTATAGTAAAAGTCTTGATTTTTTTTTTTTTTAATCAAGCATCGCCTTAACACAGGCGTTTCTTTTCGGAACAGATGGACAAGACAGCGTTATCTTCATTTCGTGAGCGTCACGTGACGGAGAAGAGTCTAACAGCAGGTGATACTCTCCTTTTCAACAGCATAAAGAAAAAAAGATGCATTTTCATATACTTATGGCATGTTTCTGATTATAAAATACAGACTCATTAAATACGAAAAATAAAAGATACGATATAGTTGGAAATAAAAGTGCCCACTTATCCCAGCATCCAGAAAGGCACACCTATGATATTGTGGTACACTGCCTCCATCTCTTATCGGTGTGTGTGTGAGTGTATGTGTGCACCGCTGTGTGTGAGCAGGTGTGCACTGCCTCCATCTCCTATCGGTGTGTATGTGTGCACCGCTGTGTGTGAGCAGGTGTGCACTGCCTCCATCTCCTATCAATGTGAGTGTATGTGTGCACCGCTGTGTGTGAGGTGTGCACTGCCTCCATCTCCTATCGGTGTGTGTGTGTGTATGTGTGCACTGCTGTGTGTGAGGTGTGCACTGCCTCCATCTATCAATGTGAGTGTACGTGTGCACTGCTGTGTGTGAGCAGGTGTGCACTGCCTCCATCTCCTATCGGTGTGAGTGTATGTGTGCACTGCTGTGTGTGAGCAGGTGTGCACTGCCTCCATCTCCTATCGGTGTGTGTGTGTGTATGTGTGCACTGCTGTGTGTGAGCAGGTGTGCACTGCCTCCATCTCCTATCGGTGTGTGTGTGTATGTGTGCACTGCTGTGTGTGAGCAGGTGTGCACTGCCTCCATCTCCTATCGGTGTGTGAGTGTATGTGTGCACTGCTGTGTGTGAGCAGGTGTGCACTGCCTCCATCTCCTATCGGTGTGTGTGTGTATGTGTGCACTGCTGTGTGTGAGCAGGTGTGCACTGCCTCCATCTCCTATCGGTGTGTGTGTGTATGTGTGCACTGCTGTGTGTGAGCAGGTGTGCACTGCCTCCATCTCCTATCGGTGTGTGTGTGTGTATGTGTGCACTGCTGTGTGTGAGGTGTGCACTGCCTCCATCTCCTATCGGTGTGTGTGAGAGTGTATGTGTGCACTGCTGTGTGCGAGCAGGTGTGTACATGTTCACACGGATATACTGTTCTCCAAATTTGGATCCTATTGTTCAATTTGAAGCCTACTTTTAAAAACTTAACATTAGGCCGGGCATGGTGGCTCCCGCCTGTAATCCCAGCACTTTAGGAGGCTGAGGCGGGCAGATCACCTGAGGCTGGGAATTCGAGACCAGCCTGACCAACATGGAGAAACCCCTTCTCTACTAAAAATACAAAATTAGCCAGGCGTGGTGGCGGGTGCCTGTAATCCAAGATACTTGGGAGGCTGAGACAGGAGAATTGCTTGAACCCACGAGGCGGAGGTTGCAGTGAGCTGAGATCGCGCCATTGCACTCCAGCCTGGACAAGAACAGTGAAACCCCATCTCAAAAAAAAAAAAAAAAAAAAACCTTAACATTAAAACAAAACAACAGCATTTTCTTTTGTCACTGTAAGTGATGTTCTAAGTATGATTTTATTCATGACTGAAGGCCATACATTTTTTAATGTAGATGTACCATAATTCACGTAAACACTTACCACATTGGAGGTTTTATTTTTCCTTTTGGCATTATGAATAATGTCGCGCACTACCACGGTTCATACACACATGCTCCTTCTCTAACCTCGCTGGAGCTAGAATCACTGAATGAAGTCATATTGGCTTATTTAAAGGATCTAAAAGTTATGCTGCAGGCGTGGCCCGTTGCATCCCACTTCCCACACAGCACGAGAAAGAATTCACTAACTATGGCATTGTTGTGAATGCTGAGTAAAGAGGCAATGTGTTCTGATATCTGTGCTAATTTAAGGAGAACATTCCACTTGGTGGTTTAAATTTACATTCCTTGAATGACTTATGAGTAAGCCACATATTGCACAAGGATCATTTATAATTATTCTGTCTTCCATTTATGTCTATTTTTATTATAATATTAGAATAAACTGTCATATATAACAATGATTGTAAAATTCATTACATTGACCTATGTGTAGATTACTATGTCAGTACCACATATTTAAAAAACTGATGTAAACTTTAGAATAATTTTAATCCCATATATTTCATATATATCTGTCTGGGATCCTATATAGCCAAGATATATATAGATAGATACCTTTAATAATCTCATGTGTATATTCCATAAACAGCATTTCTTTTTTTTTTTTTTTTTTTTTTTTTTTTTTTTTTTTTTTTTTTGAGACGGAGTCTCGCTGTGTCTCCCAGGTTGGAGTGCAGTGGCGTGATCTCGGCTCACTGCAAGCTCCGCCTCCCAGGTTCATGCCATTCTCCTGCCTCAGCCTCCCAAGTAGCTGGGACTACAGGCGCCCGCCAACACACCCGGCTAATTTTTTGTATTTTTAGTAGAAACGGGGTTTCACCGTGTTAGCCAAGGTGGTCTCGATCTCCTGACCTCGTGATCCGCCCGTCTCGGCCTCCCAAAGTGCTAGGATTACAGGCGTGAGCCACCGCGCCCGGCCTCCATAAACAGCATTTCTAAATGCACCACTTTCCCATCCAAGACCATAGTAACTGTAAAAAAAAAAAATTACTTCTCAGAATGTTGTCGTTTTCTCTGTTTAGATTTCACACATAAGTAAAGGTTATGATCCATCTACCTGTGTTGATAGTTGTTCATAGGTATTTTGTGCAGTTTTCTATGCTATGTGAATAGAGTATTTTCTTCAATTACAGCATCTAAATAACTACTAATATGTAGAAAATATATTATTTTCATATGCTAATATTTTATCAATCCATTTGTTGGTCTTTTAATTCTGAGTTGTTAAGTTGACTGTCTCCAGTTCTCAAAATGTAAAAGTATATAACCAAGTAGGATTTCATATTTCTATTTTATTTCTTATTGCATTGGCTAGAACTTCCTGAAAACAGTTTCAGTAAAACAATAAACAGTGACTCCGACTATCCAAGGACTGGTAACAGTGTGGCGTTTTTTAGCTAATTATTCTGTATCTGGTTCACCTTCATTCTTTAGTTTTCTGACTTTTTAAATGGCTGTTACATTTGCATTTTTATCAAACGATGCATCTTCCTGTGGTCGATTGATGGGATATTGTTTTTCTTATAAACACACAGAGATGATACTATTGTCACTGCCTTTCATAATATGATGCTGTTGATGAAATGTATATTCTACTGGATTCTTACAGATGTTACTGTTACTGTTCTGTTACATTTTCCCCAATACTTTGTAGGATTTGTATAGCTATCTTTATGACTGAGATTTGTCTGTATAATTTTAGTTTCCATTTTTTCTATTTTTAAAAAACATTGGTAATCAACTTCTATTTACAGTTTCACCGTATTCCATGTTTGGAAACAAGCTTTCTATCTTGAGAATGTTCTCCTCGGAGTCTGGGAGATTTTACCACTGAAACCTGTGGCGTCTCAGGTGCAGATGGAGCTTCTTGTGCAGCTGCCACATCGTGGTTCGGGTTGAATTGCCCATTGAGTCTCCCAAAATCGTTTATCTAATTACTTAAAAATTACAAATGTGGAGCAGTGATAGCTCCATTTAATGTGTTTTTTTTTTCATGTAATGTGTTTTCGTGTCCATGAGAATTTTTAATCATTTTAATTTATTTCTGGGATTTTTTTTTTTTTTGAGACAGAATCTTGCTGTTGTCCAGACTGCATTGCAGAGGTGCGATCTCGGCTCACTGCAACCTCCACCTCACAGGTTGAAGCGATTCTCCTGCCTCAGCCTCCCGAGTAGCTGGGATTACAGGTACACGCCACCGCACCTGGCTAATTTTTGTATTTTTAGTAGAGACAGCGTTTCGCCATGTTGGCCAGGCTGGTCTCAAACTCCTGGCCTCAAGTGATCTGCTTGCCTCGGCCTCCCAAAGCGCTGGGATTAAAGGCATGAGCCACTATGCCCGGTCTTATTTCTGTTTTTAAAATCGTCAATGCCTGCCTTTATTTTTTATCATATGCTTCCCCATGTTTTCCTTTTTCTCCTTGAGTTTTCTAATGCCTGGATTTGAAAGCTAACTTCTGCATTGCTGATGGTTTCATGTTTAACATCATCATTGTTCCAGGCTTTAGACTTGCAGTGCTATTTGACTGTGACAGTGCAGGAGTATCGCCGTCTTGGACAAGCACCATCATGCTAAAGTTCACCTTGATCAAAAACCGCCTAAATCCAAAGGGCTAAAGTCAGCATGACCATAAGCCCCAAATAACATCTCCTACCAGAAACATTCCAAACCCCTCCCCGACCAGAGACATGCCAGCCCTGAGATAACCCCCCTCCGGCTGGGAAGATGTCAGCCCCAAGATAACCTCCCCTCTGCCCAGAGACATTCCCACCCCACCATAAAACTTCTCCCTCACACAGAAACCTCCCAAGCTTGTGATAAGCCCCCTCACCCTAAAACCAATCTGTACCCTTGGCCTGTAAGAGAACGTGCTCCTGACCGAAATCCACCAGAAGCCCCTCTCAGGTTTATTTTCTCTAAAATAAATCTGTCTTTAACTGTTAAGCCACATTTCATGTTTCTTTCCTCTTTCTTTAACTCTTACAGACTGCAAGTTATTAATTCTAATAGAAGCACTTCAGGTTGGGTAATTTTATTTATGAGTTTATATTTGTAATTTTTACTTCTGTTTCACTCATTATTTTTTGTAGCCTTTTAACTTCAAGGTTGATAGGCATTTCCCTATAGTCCATCACTGTCTTTCTGGTTCAGACGCGTGGTGGCTGTAGGTAAGGCCCAGGCAATTGCTCTCTGTAATTTCCTGAGTGTACTTCCTGGTGTTATGTAGAATCTCATTTTTTACTTTTTTTCTTTAACTTTTATTATGAAATCTTTCAACAATAGTAAATCATAGTGTAAGGAACCAGTATCCCTGTTTTCACACTGTGGGAAGAAAAAAAACAAAGGAAACTGTATATCTGAAGAATGGGAGCCCCTTTAAATGATCAGGCCCAGAGAGGCTTTGGAATGCAACAGCAGTCACCTCCCTGCCCCCGAGCTAAATCATGGCTTCCTGAAGCCACCTGCTGTGCCACCAAGTCTCCATCAAAGGCCATACACTCTACAGCGCCACACAGTGTAGCCCATCACTAACCAATGTCACTTCTGTAAACCAAGCAGAATCTCTGATGAGCCACTTCTGTAACTGCCCCCTCCTGATGATTTGCCCATTATCTCTTTAAAAATCTGAGCCTTTCCTTCATTCTCCAGAGCACTCCCCAAAGCAACCTGGAAATGTTCCTCAGGGCAGCTGTCCTCAACCTTGGCCCAAATAAACTCTCTGTATTAATTTTGCCTCAGTTTCTTCCTTTTAAGTCAACACCACCAACCTAGCTCCCACGCCAGGATTATTCTAAAGTAAACCCATGACATTTTATCTCACCCTTCCATGTTTCAGAAGACATCTCTAAATTATGAGTTCTTTTGAAAAACATGAGCATAGAACTCATCACTCCAACAAATTAACAGTAATTACTTAAAAATACTAAATACATAGTCGGTGTTTTCTTCTATTGTCCATTTTTTTCTTTGGTTTTATTCAAACCAGGATCAAACAAAATCCTGGCATTTTGTTGGGTATGTCTTTTAAGCCTTTTTTTTTTTAAGTTGGATGCACTCAGGTGCTATTTACATTGTGTACAGTCCTCTGCTTTTAATAAATGTATACACTTATGAAACCACTGAGGCCAGATAAACGTCCACCATCCCCAAACCTGCCCTCTGACCTGTTGTTGTCAAAACCCTTGTCCCACCCCCACCTCCTGGAAATCACTGTGGTATTTTTTGTTCTTATAGTTTTGCTTTGCCTAGAATGTCACAAAAGTGGAATAATATATGACATAAATGATCCTGAATGCCTTCACTGGCATAATGCTTTTGGGATCCACTCACATCATTGCACATGTAAGAAGTGTGTTCCTTGTTATTTCTGTGTCACAGTCCATTATTTGGATCTAACCAAGTTTGTTTACCCATTCACCAGCCAACATCGCTTAGGAATAAAGCTACTACAAACGTCTGTGTGCAGGTTGCTATGGGCATCTTTTTATGTTTCTAGGAAAAATACGTAAGAGTGAGATTACTGGGAACTAGGATAAGAGTGTTAATAACAACCTGCTCAACTGACTTTCAAAGTGACTGTTCCGTGTTGCATTCCCACCAGCAAGTTATGAAAACTTCAGCTGTGCCACATCTTCACCACCACGTGGTATTGCCAGGTTCTGTCTTTGTTTTGTTTTCATGAACGCCATTCTAATAAGTATGTAGGGACTCCGATCATGGATTCAACTTGCATTTTGCTAATGAAATATGATGTTGAACATTTTTAAAAATTGTATTTAATTTTCTTTAAACTCACATAAAATAACAATACATATTCCTGGGGTATATAGTGATAATTTGAGCCATATGAAGTCTAGTGACCAGATCAGGACAATGCGCATATCCATCATCTCGAACATTTACCATTTCTTTGTGGTTGGAAACATTCAATATTCCAATAACCCTCCTTCTAGCTATTTGAATGTATATATTACATTGTTGTCATCTGTAGCCACCCTACAGTGGTAACGACCTCTAGAACTTATTCCTGCTCTCTAGCTACAATTTTGTAGACTTTCACAAATACCTCCCTATTTCCTGTGCTTATTGGCAATCCATCTTTCTTTGTTGGTGATGTGTCTGGTCATATATTTTGTCCATTTCTGTTGGATTTTTTTTTCTTATGACTAAGTTTTGAAGGTTCTTTGTATTCTCTGTTCTTTATCAGACATATGTTTTGTGAGTATTTTTCCCACTGTGTGCCTTTTCTTTTTTCTGCTTTTTTATTTTATGAAAAGTGATTTCAAAGACCAACAGCTTTTTTTAAATTTTGATGTTCAAGTCATCAATGCATTTTCTAATGTGGTTCATGCTTTTGGTGTCATGTATTAAAAATATTTGTCCAATCCAAGGTCACAACATTTTTCTTCAATGTTTTCTTCAGAATTTAGTTTTTGGTTTCACGACTCGATCAACCATCTATTTTGAGTTCATTTTTATATGTAGTAAAATGTATTCATCAAGGATTGTTTGCTTATTTTGAAGACAGACAGATGTTCACTTGTTCCAAAATCATTTGCTGACAAGATGGTCTTTTCTTTATTGATTTTTCTTTGTACCCTTGTAATAAAAATCAATTGGCCATACGTGCATGTGTCTACTTTTGGATGGTCTACTACGATGTTCTATTGGTCTTTATTCTTATGCTTTTGCCAATTGCACAAAGCCTTAGTTCCTGGTGATTTGTCATCAGCATTTAGATCAGCTATGCCTGTGTCCTCCACACTCGTTTTCTTCGTCAGAACTACTGTGGTGATTCCACTTCCTTTGCCTGTCCATATTAATTATTGCATGGGCTTGTCAATTTACATGAAACTGGGATTTTGTTTAGGGTTGCATTAAACATGTAGCTTAATCTGGGCAGAAGTGAAATCTTAACATTATTGAGCCTTCCAGTCTATCCCTCCATTTATTAATGTCTTATTTGATTTCTTTCATTAATGTTTCATGATTTTCACATATTTTGTTAGGTTAATCCCTAAGTACTTCATGATTTTGGTGCAATTTTAAAGGTACTTGTATTTTATTTTAACTTCCAATTGTTTATTACCAGTAATACAGGGGTACAATTGAATTTTGTACATTGACCTTGCATCCTGCAACCTTGCTAAACTTCCTTATTCGTATTAGTAGCTTTTGGTAGACTCTTTGAGATAGTCTATATCGTCATTTGTCTGCACATAGAGACAGTTTTGTGTCTTCCTTCCCAGTTTGTATGTTTTTCTTTTCTTTTTACTTTTTGCCTTGTTGCATAACTAGGGCTCCCGTCACAAATCCTTGCCTTGTTTTTCATCTTAGAGGGAAAACATTATCCTTCCACTATTCAGTTTGACGTTAGTGGTAGATCTTCCTTAGATGTCCTTTGTCAGTTTGCGGAAGTCCCCTTTAATTCTTAGTTGAGTTACACACGGTTTTTTGTATTGTTTTGTTTTTAATCTGAATGGATGGTGAATTTGACAAATGCATTTTCTGAATCTATTGAAATAAACTTATTACTTCCCTTCTTTTGATAAACAGCATTGATGGATTTTCTAATGTTGAACAAGCATTGGATTTCAAAAAAATAAAAAATAAAAAACTCTCTTGGTCAAATATATTATCAACTTTAAATATGGCTGGATTTGATTTGTTAATGTTATCTTGAGCCTTCTTTGCATGTATGTTCAAAAATTGTATTGGTCTGCTATTTTCTCTCTGTAATAACCATTTGGTTTTTGTGTAAGGGTAATGGCTACCTTAGAAAAAAATTACTTAGGGAATATTATTTCATTTTATTTTCTGAACAAGTTTATTTTAATTTGTGTATTATTTCTTCCTTAAATATTTGGTAGACCTCACCAGTGAAGCTGTCAGGGATTGAATGTTTTCCTGTTGGAAGAGTTAAATCATAAATTTACTGTTTTTATCAGATACAGAGTTATTCATGTTTTCTATTACTACTTCTATTTATGTTTTCTATTTCTATTTCAAATAACTTATTTCATCTAAGCTGTTGCATTTATGATTATAGTTTATATTTTCCTATTGCATGGTTAGTGTTAAGATCCATAATAATGTCTTTTATTTAATTCCTGACATCAGTAATCTGTGTCATCTTTCCTCTAATTTTTTATAGCCAGGGGTTTATAAATTCTATTGCTCTTCCTAAAAAATGAAGTTTTGTTTTCATTGATTTTCCTTATATTCTTCTGTTTTTTAATTTTTTAATTTCTGCTGTTATCTTTACTATATCCTTAGATTTAATTACTTCTCCATTTTCTAGTTTCTTAAGGTTAAGCTTAGATCATTAATTTGAGGTATTTCTTTTTTTTTTTAATATAGGCGTTTTAATGCTATAAATGTCCATCTAAGCTATGTCCCACAAGACTTTTTTTGTGATATTGATTTTGATTTTCTTTTATTTTCATTTTCATTCTATTCAAAATATTTTCTTATTTCCACTGTCACTTTTTCTTTGACCTATGCATTACTTAGAAGCATTCTGTTCTATTTTCAAACATTTGGAGGTTTTCCGGATATCCTTGTTACTGATTTCTAACTTAATTTTGTTGTGGTCGGAAAATAAATTGTGTAAACTTTTTTTTTTGAGACAGAGTCTCACTCTGTTGCCCAGGCTGGAGTACAGTGGCATGATCTCGGCTAAGTGCAACCTCCACCTCCTGGTTTCCAGTGATTCTCCTACCTCAGCCTCCCAAGTAGCAGGTACTACAGGCACATGCCACCACACCCGGCTAATTTTTGTATTTTTAGTAGAGACAGGGTTTTGCCATGTTGGCCAGGCTGGTCCCGAACTCCTGACCTCAGGTGATCTGCCCAGCTCGGCCTCCCAAAGTGCTGGGATTAGAGGCATGAGCCACGGCGTCCAGCCCTACTTTTAATTATTTAAAATTTTTGACTTGTTTTATAGCCTATAATATGGTAAGGATGAATGTTTCCTGTGCAGATAAAAATATATGCCCTGTTACTGTAAAGTAGACTGTTCTATACATGTCAATCGGGTCAAGTTGTTGGACAGTATTATGCAAGTTCTCTAAATTCTCACTGATATTCACAGATGAGCTTCCATGCTGCAACAATCACTAAGAGATGCTGAAATCTCCAACTGTAAACACGATTGTCTATTTTTTTGTTCTGTTCTATCAGTTTCTGTGTTTTCAATTGTGAATTTCTTTTATTAGATTAAATTATTAGGTTTTATTAGATTAAATGTATTTGATTAGATTTTATTAGAAATTTTTATCCCTAGTAATACTTTTTGTTCTGAAATCTAATTTGTCAAATATTAATACAGTCACTTCAGCTTTCTTTTGATTTATATTTACATCTTATATCTTTTCCAGACTTTTGCTTTTATGCTCACTCTGTCTTCTTATAAAAAGTGAGTTTTTTATAGACATCGTATATTTGGAACTGAAAACCTGCAAACTTCTGTCTATTCATTAGGGAGGTTAGATCTTTATATTTAAATCTACCATTTTATAGTTTTTAAAATATTTGTTCCAACTTTATTTTGATCCTTTGCTTTCTTGTTTTGTCTGCTTTTGGGTTGTTTATTATCATATCATTTTAATCTCCATAATTATTTTACTAGTTATAACTCTTTTCACAGTTTTAAGTGTCTGCTGCTCTACTGTTTTATATCTTTTGAAGATATATCTTTCGAAGATATATCTTTCGAAGATAAAGTATATCTTCATCTTAGAGGGAAAACATTATCCTTCCACTATTAAGTACAACGTTAGCTGTAGATGTTCCTTAGATGTCCTCTGTCAATTTGAGGAAGTCCCCTTTAATTCCTAGTTCATTTATAGGCAGTTTTTTGTATAGTTTTGTTTTTAATCTGAATGGATGGTGAATTTAAAGACATACTTATATCTTCAAAAGGTATAAAGTATGTCTTTAACTTGGCACCTTCAAATAATACTATAGCACATAATGTATAGTACAATAGCCTTACAATTCCACACTTCCAATTCCTTCCTTACATTCTTTGTGAAATTTTTGACACACATTTTTATTTTGTGTATAATTTTACACATTATATAACTATCTTTTGCTCTTTATACTGTCAGTTATCTTTTAAAACAATTAAAAACAGAAAAATATATATTTTACCTTAATGTATTCCATCTCTAGCACTCTTCTTTTGTGTAGAGGTAACTTTCTCTATGCTAGTATATTATTCCTGACTAATAAGCTTCTTCGTAATTTCATGAACTGCAAATCTACAGAGAATGAATTCTTCTCAGCTTTTGTTTGCTTGTTAAAAATCTTTATTCCACTTAGCTTTCAATAATTGTTTCTGTTTGGTATAAAGTTCTTTGAATCAGAAGTTTAAATGTGATTCATCTAGTTTTCAATTTCAGCTTTTTCTTGTTTTTGCTATTTATTAGTCTTATGGTTTGCTGAACTTCTTGGATTTATAGTTTCATAATGTCCATTTTTATTTCCTTTGTTCATTACGTCTTCAAATATTCTATCTTCTACGTATTCTCTCCTTGCCCTTTTCAGACTTCAGTTATACATAAGTTAAACCATTTGATATTCTCTCCTGGCTCTGGAAAAAGGCGTTCCATGTTTTCAGTTGCTTTCTCGTTTTGTTACAGGTCTATTGATCTAATTTCACTAATTCTTGGCTGTATCACATCTATGCAGGAGTTCATCAAAGTAATTTTTCATTATGCCAGCTTTCATTTTTTCTAATATTTTAATTTGACTTTCTTATATTTTTATATCGCTGATGAAATTCTCCTTCTGTTCATTCACGTTGCTCTCCTTTCCATGAGTTAATTTAACATGCTAATCATGGTCAATCATAGAACTATCTGATAATTCTAACATCTGTGTCATCTTAGGGTCTGATTCTGTTGATTATTTTGTATCTTGTCAATAGTTTATCACTTCTTGCTTGGTTTGTGTGTCTTGTAACTTTATTTATTAAGTGCTAGGCATCATAAATAGAACAATGAATGAGATAAATACGGTTTACTCCTGGGAATGGGCACACCCCTTCTTATGTCAAGCTGTTAGTGAATGCAATTTTGTCAGTGTATTCAGGGGGTGGACCTGGATTTGGATTTTGTTGTCATGGTTGCCTTCAATGCACCACAAGCTTCAAATCCTTTAAAAATGTATTTTGATTAAGACAAATTCTGGCATGTATGAAAATCTTTTTCAGTATTTGTACCCTTACCCCAGCTTTCAGCCAGCCTTACATCCCTGCACCACAGAAAAGGATTCCTATATGTCCCTCTCCTTCCACCAGTGATAGGGTGTTATTGCTTTTTACTCAGCACTTGCAACTGGATAGTGGGAAGAAATCCTTGTCAATTTCAGTCCTAGGTAACTTTGTTCATTTAGTCTTCAAGACTGGGGGTTTCTTACTCCTTCTGCTTTTAACAAACGTGGAGGATTTTTAAAGGCTTTATACTCTCAAGATCCTTCTTTCTCACCTCCTCAATTTTACTGACATAATTTATGTATCCAGATTATAATTATCATAAAAAACTCTTGTAAATAAAAATATTGCTTTAAATTTTTCACTCATTCCTGCAACCAAATTAACAAATACTCACATATATCCTAAAGGATTAACAGAAATTGTTGATAATTACAGATATTTTGAAAACTGACATCTCCATTGTTAGTTCTTGTTTTAGCTGTATTTATCACTTACCTGAGAAAATTAAAAGAAAAAATGAAATTTGATAAAATAAACTTTTTCCAAATGTCTCATATTTCACAGAAGAATTCTAAAGTAATTGTGTTTCAATGATTTGAAAACTGAGAAAACGTAACCTCGTCTGCTTTTTAAAAAAAAAATCATGCTGATAAGTGCTTGAGAAAATAGGATCAGTGTGAACACATTCAAAATAACCATATAAAACAAAAGTAAACAAAATGAAATAAAATGTGAATGTCACCCACAAAAATAAAAACAGAATAAATCAAAAGAATAAAAGAAAATAAAAAAGCAGAATGTAACAATTACAGATAAATATACGCATAGTAAATCAAATATAAAGATGCTAAACTTCGTTTTCAAAAAGCAAAGGCAGACATTGTACATTTAAATAATTGACCTGAGCTTAAAACAAAAATAAGGCAAAAGTTGATAAGAAGAATAAAATACAAGATGTAGACAGAGCAGCAGCAACATTAATTTTAGACAGAGAATTTGAGGTGAAAACATTAGGTGTGGTAAATTCATTTGATCGCTTTTTTAAGAACATCTTTTCCATACTAATGCATTTGTATGACTTTCTTGCGAGGCATAAATTGCTTCAATCACAAGATGCTTTCCTCATAATTCTCTAAACTTTTCCCCATGAACCAAGCTTGTCTAGTACTGCAGAATGGCCTGAAGCTGTGTCAACTTCTGTGTTCTTTTAAGTAGTGCCTCCAACATTCATAAAATGCCTCCAGGATACGGTGAGCAGGATATACGGCTGGCTTTGCCCCATTTACTACTTCTGCTGAAATTTGTTTTTTTGTTTTTTTTTTTTAAAGGGGAGATATATATTTTTTCTTTTTCTCATCAGATGGGTTTTATTTAACCTTACATATATTGACTTATTTTCCAACCTGACTCTGGTATAATATTATGAGACAAGGAAGAAAAACCAAAATATTTCCCCCAAAACATGTTTCTTTGCCATACCTTGAAACGGCTCTGCGAGCCATCTTTGGTAGGAGAAAATTTGCATCTGTAAAGAATCTCTATTAACATAGCTAGATCTTTTACTTCCAGGCCCTCCCAATTCTTTTTTTTTTTTTTCTCAATTTTTTTTTTTTTATTATACTTTAAGTTCTGGGATACATGTGCAGAACTTGCAGGTTTGTTATATAGGTATACATGCACCATGGTGATTTGCTGTACCCATCAACCCATCATCTACATTAGGCATTTCTCCTAATGCTATCCCTCTCCTAGCCCCCCACCCCGCAACAGGCCCTGGTGTGTGATGTTCCCCTCCCTGTGTCCATGTGTTCTCATTGTTCAATGACCACTTATGAGTGAGAACATGTGGTTTTTGGTTTTCTATTCTTGGGTTAGTTTGCTGAGAATAATGGTTTCCAGCTTCATCCATGTCCCTGCAAAGGACATGAACTCATCCTTTTTTATGGCTGCATAGTATTCCACGGTGTATATGTGCCACATTTTCTTTATCCAGTCTATCGTTGATGGGCATTTGGGTTGGTTCCAAGTCTTTGCTATCATGAACAGTGCTGCAGTAAACATACGTGTGCATGTGTCTTTATAGTAGAATGATTTATAATCCTCTGGGTATATACCCAGTAATGAGATTGCTGGTTCAAATGTATTTCTGGTTCTAGATCCTTGAGGAATCACCATACTGTCTTCCACAATGGTTGAACTAATTTACACTCCCACTAATAGTGTAAAAGCGTTCCTATTTCTCCACATCCTTTCCAGCATCTGTTATTTCCTGACTTTTTAATGATCGCCATTCTAACTGGCATAAGATGGTATCTCAGTGTGGTTTTGATTTGCATTTCTCTAATGACCAGTGATGATGAGCTTTTTTTATATGTTTGTTGGCTGCATAAATGTCTTCTTTTGAGAAGTGTCTGTTCATATCCTTCACCCACTTTGTAATGGGGTTGTTTGTTTATTTCTTGCAGATTTGTTTAAGTTCTTTGTAGATTCCGGATATTAGCCCCTTGTCAGATGGATAGATTGCAAAAATTTTCTTCCATTCACGAAATCTGTGTTTTTAAGGAGGTCAAAGCAATATAGGTTTGTTGTTTGCTTTCTATTTTACACAGATATCACCTTCTCCCACTGTTACGATCTGATTTTTACAGTCACATCTATTTATGCTTAAGAATCTTTCTATGTTGTCTTCTATCATCAGATGCATAATTCGTTCTTCTCTTCAATGATTTTAGTTGCTAGTTTTCAAAAGTTTCCTTGCATTCTTTTCTCATTTCCTCAAACTGTCTTTTCACATTGGCCAACTCTCTTTCGAGTTTATCTTTTACTGCTTTTCTATGTTCTATTTTCTTTTATCTATTAAGATAGGCAAAAGTTGTTTTGCCTAAAATAGTTACTAATTCCTGTGCAAAATCCATTTCTCAGATATGTTTTTCTGGAGCTTTTGAGAAAATGAATCTTTGATGAAGCAGAATACTCCAGATGCCCTCATCTTCCACTTTCTCTCCCTGTCTCTCTCTTCATCATCTTTGAATGAAGAGAGGTACAGCCAGTGGTTTGTTGTGGTTTGGTTTGTTTTGCCCATCATGGTGTCTATTGGTAGAATCAGGCTCTTTGATCTTAAGCTGGCAGGCAACGGGACATGGACAACTTTTACATAAATCTCTAGTTTCTAGCAAGATCCTTCTATTTCATTTGCCTTTGCTGGAAAGAAGCTGAATTAACTACTTTCTCCTCCCACTGCTTGATATTCTTGATATAAGTTCTTTAATTCCTGAATGGCTTGAAGGACTCCGAAGCTCTTATTTTCAGAAGTAGAAAACAGAGACTCCTTGGAGGGTACTCTTACCCCCCAGACCCTTCTCCACGTCTGCCTGTGATGAACCACATGTCCTAAGATGCAAGGTGAGCCCCTTCTTCCTGGGAAGAAGAGGGACTGACAGGACTGCAGGGAGTGGGGAGGTGTTGACAGAGATATGGCAGCTGATGCACAGGCACTGCTGAGGAAGAGGTGGTGACTGTGGGGCAGGTGGCCTCTCCCTGCCTGTCCAGCCCTGAATCAGCTTCTGAGGTCTGGGAATCAATGGGTCCTAGATAATTTCTCCATTCAACCCATTCACAATGATCAGGAAGAATTTCTTTGAAAGCTGCAAAATTATTAATTGGAGACCTTAATTTCCAGTGCAGGTGTAATTATTTGCATGCTTGGATGTATTTGTCTGTGAGAAGGCTCTGCCTCTTCTGTGGCTCCTCTGCTTCCTGAGAACAAGTTCACACTTTCCTGGAGGAGCCAAGAATCCTGAGTGGAAGAATGATGTAAAGTCCCCCAACAGTCCGTGAGGATCCTGGGGACTGACTCACCCCACAGGTCTCATGTGATGGGACTTGTTTGAAGAGGCCCCAGAGCCCATCCCTGCCACGTCTCCTCCAGCAGCCCACACTTGGCTACTTGGAATTGCCTGATTACAAAATGCTCCCCTTGATTTTGTGTCTTTGGACATTCTATGTCCTTAATTTGGAATTCATTCGACTCTTCCTGCCTCAAGGTGGCATCGGCCACAGAGGCCTTCCCTGAGGATCCCCCGCTAAGGTTCTCCTCAAACACCTGCAGAGAGCATGCGCCACTTGCATTTCTCCCCCAGGTCATATGTTGACAGGCTAGCCCCCGAGGTGATGGCATGAGGAGGCTAGCCCTTTGGGAGGCTCAAAAATGGCCAACAGGCTTGTTTACAACAGAGCGTGATAACAGGCGACCATCATCCTCCTGGTCACGAATGAGTGCAGTGTATATAAAAATGGGGTCCTTTATAATGATTATTAAAGCTTAGATAGCTTTTCCAAATTCATCCAAATTGTGCTTTTATATTATCTGAGACTCTGTGCCATGCAGTTCATTCTTAATCAACAGTAAGTGAGGGGTGGTCCGGTATTAGTCTCACCCCCATCTCTACCAGAGAGATTCCAACTTAGCTCAACAAACGATCCAGTTCATTCAAACAAACCTGCCTTCTGGGTTACATCATTTGAGTTCATAGTATAAATTGCTATTATCCCTAAAACAACAGTGCAAATTTTAAAAGTACTTAAAGAATGATCATTACAGAAAAATTACTACCTCTCCAAGAAAAGAAAATAAGCTTAGCTCACTAGACCTGTTTACAATGAGTGAGTTTGATTCACTCTTCCAGCTCTTTGGGAGCTCTGTTTCTGCTTCTATGATTAACTTGAAGGGGATCGATAAAATATATCTGATTCTAAGGCCACTTATTTCTGAATATAAAACTTTATAACAAGATTGATCTTTGTAATATAACTATTATATAATAGATTTATACATTATATATTTTAAATGTAGTACATGCATATATTTGTAAATGCATACTTTTATAATATATATTTGTGATACAAATTATTATAACATATAAATTTATCAATTCATAATAGGATATGAAAACTTAATAGTAATTTTTAGTAATTACAGCATATATGAACATTTACGTGTGAGTGTTTTAATAAGGTTCTATTTTCTCATTAACTGCAGTAAAATTAAAACGATTTACCTCAATTTTTAACTTACTTGGAGCTTACCCTACCTACCACCTTCACTTGTCCCCGTTCTTATCCCAGTTCTCTGTTAAACAGTTAGTAACACATAAATAACCCCTTAGATGCTTTCTTTGGCCTAAGAGACATTCAATATGTGCATGCCAAAGTTGGGTAAATTCAAAGAATTCTGAAATTTATCAAAAAAGTAAAGTTTTCATGAAGCAACTCAGAAATTACCATCTCAAAACAAATACATTTGATTATTATTAAATTACCTTTGGTGTCAGGTACATTTCTCCCCAAAACATAATTAAAATTGTAGGTGTTATATTCATATATGATCCGTAAATTAAAAAAAAGGGCAGAGAAGAGAAAAATCTAAGCTTTGTTGAATAGTAGACTAGGTTAGAATGAAAGGTTGTTCTGCTATTTATCATGTTTATAAGAAATATTATTTTATTTTGTTCTTAAAAATAGATCCATTAATGGATACCCCATTCTCCATGATGTGCTTATTTCACATTGCATGCCTGTGTCAAAACATCTCACGTACCCCACAAATATATACACCTACTATGTACCCACAAAAAATTATAATAATTTGTAAAAATTTAAAAAATAGATACATCCAAAAATCAAAGAAGGTAAAATCAATACAAATATGTTTCTAATGAAGTATTGCATATTTGCCACACAATAGTAAGTAAATGATGTCCATAAGATGGAAAATCTATGAGAGGTGGCCATAAGCCTCTCCAACTAAAAGATATTTAGCACATTTATATATGAATTTCCTAAGAAGAAGGTGAAGGCATGGTGGAAAATGTCTATATTATACTCAGGGGTGAACTGAGAGAAGGGAAGTTCACATAAAGACTTTGTAGGAACAGGTGAGCTGATTTCACCATTTTTTAAACTACATTTGCTGGTTATTTTCATGACAGTTATTGCCAGTGCGTTAGGAAATTAAAATAATACCTTTTCATATACCAAAAGAACCCTCCAAAGTCATGTCATACTCATATAACACATGCCACTGAATCATCTTTTATCATCATTAAATTAAATAGGAAACATGATCATCTTAGTGTAAAATGTTTATAAATGTGTGCATGTACCATGCTCACTCAGATTTCAATTAATCCCTAATGCATAATTACAAGGACAAGTTGCAGTCAGAAATCATTTAGGCCTATGAGAAACACAAATAGTTTAGTTGTTCTTCCTGACTTATTACTAAACAAGATTCATAGCAAATTGGAATAAATGTGTAGGCAAACAGAGAACAAAATAAATATATCTCCTAAATCAGCACTGCATTATTCACAAGAACATCTTATTACTAAATTTTAGAGACACATATTGAGACAAGCTTGGTAGGTAGGAAATTACAAGAAGGTAATGTAATTCTGAAGCCATAAAATATTCCATAATGGAAGGTGTTGCACGACAATTTTGGCACGGGCAGCATTTGCTTTTATAAAATGATCCACATGTTAAGGTGATTTTAAAAATCAATTTAAAAATTCATAAGATGATTATATTCCCCTGTTACTATATAGGTTTATTATACAATCTTTCATCTAGGCATTGTTTCATGGGAGTCTGTTCCAGGACAAATGTTCTTTCAGGTCACTAGACTCCAAAGATAGAACAAAATCCATCTTTCAAAGAGGGCATTTTATAGTCCATCTCACTATCACCCGCAATGTGAAGGCAAAATTCAGAGATCACACATGTTCCTGCGTCCTACAGACCAGCAAACATTATTCCTTGCACGTCGCCACAGAGAGGCAACATTTTTTAAAGAGTAGACTGATCAATTAGTGCCCCTATTAAGAGCTATCAGCAGGAAACCTGGTCCAATCCTAAAAACAGAGCACTGCAAATACAATTCTGTGAAAACCCCTTCAGCCATCTCTTCAACATCAGATCTCATATCCACCCACCCCAGAAAAAAATAGTGGATAAGCTATCCAAGACTAGTTTTTTTTAAAAAAGCTTCATGCTTGTGAAAAGGAATTATATTTTACCAAGATAATTGTTTCATTAAAATGATGAGTATGGTTTTCATATCTAAAACTAATTTATGATTGAAGCAAAAATGAAACAGACATTGTCAATGTTATTTGGGCACCAACCTGGGATGGGCTGAGGTGCTAACACCACCGTGGGGAGCGGCCTGGAGGCAGGAGCCGGCCTGGACAGAGACACAGCTACTTGATTTGCCAGCAAACGAGGCTTTTCATGCCCATGGAAAAACCTTGACTCCTCAGGATGTATCCACGTTGAGTCCAGAGCAAAGGAATTATTAAAAAAGATCTGTCGAAAAATAATGCAAGCATAACACTGAAGGCAAGGTGCATGATAAAAGCTGAGCATGACCATGAAAATATTTGTGTTGCCTTACGTTGATCCAACATTGAACATTCTATTATTGGGGACTCTATAAAACCATCATTCTAAAACTTAAAGAAGTTCCACAGGGCTTCAATACCGATCACCATCTAGCTAATGTCTTCTGGGCTGGCCTTCAACTATTGACTTGGTCACTTCAGCCCAGCAGTTCAGTTCACTGATTGAAGAATCACCCCAATGAGATAATGACTAAGCTGTATGACAAGTCAATACTTTACTTCTTTAGTTTCCTTGTGAACAAAATGTAGTCAGTAAATTTGAACCCGAAAGCCAAAACAAACCATTAGAAAGATGAAAACTTAAAGCATCATATGAAGAAAAACTGACTTTTAAAACTTCAACTGGTATTGTGTAATGTTCAAGTCTAGATTTTTGATCAATGGATACAAATTTAAAAACAAAAAAATTTTAAAAAAGACTCTGATTCAAAAATTGGAAATTTTACATTGCCCTGTGGAATCCAAATATCCTAAACTAAAACAAAATGCCCCCCACCAGCTGATATTTTTGAACAAATCAATCTAATCCTGAAATGATTTATTTCTATACCTAGATGGCCAATTTATGGCAACAAGAAAATACATGGGTATTTTTGTTGTTATGTCGATGTTCGACAACTTAATCATTAAAAGCCCCTTATCCAATTAAATCACTTGCGTTTTTACCTTACAGTTAGGAATCCTTTTGTCTATCCAACTTTTCCCAATAGGGGTTGCAAGAGCAGAAGGGCAGAGATGTGGGAAGACGGGCACCAGCTCCACTGTGGAAGAGGGGGGCAGTCCTAGGGACGGAGAATGGCCACCAAACAGCCACTGCAAGCCAAGCAAGAAAAGACAGCTGCATTAGCCTGAATCCATCCACTCGACTTCATGCCAAAACATGCTGGAATAACTGCTTTGAAAAGGGAATTTCAAAATGTATGTATTTGATTATCAGATAAATTTCCTCGAGAAAAACTATAAGTATGTACCAATCAAAGAAAAAATTATAGAAGTTTTCATATCTGAATCATCACAAAGCATTACCAACATTGCATTCTTCAATACTGAAAAAGAACTTCTAAGCACAAAACCACAAGCACGCAGTAAGAAATGGGTTTCTGCTCTGAGATAATGAGAAATCACCATGAAGAAGAGAAATGCTGGGTATTCCTTTTCTAATTCTTAAATTATTTTTATAGGCAGGCTTAGGGCTATATTTTATAATATTCCTTTCAGCATTGCATTTTGTATTAATTACTTTTGTCGTTTTACAAATAACTAATACTTTCAAAATGAAAATATCTAGGAAGTTAAGATTCCAAGTTTCACCAATACAAGGTTCACCAATACAAATAGATTCTATGGCAAAAAAAAAAAAAAAAAAAAAAAAACTAAGCATCTTCTAAGTTGAAGATCTCAATACACAGAATAAAACATCAGTCATGGAAAGGGGCTGGTAATTCAGGGCACCGTCTCTCTAATTAAAATAACTGAGACCTCATAAGGCACTAATAAAATGCATTGCTCAATGACATGGAACGTTTCAGTACCTATTGTTTTAAAATCGTAAAAGCATTTGTGATGTTCCTGTTACATGAAAATGTTCTTCTGGTTGTACATATTCTTACTTTACAGAAGCTGGGTAGCACAAAAATATTTAAAAGATTAATGCTAAGGTTTTTTAAATTTTCTTTTAAATTTATATAAGTGAAAAAATGCAGTTTTTTAAAGCAGAATTTAAAAAATGTAGTTCCTTGACATTATATACCTCTAGTGGCAGCACTCTGATATAACACCCCTCCAAAATACGGCAAAAACTACCAACGTTTCTTGAATAAAATCCAAAATAAACTGCATCACACATAAAAATACAATATCCAGTGCTGCATATGTGATGTATCATTAAGTCTAAAGACCAATTTAGCAGGAGTTTAACAACATCTTTTAGAAAAGCTCACAAGATAATATTGGAATTAAATTAATCAAATGGTGTATTCTAACATAACACCCGTTTGAATATGCTAATGAGGTCAATCCTTGGAATAAAATGCACGCTATTCCCTGATTTAAATGCATCTGCATAGTTAGCTGACAATGAATCTTGCCCAAACCAGCCCGCCTAGCTCTGCTGCACCATTTATCAAAGGTTCAGTCACTTTTTCTTTTTAATCCCATGTCTTAAAAGCCAAACTCTAGTTCTAAAGTGCAGTGTGGCATTAGCGAATGTGGTGGACTCCGGCAGGCCTGGGGCAGGGGAATCTCCGGTAACATCCCTCAGTACCGAAGGCAGGATTTCCCGGCCACTTCCGTCGGTTGGAATTCTCTTAAGCATTGCCCTGAGTCTATTTTCAAATGAAAGGGGGAAAAACCCAAACCAGATTAGAATCTGAAACAGCTGAAACAGCTATCGATTTCCAGCTTGCTTTCAAGTCTGGCAGAGACTGTGAAAGTCCTAACTTCTCCGCGATGTCAGCCACGGCCCGCGGCGGTCACGGAGCCACTTCAGCACCTCGCGATGGACAGTGACCCCCGGCGTGGCGCGAGTTCCCTGCGGTCCCCACGCGGGCCTGGGCGGCGGGTCCCTCCACGGCTCCGTCCAGACACCCGGAGGCACCTGCCAAAGCTGCGGAGGTGGACGACCGGGCGTCCAAGCACGAACTTTCTCGCCGAGGCACGGCTGCCGGGCTCCGTCCTGAGGGTTTGGGGCGGCGAGGACCGCCGGGGAGGAGGGCGCGCGAGCCGGAGGCCAGAGCCGGGCCGGGCAGGGCGCGCCCAGGAGCAGGGGAGACGGCGACCCGGGCCGAGGCGGGACGGGGACACGTTACCTGCCCGTGGAGCGCGGGGAAGGGGTGCGCGGCGGCGGCGGCGGCGGAGTCTGGCGCAGAGGGCAGCGGCAGCAGCGGGAGCACCGGCTCGCTCGGGGCCGGCCAGCCGGGGAGACCGGGGAGCAGCGGGGCCGCGGGCGGCGGGGCCGAGGCGAGCAGCACCGGGGGAACCACGACCCCCGCGCTGAGCCGGAGCAGCCCGGCCGAGCCCGGCACCATCCAGACCCAGGGCGGCGGCGGCGGCGGCTCTGCGTCCATCGGCCAGAGGAGAGGCTGCCGCCGCCGGGGCTGCTGCTGCTGCAGCTGCCGCCGCCGCCGCTGGAACCTGGCGCCCGCCTGCATCCTACATCCCCGCGCTGACGGCGGCGGCGGGGGCGGCGGGCGCCCGAGATGCTGGGCCGGCGGCGGCGCGGCTCCGGAGCGAACTCACTTGGCTCCGCGGCGCGGCCGCTCGCTCCGCCCCTGCCCCGCGCGGGAAGCTCCTCCTCCTCCCGCCCGCGCCGCCGCCGCCCCCGGACCCGGCCCCCGCCCCGGTCCCCGCCCGCCCGCGCCCCTCCCCGCCGGACCCCGCCCCGCCCTCGCGCTCCCCGGCCCTGGCCGGGGTCTCCTCCCCGCTGCGCCCCTGGACCCGGGCGGCCGCGGAGGACGTGGGTGGGAGAGGGCCGAGGGCGCGCCCGGCTGGGCTCCCGCCGATGCCGGCCCCCTGGTGGCCTCTGGCCCTCTGGGACCCAGCGCACCGCGAGGGAGGCTCCGGGCTCCGCACTCAAGGGCAAGCGGAAGCCGAGGTGGCGGCGCCGGAGCCAGGCATGTCCCGCTGCCCAGCGCGGGGCTGAGGGCGCAGACGGGGACCGCGCGAGCCGCTCTCTACCTGGCCTCCTCGGAGTCCAGGGCGCGGAGGGTACTGGGCTGCGGATCCGGCGCAGGCGGCCCCGGACGCTGCTAGGCGCGGGCGGATTTCTGTTGCACAAATGGGCCAAACAGGTTCGTAAGGCCCCCGCGGGTCCCCTGGCCCGGAAGTTGAGCCGCGGGTGCCTGGTCTGAAGTTCCGCGCCCCACAGTGGCCCGCGGGCCTCGGCGGCTCCTGCCCTACGCCCTCCAAGGCACCAGGCAGGTGGCCCCAGGGCCTTTGCCCACGACACCCCCTGGGTGGGGCAGGACCACCCCTCTGTGAATTCGTCCTGGATGCCCCCAGGCACAGTCTGTACTCCTCCCTCCCCCAGCACACGCGGCCTCTGACGCTGCACGCCGAGCTTCCTGGGACCCAGGACGAACCGGGCTCCAAGGACCCTCGCTCCGCCCGGACCACACGCAGGCAGCGCCGGCCGAGCCGAGCCTGGGTCCGCACTGGCCACGCGCAGCCACCGCCAGACGGCGCTAGCCCTCCCCCGCTGTAGACCCTGCTTCGGAGGCCGCCAGCCTCCTCCCCATCCCGGGTCCACAGCTTCAGTGCAGCCCCTGGCGACGCGCGCTGACAGCTGGGCAGAGACTTCCGTGCGCTGTAAACCCCTTAGGTCGCTAAACCCAGGAAACCCAAGCACAGCTAATGCCAGCGCGAGACCAGTGTTGTTAGAGGCATTTGAAGGGTCTTTCTGGATGCAAAAGGCAGCATTATGATCCATGCATTTAAGAACTTGCATGAAAAACCCTCCCTGACCTGGGTGGGAGAGCAGGCACCCACCCACCCAGCGGCACTGACACGCCTGGTACTCCAAACCCGTGTTCGCATCACCTCCCACCTGTCCACTGCCAACCTCCTGAGATGGCCTAAAGCACCCGAGTGCTTTTAATTTGCGTCTAGGGTTGTTTCCTCATTATCCTGATTTGCTTAATTTCCTCTTGGCCTGGCCTGATTTCTTTTAGATCTGGGCATATGCTGATTTACATAGCTGGCGCCTCCATATTTTCCTCCACGAAAACCAGTTTTCAATTAGCAAGTTTATCTCTCTCTTTGATGCAAAAGTACTGGCATTTTTTTTATTCACCTAAAATCAGAAAGCTCTGCACATTAGAAGGCTGTTACTATTCACTTACACCCTTAATTTATGTGCATATATTAGTATGTGCACATGTGTTATAAATGTGTTAGTTTAATGGTCAGAGCCAGATCAGGATATTGGGGAGGCGTCTCCAGGCAGGCTCACATGCCCCTGCCACCCCCCACCTCCCCCACCGCATAGTCCCTTTTGCACAGGAGATTCTCCTTCCTTCTGCTTGGAGGCAGAGACAGAAGGCCAGGGGTGCTCGTGCCTGGCTTGCATGCTGTTCTCTGCAAAAGCAGGGTTTTGCGTGTGTGGCCCCCAGGTTCCTGGGAAGGTAGGGTTGGCCACAGTCTGTGGGAGCTGTAGCACTCCTTTGGGGAATCCCAGCCCCATCCCCACTGTCCTAGAAAGGGTTCTGCTGAAGTCCGTTTTTGCCAGCACCCCTCCGGGCTTCCTGATGCTCTGAGCTCAGGACCCCTTGAGCCACTACTTGGCTCTGAAGAAGAGCTGGAAAGTCGAAAGCAGCTCTTGACTCAACCACAAAGCGGCCTAAACTCTTGCTATTTCCTGCCACAAGCTTGACTCTCCTTTTGTATGACAATGCTTGGGAGCCCTTTTCTGTACCATTCTGTGTGCTAAATTATGGGAAAACAGCCCTCAACGACGCAGGCACGGCCATTTCCACTAATCGTTGCTAGGGCCAAGGACCCAGCACAGGGCTTCTCCCCCTCCTCCTGGCTCTCATTTCTGTCAGATTCTTTTCAAGGTTTGCCTCTCATCCCGTTTAACCCGGGAACCTTCTACACCCTCATGGATAGGAGAAGCCCCCTCATAGATACACTCATTTCAATGATTGTTTAGAAGGACCGCCTCCATGAACCGGTTCTGCAAATGTCATTTGTACATCTTGAGGATGGTTGAAAGAGCGAAGGCAAAGAAGATGCAAAGAAGACAGCTGTCACACAAACAAGCAGGATGCCACCTTCTTCCTGGGGACCAGAAGCCAGGTGAATGTCTAGCTTTGAGCTGGGACTCTCTGCCAGAGAGATGTGTGCTGGCAGGCACATCTCCCTCCCTGTGAGTGCCCCCAGAGGTCAGCCCTGGGCAGACAGGTGGCAGGCACCCCATAAACTCGCCCTTTGTTTCCCTGTAAAAATCAGTGAGAAATTTGCTTTATAAAGCATCTTAGGTACAGTCTAGTCTCCAGCTCTCCTATCCAATAAAAACAACCTTAAGTCTTTCCATGTTATTTGGGCAAAACCAGCAGAAATTTCCTGCTAAGCTGAGACAGGATATCACCTAGGAAGAGGAGATCCGCAGCAGGGAAAACGTGTGAATTACCTACATGTGCTAATGAGTTCCCGATTGTTTATTACCTTTCAGGAAAAAATCATGGGGAAGGTTTCAGAGACATCAGTGGAATAAGATTTTGAAGCCCATAGAATATTTTTTTCTTTTTGGAAGTTATTTTATTTTGTTTTTCTAAGTAAAACCTAATAGAATCCCAAAATGGGAGAGATGAAAACATTTCCTTCCAGCCCTGCAGAGTTAAAGTAAACAGCAGGGAAACAGGAGGGAGGTCTAGGCCCTGCATATCACCTCGGAGGTTCCCTGCACCACCCACCGCCCACGCTGCCAGAACTTCTTTCCAAAGCAATTGCCAATCAGACCAACTCCTTTCTGAACACTCGCCAGCTGCGCGATGATGAGGCCCTGAATGAAAGCCGTGCCAGCGAGGACCCAGAGAAGGAATCAGCAGTGTGACACCTGACTCAGTGCAGGGTGAGGAGCAGGAGGGTGTGAGAGTGGCTCCCCCTGTTCTGTGAGACTGGGGAGAGCCTGGAAAGTCTGTGCTCAGAGATGAGGAGCCCTCTGGGATGCACCATGGGCCAAGAGGTTGGCGAAGACGTGCTGACCTGGAGGGCTCCAAGGTCACCTGGAAAGACTTATCCTCTTCACAATTGAAAACTTCAGCCAGGAGTTCAGGAGCAAGGTCTTGGATGGAGCCACAGAACTGAAATTAACACAAAAATCGAGAGTGGCAGCTGTCCGTAGTGATTGTGATCAAAGATGTGGGTGGGATCGCCCAAGGCAAGCACAGAGTGGGAAGAGGAGAGGCCACTCATGGAATCAAGTGACGGGAAGTGAGGCTCCCAGCGAAAGACAGAGCGAGGTACACTGGGCCCACAGGCCGCCTGGGCAGCCAGGAGCATGCTTGTCTGATAAAGGCTGTTATTACTGTTATTTTTGTTATCAGTGTGTTACTGTAGCATATCTGGAAAATACTGCGGAGCATTATGAGTCAGAACCCCTCAGGGAGAAGCAGTGCTAACCTTTCGGTGACCTCTGTACAATCATTTTTTCTCCTCACTTCTCTCTCTCTCTAACGTGTATACGTGTGTATGTGTGTGTGTGTGTGTGTGTAGTATGAATAATATATTGCATCTTGTAATACAGTATTACATTTTATATTAAATTGCATTTTCTAATAAATAGCTTTAATGCAGCCTGTACTATATGTAACCTTAAATCTTATTTTTCACCCAGTATCGCAACATAAGCATTTCCCCACATTATTTAAAAATCTTAGAAGAACCCACTTATCAATAGCAGAGCAAATACCCCATGGAGGACAGATGGAGGTTCAGGTCGGGGCACCCTGTCGTGTGAATTTGCATCCACTGTGCTGACTTTCTGCAACTGTCGAAGGACCACACGTGTGAAAAGAGCCACCCAGAAGCTGGTGCAGAGCAGGTGCTTAGTGCACATCGCTCCCCCCAAGCCTTCACCAAGGCAGATGAGTAGTTTGTGGCCTGTTTGTTTAAACAATGTGTACCTGTGTTCATAATTGAGAGACAGGGACCCCCACATGGAGTCAGGCAGGAAAAAGGCAGCTGCGGAGAGCCCCTCGCCTGTTTGGCCTGTGCCTCTGCCTACCTGGTTTGTACCCTCCGAGTCCTGGGACTCCCTGGCCTCCACGCACTCACTGTTTTCCTTCCAGGGCAGCTACAGGCCTGGAGCCAGGAGCCCCCTGGCCTCGCGTGTGGCGTTCAGGTCCACTTTGGCTATGTATCTTCATAAGCATCTTTATGTTTAGAAATGCATGTTCCCCGGCCCTCAGGAATCCCTTCCTCTGAAGCAGCTCTCCAGCCTTTCTGGGGCCCAGCCCATGTGTGCACGGAGCAGCCCATGTTGGCTGAGGGACAGTGAGCTCCATGGAGCCCGCTTCCCAGCGCCCTGTCCCTCTGCCAGCCTGAGGCTCCCCGCACAGTCGCTGCCTGCTGCCTGGTGCAGCCCTCGCTGGTCTGGCCCTCAGGCTCTGGGTAGCACTGCTGCCTACACAGACCCAGTGGACGCAGGGCTCCTGGGTCCCTGCCTGCTCATGATGCTGCTGCCCAAACCCTGGTGACATTTCTGAACACATTTCTTCCACCTCCCCTGACAAACATACCTGAAAGAGGCACCAAACTTCCTTCAGTCTTCAGCACTCAGAAATGCGATTACAGAACAGCCCCGCTCTGGATTTCCTCACGTCTCACTTTCCCCGTGGAGGGCTCAGGCACCAGCAGCCGCCAGCCCCAAAATGTCCCCCTTCCCCTCTGCCCCAGCATCGAGGTCCTCTTGAGGCCTGACCCCCTTCATGAGGCAACTCGCCTAGGCCCTCCGCTTCCTTCTGTGGTCCAGGATGCTGGCCACAGACTCACCATGGTGGGTTGACTGTGTCCTCCTCCTCCAAACAAACAAACAAACAAACAAAACTGTCTACCCTATAACTGTGTTTGAAAAAATGGACTTTGCAGCTATAGTTAAGACAAGGATCTTGAAATGAGAACAGGCTGGTTACCAGCATATCCAGGGATACATTTAATGTTAACAATTTATTTTTGAATATGTTAGAATATTTATTTTGTAGTATAAAAATTAACTTCATAATCAAAGGCTGGTGATATAAATAATAAAATATCTATATGATAAAATACTCTCTGCCATGAAAGTATTGTTACAGAAGAATATTAATTGAAGTGAAAATAATTACATATTCTATTTTTAAGTAAAAAAGTTAATCAACCTACCCGTCTACCTATCTATAGATCATCTGTGAGACATACAAGAAATGTCCCAAATCATGCAGTGGGCAGAGGTTGCATGGACTGTGATAAAACCCCAGGCCTGGGCTGTGGCTCCCAGGATGCTCAGGTCCAGATTGAGCCCCTGGTGGGAACAAAGCTCCTCTCTTTACCAAGCCCTCCACCCTCCATGCCCCTATTCTCTCATCCCCCACCTCCCACCCTCCACTCTCCAATCGCCGCTTTTCTTCCCACTGCCTGCCCTCCCATCCTTCATCCTCCATAAGATGCTTCCCAAGGCCCTCACTGTGCCAGGGTCCTGCCACACATGTGCCCCTCTGTCTGGTTCGGTGGAGAGTCCCTGGATGGCAAGAACCATGTGTTCTTCCTTCTTCTCTTCCACTGCACGCTGTAAGAAGTTAATAAATGCTTAAGGAAGGACACAGAAGAACCCTCGTGCTGTAGGGAAGACCCAGGCCGGGATCCCTGGGAAGCTCATGCCTGAACCCCATGGATGAATCCAAGAGGAAACTGCCTTATGCCCACATCCACCCAACAGAAGTGCAGCGAGGCTTTGCAGGTGAGCTCTGTAGGGGTTTCCTAGCCAAGGGGAGGACGGGGTCCAGCCAGGCCACTTGCCCAGCCACGCCCAGTATAGGGATGTGCCCACCTAGAGGGCACCTTTGTGAGAGTCACATCAAGGCAGCCTGGGGATGGATCCTAGCAAAGCCCAGCCCTTGCCCACTCCCTCATTTGTTCTGCTTCTTAGACCTGGGAATACCTGGGAGGGCAGGGAGGTAGAAGGGAGAGGGAAGAGGAGAAGGAAGGGCAAAAGCCTGTGGGGAGGGGGCAGGAAGGTCAGAGACTGAAGGACAAGCTCCTGGCTCTGAGGGGGACACCCTGAGCTTGCCCCCCTCACCCATGACTGCTTCCTGTGCCCTTTACTACCCCACTACTGCCTGGCAGCATCCGGCTGCTAGAAGAGGGGACGGGGGTCTTTAATCTTATCCGAAGATGACTTACAAGACATAAAAGGAGGAGAAAGGACGCAGCGTGGTGCGGTGCATTCTGACAGCCATGCAATTCCTCTGCCTCCTGCTCACTTCACACATATGGTGGTATGATTTGTGGGGTTTGGTGACGTGAAATCATTTGCATTTTCTCTACAAACCTTGTGCAAACAACTAGAAAGCTACACTGATTCGTGTTAAGCAGGCATTTACCAGTCAGAAAACACACAAACTTCCCATTTTGACACAAACGTCTCTACTCCCATGTAGTAGCTTCTGGTGCAGGAGCCTGCAGATCCCGTGCGGATGAAGCCACTGTGTTAGCCCTGCTCCCATCTGTCCCGCTGCAAGGTGCACCTGCCTGATTTCTTATCTGGAGCTAAGATGGCGATGCGGCTCCCTGCCTCCAGGTTCCATCACTGTGTGGGCATGTCACACCCGGACACCTAAGAGGGGCTGCAATTGGGAAGCAGGTGACAACAAACCCATTGCTTGGAAATAATTCAAGAAGAAAAGTGGCCTTGTCCGACTTGGGGTTACTGTCCATGATCGAGTGTGTTTTTAACATAGTTTCACTGTTTGGGGGCAAAACTAGCAGCACAAGGCCCCCCGTGGCCAAGGAGCAGCCTGCTGTGCCTGCTCTGAGCAGGTGGAAGCTTTGGCAGAACGCGCTCTGCAGTGTCTGCTTCTCTCTGGAAGCCAATCAGCCTCCTCTGCACATGGATTCCATTCTGCTCGGAGACTGTTATCACCCTACAGCCCCCAAACAGTGGAGAGGCAGATTCCCACCAGGCTCAAATTAGCAAATCTCCAATGCACAGGGTCTGAATTCACGACCGAACCCCAAACACATTTCTCTAGAGGCACCAGAAGAATGAGAGTGGTCTGCACATTTCTGGTAGCTCAGCTTCTGCAGCCTGTGCTTGAGCTGATCAGACTTCTAAAGATATTCCCACACCTCCCATTCTGCCAGTGACATCTAAGCTAGCAGTGCCCGTGGTGCAGCCTGGCTGTACAATAGGATTATCAATGCCCCAATTCGGCCCACAGTGTGTGCTGCGGATGGGAGCTTAGAGCACAAAGAATAAGAGTGGAAGAGGTATTCCTTCAGCAGACCCAGCTATCGACAGGCCTCATCAGGCCAGGGTGAAGCCCTCCCTCTGTGTGTGCAGGAGTCCCCAAGAGCTTGGTTTAACATTTGGTCATGATATGCGCAGATGAAGGGCCATGCGGCTCGTGGTCATTAGACATGCACACAGAAGCCAGATATTATCCTAAGCTATTACACACATCACTTCACTAAATCCATCCCAAAGTGCCATGAAGACGGTATGTTCCTGTTCCTGTTTAAAGGATGAGAAACCGAGGCAAAGAGAAATTTGGCAATCTGCCCAGGACTCCGAGGCTGATCCTTAGTGGGGGCTGGGATTCAGACTCAAGCAGCCTCCCACAGCCCAGGCTTTCTAGGAAAGGAGGCCAAAGGATCAGAGAGTAGCTGAGGTGGTGGGGACACCTGGTGACCGAGGACATATCCGTACTAGCCCTCTGCACAGGCTCCCACTCTTCCCTTCTCTTTGGAATCATGTCTGTGACTGTGGAGCTGCACATATTCCCAAGAGGTGGCAACTCTGGACGCAGCAATCCTAGTCCCTTTAAACCCCAATCTCTACATCTCTACTCTCACTAGTCAATTTTGTCTCAACAAAAAAAAGAGGAGACTAAGTATGTTCTCTTCACCGTCGATTGTCTTAATATGTTTCACCTTGATAAAATAGTCTTAGGGTAAGGAAAAAATAGAATTTCATAGAAGATAGTCTATTTTTTCTTTCCTGAAGAGTTAACTTAAATAATTCTGTGCATTCAGGGAATTCTGCCTCTTAACCTTTCCTTTGACTCTTCCTGCTCATTAATAAATACATTGAGATATGCTTGCCTTGGGACCAGTCCCTGGGGCATCTGACTTCTGACCTTTTTCCATGTTCAGAATTAGATGGGGCAAGAGTTTTGATTATCTAAGGAGCTAAGAGGTAAAATAGAAATACGCCCATGAGACTGTGGGGCCTGAGAGAGAATAGGGTTTCACGGGGGTCTGGGAGGGCAGCGGGGCCACCTCAAGCTGAATCACCTGCTCTGTGGCTTCTGTGAAACCAGACAGGGTGGGAAGGACTCCAGCAAAGAGCCAGACCCCTCCCTGCACAAGAGCCAGCCCATAAGACGTCCTTACACCATTGAGGGAAGATTCCCAGTGGCTCCAACTTTCAAGCCCTCAAGCAGATCATAAGGATCTGCCTCTCCTATGAGCCGGGAGTCCATGGGCCAGGTCCAGGGTGTGTCAGCCTTGACCACCTCCCTGGGGCCTTAGGAGAGAACACTTTTCCTTGGCACAGTCAGAGAAAAAGGCCAAAAAAAAAAGAAAGAAAAGAAAAGAAAAATGTAAAATGTAAAATGTCCAGGGCAGGGAAGAGAGTGAAGCCTGTTTCACCCCATGCTTTTTATCCTGAGAGAACAGTTCCTTTCACCCAACCAGACACAGCCTCATGCATCCCAGAGCCGAGCCCCAGGCTGGGACTGAGGCTGGCAGCTGCCACAGGCCTCAGCTTTGTGGGCCAGAGTGCTGCACACCGGATTGAAGCCCACCCACAGGCAAGGGAGCTGCAGGAGCTTCAGGACCCTTGGCTTCTCAACAAACCCCTGCTGCTGCTCCGAGGGGCTGGCCTGGGGCACCCAAGGCCACTCAGACAGCTGAGGTGGGGGCCAGGATCCTGGGCCCCTGGGCCCAGTGCAGTGCTCTTCCTTCTATCAGCAAGACGAGGACCAGTCACTGCTGGACAAACTGGTTTTGGAAAGAGAGGGCACCCTTGTGGACTATCACATATAAAGGTCCTGTCCCTGCCAGAGCCAGCCAGAGCCGCCTGGGGTGAGTCCACAAGGAGTGCAGCGTGGGGGCTGCAGCCTCTTCCCAGCAGGTCCCAGCACCCGCCTTTCTGCAAGTCGGCCTGCTCGCATTTGGGAAAGCGAAACACTCATAGGAAGCGACAGCCACACCGCATCTCAATAAAGAGGCGGGAGGGGAAAGAAAGCCTTCCTGTTATGCACCTTCTCCCCAAAGCCTTCTGACTAAACACAGGGAATGAAGAGAGGGAGAGAGCCTGCTCCTGGGAGGCTCCTCTGCCCTCAGGGCAGCCTGAAAGCAGCCCCGCAGGGCTGAGCAGAACCGAGTTTTCTGATTTTTAGCAATAACCTGCTCACTGCCTGCATTCCAGGCACCAGACACGGCGCCTTGTGTAGCTCACCCTGGCCATCTCAGGGCCCAGGCAGCCTTGGAGGAAAGTGGGCTGCAGTAGTCAAGGAAGTTAACTGGGGCCTGAAACTCCTGCCTCAGCTACACAAAGCTGGTTTATGTATATTACCAACAAACCAAGTGTACTTTAGTGCAAGAAACATTATTTGAGATTAAAGAGGGCAGCACATAATAAAATAACAGGAAGATGTAAGCGTTCTAATCGTTCATGTACCTAACAATAGAACCTTAAAATATATGAAATGAATATCAGCAGAATTTTTTTTAAAGTAGACAAATTAATCAATTTTCCTGGCGGGTTTGAATTCCAGAGTCCGATGTCCCACGGCTCTGCCGCCCCTTCCCTGCCTGTCGGGTGCCTACTTCTCCCCTAAGCTTTTCAGAATGAGGAAAGAGAGAGGATTTCTTTTATCCTTCCACTCATACCACTTTCAGAGATATTTTTCCATATCCTTGTCCTAGTTTTACTTCTCTACAGTTCCAGGAGCCAGCTGGGTCACCACTCGCCCTTCCTCCTGCTGGGAGGGGAGCCTCGTTCTTCTCTTCCCCCTCCCAGCAGGGGAGCCCAGGCAGGTGCCAGGGCAGCCACTCCCCTGACTGCCACTGGGGAGGGAGGAGAGAAAGGCAGGGGCAGGCTAGGGGTCCGGGGCTGTCCAGAAACCCCTCCCATCCTACCCTGAGAATCACTGAAATGTGAGCTGCATGTGGCAGGGTGTGGCTGTGTCCTCAGAATCTGGGACATGACAGACTGACACTTCTATATGCCCTTGCTGAATGAGGATCTTACCAGGTACATGTGTTGAAAAACCTTTCCAGTATGAAACAGTTTTTCAATGATATGGTTACAATGTTTAAAAAGTGCAAGGCTGAATTGGCCAAGAAGAAGAGGAGATCCTGAGAGAAAACCTACAGTAAAGAGAGGCAGAGAAGCAGAGCCTCCATCCAACCAGCACAGGTGCCAGCTCCTGGTGACCGAGCCCTCATCTCGGGGAACCTGTGTCCAGACCTGGAGGCTGCCCGGGAGACTCCCACGTTAACCCACCCCATCCGTGCAGGTGCCAGCGCCTGGTGACGGAGCCCTTGTCTCGGGGAACCCGTGTCCAGACCTGGAGGCTGCCCGGGAGACTCCCACGTTAACCCACCCCATCCGTGCAGGTGCCAGCGCCTGGTGACGGAGCCCTTGTCTTGGGGAACCCGTGTCCAGACCTGGAGGCTGCCCGGGAGACTCTCACGTTAACCCACCCCATCCGTGCAGGTGCCAGCACCTGGTGACCAAGCCCTTGCCAGGGCAGGAGGCTGCCCGGGAGACCCCCCCAGCATCCCAGAAAAGCAGGGTCCTCGTTGTGGGCCAGGAGAAAATGCTCTACAAAGGAAGACAGGAAACATGCCCAGCACTGGGTGGAGGGAGAAGCCTCCTTGCAAAATGAAGAGCCACAGACCATCCACATGTGATTCTGGAGTCAGTGTTCACACTACCTGTGTGAAAAAAAAAAAAAGTGGTTTGAAGTGGTCCCTGGTGGGAAGTGGCTCCAGGCAGCTGACAATGAGGAATGGAAAACCTCTGCAGGGACGCATTTCAAATCCAGTCCCTGAAGAGACTCCATAGAAACAGATCAAAGGGACACATTCATATTCGAAAGCAGAAGCCCAGGAGGAAAGAGGCCACCATGACTGAGGCTTACAGGAAAAAATCAAAACAGAAGGATCAGACTCCAGAAGACAAATGGTATTAGGATTATGGGACACAGGGTATCAATGTGTGTGTTTGATATGTTTAAATATAATTTAAAAGTTTTAGTGTGCTCTTTGAAGGGTGTATTAAAATATTTTAAACTATGTTAAAGTTAGGATGGAAGGATGAGAATTTCTAAAAATAACCAAGTAAGTTTGTAAATGAATATAATAAACCTTTTAGAAACGAAAGACGCAGTGTTGAGGTTTGGAACACAATGTGTGGATTAAAAAGTAGATTAGACACAATTGAAGAGGTGATAAATGGACTAAAAGAGAGATTTGAAGGAATTATTCAAAAAACATCCCACAGAGGGAAAGCGTTTGGGCAACGTGAAAGTGAAGATGAAGAACACGGAGGCTGAGGTAAGAAGAGCTGGGAAATGTCTAGAGAGCCACAGAAGAGCTGAGAGAGAAGAGGCATGCCCAACACAGAGAGAGAATGACCAAACGTTTTCCAGAATTGATGCAAACCCCAAGCCCCCAGGTTCCGCAAGTGTGGAGAATCCCCAGCCCAGCCCGTTTCCTGCATTCTCTGGAGACGTGGTTCATCCGCAGCCCAGCCCGTTTCATTTCCTGCATTCTCTGGAGACGTGGTTCGTGGCTTTCATCAAGGAAGCAGGCACACAGTCTTTGGAAGGCTCTGAGGAAGTCAGTGCTGAGGACGAGGCTCCTGGAGTGAAGAGGTAGCGGGCGCCACGCCAACAGCATCAGCGCTGCAGAGGCCAGGAGACCCACAAGGTCTCATGCGAACAGGATCCCAAGGGCCCTGCCACTGTGAGTCTCAACAGGGTGGTCACCTTTTTGTCATGTTGGGAGATATGAAATCAGCCAGGAATGGTGCACTTGATGATAAAGAACATGAAGAGGGATTTCTGGACCTGAACAGGAGGAAATGGTGTCTGGACACTGGGAAGAATCCCCACGCGCAGAGACTCACCCAGTGAGTGTGGAAGGATCCCCAGGACACTGCTCAGAGACTCACCCAGTGAGTGTGGAAGGATCCCCAGGACACCGCTCAGAGAATCACCCAGTGAGTGTGGAAAGATCCCCACGCACGGCTCAGAGAATCACCCAGTGAGTGTGGAAAGATCCCCACGTGCTGCTCAGAGACTCACCCAGTGAGTGTGGAAGGATCCCCAAGACACTGCTCAGAGACTCACCCAGTGAGTGTGGAAAGATCCCCACGTGCTGCTCAGAGAATCACCCAGTGAGTTGGAAGGATCCCCACGTGCTGCTCAGAGAATCACCCAGTGAGTGTGGAAGGATCCCCAGGACACTGCTCAGAGACTCACCCAGTGAGTGTGGAAGGATTCCCAGGACACTGCTCAGAGACTCACCCAGTGAGTGTGGAAGGATCCCCATGAGCTGCTCAGAGACTCACCCAGTGAGTGTGGAAGGATCCCCATGCACTGCTCAGAGAATCACCCAGTGGGTGTGTCCCTCTGCTCTCCTCCTCATTCTTGGTCTTCAGGGATAAATGATGGCACCCCAGGTGGACCCCCGGATCTTCTGACACATTTTAAAATCAAATTATTTCTCTAGACAGGGGCCCCACGTAAAAGATTTGCATAGGATCTCACTAACACTGGGGGCAGCTCTACACACAACACTAGGAAAAGAAAGCTGCTATATGTGTATTAACAACAAACCAAGTATACTTTAGTGAAAAAAACATTATTTGAGATTAAAGAGGGCAGCACATGATAAAATAACAGGAAGATATAAGTGTTCTAATCGTGCATGTACCTAATAATAGAACCTTAAAATATATGAAATAAATATGAGCAGAATTTTTTAAAAGTAGACAAATTAATCATCATAATGGTAGATTTTAATATAGCTGTCTTAATAACTGATAGTATAGCCAGATGAATACATAAATCTGCAAGTACACAGAAGATACACACAAGAGGGTAACTAAGTTTACCTTTTTAAATAAATGTTCAACACAGTACCCAACATCTGTAGAATATAAAGGCAAAGGCAAAATAAAGAGGTGAAAAGTTAAAAAAAAAAAACAGAGATTTACTCCAACAGACTCTCACTAACTAACGTTATAATGCAGTTCTAGAGAAAGAAAAAAAGTCATCCCAAGAGAAAAGTCAGATGCCTGCAAGAATAGTGAGCAAAGAAAGCACTAAATATGGCAAAATATGAATCTGCCTTGATCTATGAGCGAACAGTAATGAAGGAACACTCTGCGGGGTTAAAAATTAAGACTAAAGTGCTGGACGAAAACAGCACATAAATTTGGAGAGAGGTAAACAGACTTATTAAATTTTAACTGTCAAATTAAATATGCATGTTAGTATTTCTAGAATAAATAATGAATAAAACAGTTTGGCAAGTTAAAAAATCAGTATATAATATGTTATTTGCATTTTTGTAATACATGCAATAAAGGGAACATACAATGTAAAAATATATAATATACAATGGTAACGAAAATGATAACGGAGACCCCAAAGTGTAATCTAACCAAGAATGTGCAATTTATTTAAGATAAAGTTTTATAAGTTTATTGAAATGTTTAAAAACAAACTAAAAAGTGGGGAAATAGGCATTTTATGGATAGAAAGACTCAATATTTTAAAGCTGCCAATTTGTCCCAAATTTATATATAACTTTAATGCAATCAAAGCAATCGAAAGATTTTTTTTATAGAACTTGATATACTGATTCTCAAACACATTATGCAAGGGCAAAGGGTACAAAGAGTTAATAAATTACACATTTTAAGATCTTTTCAACAAATGGGATTAGAATAAAAATATGAGAGTACAAGAAACAACAAGATTGAACCCCTACTTCATACCACATACAGACTGTAAAGCAAAATGTATCCTAGAACTAAAATTAAAAACTAAAATGTATAAGTCTCTAGAAGAAAGCATGCTTGAAAATCTTCCCAACCTTGGAGCAGATAAAAATATCACAACACAGGGAAAGCCTGAACTGTAAAAAGAACAACGGATACATTAGCTTTCAACAAAATGTGGAGCTTCTCCCTTTGCAAGACGCTGCTATGAAAACAAAAAAAGCAATGCACAACCCAAGAGGAAAAAAAGCTCGTAATTCAGACGTCTGACAAAGGGCCTGGCATATAGAAAGGACTCCAATAACAAAAGCACTAACAACCCAATAAGAAAAGACTCGACTAGCTGTTTCACAAAATAAGGTCTTCAAATGGCTAGTAAGTATATTAAAAGGTGCCAAACATTATTAGTCACCAGGAAAATTGCAAATTAAAAACCCCTGAAAAATGTCATTTCACACCGACAAGGATGGCTAAAGTGTTAAAACAAAACAAAACAAAACAAAGGACTGATGGTATCAATTCCAGTGAGGCTTGTGGAGTAACCAGAGCTCCTATACATTGCAGAGGAGAGAGTTGCATTGTCCCAATATTTTGGAAATCTGTTTGGCAGTTTCTTGTAACGTTAAAGTGCTAAACTTGCACCTGTCCTGTGATGAGCTCTTCCGCTCTGAGGTACTTAGCTCAGATGCATTAAAACATACGTCTGCAATAAAACTTGTACAAAATGTTTTAGCGTATTTAGTCTTAATAGACCCCAAATAGTAACAGCCCATAATAGTTTGCCAGAACTGTCATAATAAAGTACAACAAACTGGGTGGCTTCAACAACAGGAATTTATTTTCTAAGTTCTGAGGCTGGAAGTCCAAGGTCAAGGTGCCAGCAGGCTTGGTTTCTCCTGAGTCCTCTCTCCTTGGCTTCCAGGTGTCCATCTTCTCCCTTTATCTTCACACAGAATCCCCTCTGCATTCCTATGTGCTAATCTCTTCTACCTGAGACACCTGTCATGTTAGACTAGGGCCCACCTTATCAACAACCTCATTTGAACTTCATCACCATGTACAGACCTTATCTCCAATTACATTAAATTCTGCAGTACTTGTGGTTGAGACTGCAGTGTACAAATTTTGGGGGGAGACATAATTCAGTCCATAACACACCCCAAATATCTGTCAACAGGAAAATGCAGAAATGAATTGTCTTATGTTCAAACAGTGGAATACTACTCAGCAATAAAATAGTCTAAAGAAACACAGATCAGTATAACATTATGTTGAGTGAGAGAAGCCAGCCTGAAAGAATACATAGGGAATTATTCCAGTTTTATTAAATCCAAAAATAGGCAAAAGTCATCTGTATTTCTAGAAATTAGACCAGAGGTTGCTATGGGGAGGGGGATTGACTTTTCAGGGGGTGATGGGAGTTCTCTGTGTCTTGATGGGATGGGGGTTACAGATGCATACATTTATCAAAACTCACCAGTTTCCACTTCCAATCTCTGTCTTTCACTCTATGCAAACTTTATCTCACACAAACAAACATAGATATTTAACAGGGGATACATTATCTGTTAACACTTAAAAGCATTAAACAAGTGTCTTATGCTTTTAAACATTAAAGCTTTCATTTGAAATTATTGTGGATTCACAAACAATTGTAAGAAATAATACAGAAAGATCTAGTGTATCCTCATCCAGTTTCCCCAGTGCAAAACTGTAGGATGATATCACCACCAGGATATTGGCATTAATATAGTCAAGAGAATGAAGGTTTCCATCCCCACAAATTCCTAATGTTGGGCTGAAATGTCCACTTCAGTCCAGCCCCCATGCCCTCCTTAACCCCAGCGAATACTAATCTGGTCTTCATTTCTATACTTTGATGATTTCAAGAATGCTATATAAATGGAATAATGCAGAATGTAACCTTTTCAGTTTTACACTCAGTGTCATTCTCTGGAGTTTAATCCAGGTGGTTTCATACATCAGGGCTTTCTTCTTTTTTTATTACTAAGAATTCCACGGTAAGGATACACCACGGTTTAAACCTTTATCTTTTGAAAGACATCTGGATTGTTTTGAGTTTTTGGCTATGATGAGTAATGTGTCCATAAACATTTCTACACATTTTTATATGAACATTAGATTTTCTTTTCCCTGGGGAAAATGTCTAGAAGAGCAACTTCTTGTTAAGGCTTGTCTGCCACTTTGCTTCTTGTTTTCTATTTGTTCTCTCTGTTTTAGCTTTCTCTGTTTCCTTTTTCCTGCCTTAATTTGGGTTACTCAACTATTTTTTTTTAGAATCCCATTTTGATTTAATTACAGTGATATTGACTCAATATACGTGTTTAGCTTTTAAATTGGCTGCTCTAGGGATTACATTTTATATACATAACATCAAAATCTACCGATATTTTTATTCTACCAGTTCAGGTAAAGCATAGAAATCTTATCTCTCTTACATCTCTTCATTTTCTCCTATTAAATTATAGAGAATGTTCAGTTTTGTGAGAAACTGACAGATTGCTTTCTAGAGCGGCTGTACCATTTTGCGTTCCCACCAGTGATGTATGAGAGAGCGTTTCTCCTCAACCTCAGGTGCGTTGAGTGTTGTGACTGTTTTAAGCCATTCTGATGGATATGCAGTACTACCTCATTGCGGGTTCCATTTGCCTTTCCCCAATTTGTGATAATGTTGTACATCTTTTCCTGTTGCCTCTCCACCATCTTTGTATCCTCTTTGGTGAAATGTCTCTTTATACCTCCGTTCATTTTCTGAGAAGATTATTTGACTAACTTTTGAGTCTGGAGTGTCCTCTATGTATTTTAGATAATAGTCCTTTGCAAGATATGATTTATGAATATTTTCTGAATCTGAAGCTTGCTTTTTCATCCTCTGGAGACTTTCACAGAGAAAAATATTTTCATTTTAATGCAGTCCATTTTATTCTTTTTCCTTTTTTGACTCATACTTTTTGTGTCCAGTTTAGGAACTCCTTTCCTAGCCATATACCCAACAGTTTACTCATATTTTTTTCCCTAACATTGTACATGAAATCCATGATTCATTTTGAATTAATTTTTGTGTAAAATGTGAGACGTAGGTCAAGGTCCAGTTTTGTTTCTTTTGCCTACCAATGTCCAGTTGCTCCAGCGCATCTGTTGAAAATGCTCTTTCCCACATCGAATAGGTTTTGTGCTTTTGTCAAAAATTAGGTAGATAGGTGGAAATAATCAAGTGTTCATCAGATGAAAACGTAGGTGGAAGATGGCGGGAGCAACCAAACGTTCATCAAATGATGAATGGATGAGCAAAATGTGTTATAGCCATACCTGGAGTATTATTTAGCCTTGAAAATAATAAAGTACTGATACATATTACAACATGGATAAACCTTGGAAACATTCTACCTTTCACTAAGTGAAAGAAGCCAATCACAGCAGAGCACATGGGATTCCATTTATATAAAATGTCGGGGCAAATCCCTAATGTTTGCTTAGGGGTGGCAGGGATGTGGTAATGGGAATTGACAGCTAAATGGTTAGGGACTTCTTTTTGAGATGATGAAAATCATCTGAAATTGATTGTAGTGATGGTCGCACATTTCTGTCAATATATTAAAAACTTAGGGATTATACATTTTAAATGAGTTGTATGGTGCTTTTTTATCACTGCTTTAGCTGTGTCTCACAAATTTTAATACGTTGTATGGGTATCTCAATAAAGCTGTTGAAAAAATCAGTTGGGGAAATCTCTGTGTATCAGGTTTGGAGATCTCTTTTGTTTCATTGATTCAATACCACACTGCTGACTACTATAACTATATAATTATAATAAATCTTAAAATCAGGTACAATAATTCCTCCCACTTTCTTCTCTTTAAAAAATTATATTAGTTATTTCACTTATCCCTTCCGCATAAATTTTAGACTCATCTTAAATGTATCTATAAAAATCTTGTTGAAATTTCAATAGGAATTACATTAAACATGTATATCAATTTGGAGAGACTTGATATCTTCCTTATGTTGAGTTTCCCAATCACTGAACACGGTTATTTAGATCTTTGTTTCATTTCTCTCATCAGCATTGTATAGTTTTCAACATACAAGTCCTGTTCATGTTTAGTTAAATTTGTCCTTAAATATTTTATTTTATTTATTTATTTATTTATTTTTTTGAGATGGAGTCTCACTCTGTTGCCCAGGCTGGAGTGCAGTGGTGCAATCTCGGCTCAGTGCAAGCTCTGCCTCCGAGTTCACGCCATTCTCCTGCCTCAGCCTCCCAAGTAGCTGGGACTATGGGCGTCCGCCGCCATGCCCGGCTAAATTTTGTATTTTTAGTAGAGATGGCGTTTCACCGTGTTAGCCAGGATGATGTCAATCTCCTGACCTCGTGATCTGCCCGTCTGGTCTCCCAAAGTGCTGGGATTACAGGCGTGAGCCACTGTACCAAGTCACATATTTTATTTTTTAAGCAATTGTAAATGGTATTGTATTTTAATTTTGATAACCATGTGTTCATTGCTAGTATATAGAAATAAAATTTATTTTCATATATTTTCATGTATCTTGCAATCTTGAATTCACACTCAGTTCTGGGAAGTTTTGTTTGGGGCATGTGTGTGTGTGAGAGAGAGAGAGAGAGAGAGAGAGAGAGATTTGGTATAATGGTTATACAGCTTCATGAAATTAATTAAGAAGAGTTTTCTCCTATTCCTTGGAAGGTATTGTGTATAATCAGTATTCATTCTTCTTTAAAGTTTTGATAGAATTCTCTAGTGGATTTGATAGAATGCTCTAGCAAAACCACTTAGGCAATGGAGATTCATTTTGGGGATGTTTTTAAAGTTATAAATTCTATTTTTTTAATGATTATAGGGCTATTCAAATTAGTTGTTTCATACTGGGTGAATTGTGGTAGTTGGTGTTTTTTAATAATGTGGTCCAGTTGATGTAAGTTGTCAAATTTATGCATGTATTGTTGTTCTTAGTATGACTTTATTATCCTTTTGATGTCTTCAGGGTCTGTAGTGATATTCCATGTTTTATTCCTGACATTGGTAATTTACATCTTCTCTCTTTCTCCTTTGTCTGTCTTGCTAGTGGTTTATTAATTTTATAGAGCTTTTCAAACCTCTATGTTTCATTTATTTCTCTGTCATTTTCTGTTTGCAAGTCTATGGATTTCTGCTTTTATCTTTGTCATTGCCTTCCTCTTCCTGGATTTGGTTTACTCTTCATTTTCTAGGCTCTTCAGATGTGAGCTCATGTTATTGATTTAACAGTTTTCTGCTTTTCTAATTTGTGTACTTAGTGCTGCAAATTTTATTCTCATCACTGCTTTAGCTGTGTCTCACAAAGTTTAATATGTTGTATTTTAATTCTCATTAAATTCAATGTATTTTTAAAAATTTCTTTTCAGATTTTCTCTTTGACCCATGGATTATTTGGACATGTGCTGTTTTGTTTCTAAGAGTCTGTTGATTTCCCTATTATTATCTCTAGTTTGAATTCATTGTGGTAGAAGAACACACCTACATTGTGGTAGAAGAACACACACATGCATGGCATCAATTCTTTTAATATACTGAGATTTTTGAGGGCTAGGATATGGTTTATTTTGGTATATGTTATGTGGATACTTGAAAAAAAATGTCAGTTCTGCTGTTGTTGGATGAAATATACTATAAATGTCTATTAAACCTATTGGTTTAATTGGGTTATGCAGTGGTGTTGAGTCTAATTGGTTTGGGTCAGGTGGTGTTAAGTTCTCATATATCTGCTGCTTTTTGTTTGCTTTACCAATTGGTGAGAAGTTTATTTAATTTTCTTGTCTGTTGTTGGGAGAAGTTGTTAAAGACAAATTGTGATTTGTCTATTTCTCTTTTCAGTTCTATCAGATTTTGCTTTACATGTTTTGCAATTTTCTTATTTGATACATACACATTTAGAATAATAGCCATATTATCTTGGTGAATTGACCCTATTATCATTATATAACATCCTTCTCTGGCTCTGGAATTTTTCTTATTTTTAAGCCTATTTTATTTGATTTTACTAAATCTACTCCTGCTTTCCATTGATAATCTCTGCATAATGTGCAAAGATTATCTATCTTTTTACTTTCAATCTGACTCTAATAGGTTTGAAGTGAGTTTCTTACAGACAGCATATAGTTGGGTCATGTTTTTTAATCCACTCTGCCAATCTCTGTCTCAGAATTAGTATATTTAGATAATTTACATGTAATATAATTGTTTATATGTTAAGGCTTGTCTGCCACTTTGCTTCTTGTTTTCTATTTGTTCTCTCTGTTTTAGCTTTCTTTGTTTCCTTTTTCCTGCCTTAATTTGAGTTACTCAACTATTTCTTTTAGAATCCCATTTTGATTTAATTACAGTGATATTGACTCAATATATGTGTTTAGCTTTTAAACTGGCTGCTCTAGGGATTACATTTTATATACATAACATCAAAATCTACCGATATTTTTATTTTACCACTTCAGGTAAAGCATAGAAATCTTATCTCTCTTACATCTCTTCATTTTCTCCTTTTAAATTATAATTGTCTTAAATATTCCATCTACATGCATGCAGAGCCACATCAGATAATGTTATAATTTTTGTTTCAACTGACAAACATAATTTAGAAAACTCAAGGGGAGAAAGTCTATTATAGTACCCATACATTGGCTTATCATATTCTTCCTTCCTGATTTTACAAGATTTATTATTTCATCATTTCCTTTCTGTTTCAAGAACTTCCTTTAGCTATCCTTATGAGGTTAGCCTCCTGCTGACAAATTATCTTCATTTTCCTTTATCTGCATATGTTTTGGTTTCTCTTTTATTCTTGAAGGATATTTTCACTGAGCATAGAATGTTGGGTTGACAGTTCTTTGTTTTTAGCTCTTGAAAAATGCTATGCAACTTCTTTCTGACTTCCAAGTTTTTTTTTTTTTAAATCATATGTCTTCTCTATTTTGAATTGAGTTTTCCCAGTGGTGATTGGTTGGTTTTCCTCTAGCTGCTCTTAAGACTTTTTCTCTGTTTTTGGTGTCCAAAAATTTGACCATGACGTTTCTTGGTATAGATATCATTTGGCTCATCATATTTGGGATTTTCTTGGCTTCTTGACTCTCTTGTTTTATGTCTTCTTTAAAAAATTTTGAGAAGCTTTTGACTACTATTTTTCTGAGTACTTTTTTAACCCAGTGTTCTTTGTCTTCTCTATCTGAGATTCCAATGACATGAATGTTAAATTCTATGTCACAGTCCCACTGGTCTCTGAGGCTCTTTTCATTTCTTCGTCAATTTTCTATTATTCAGAGAATAATTCTCATCACCATGGGCAAAATGCACCCAGGCTATGGCTGGCTTTTACCCCAAGGTCATGCCCGGCTGCCTGTGGGGCTCATGGGAGTACTCAGAGCACACTGTCCTCCTGGCCAGGCACTGGCTATTCATGAGGTGAGAAGGGACATCCCTAAATCTTTCAATGCAGAGTAATATTTGAGGGCATTCTAGGGACACATGAGTTAAAGGAGATCTGGCCCCATCCTTCGTAAGTTGGCTAAGTTTAGAAGAGTGATAGAAAGTACAGATGCTGATATAAAATTTCCAGTGTTCAAATCTTGGCCTTTCCAATGATTAACTGCATAACTATGGGCATACCTCCTCATCTACAGAGTCGGGATAATAATAGAATTTACCTGGAAGGATTGTTTTGTATTAGGCAGTGTAAAATCCTCAGAGCAGCTTCTGGGTTGCTATAAGCCCCACGTCAATATTTGCTATTAAGATTTTAAAATTTCTTTCATCCTTAGTTTTTTCATCTATTAAATGGCTAATTAAACTTTTTTCACCGGGTTGTTGTAAAATGTAAATGGTATAATTTGTCTAGAGTTCTTAGAGTGATACCTAACATGATTCAAATCTGGAAAATCATTTTTTAATTTTAGTGTCATTATTTCTGCATTCACTGCTACCACGTGTTTACTCAGTTTTTCTCCACATAACAGCTGAGATGGACTTGTTTTGTGGTGTGATTAAAGTTTCTAATGAAATAGCCCTAGAATCATTTTTTATTTTTTATTAACTTTTTTCTCTTTTATGCTATTTTGACAGCTGTGGTGCTGTGAGCATGTAAATAGCATACAGTAGGTTTTACAAACCTCAACAGTATTGATGTTTTTGGTGGATAATTCACCTAGTGGTGAAGGCCATCTTGGCCACTCTAGCCTCTACCAACTATATACCTGCCTCAAGTCATAATAATCAAAAAAATTTTTCCAAACATTGACAAATATTCCCTACGAGGAACCCTCCCTGCCCTCATTGAGAGCCAATATTATAGATTAAGAGAATAGCAAAAAGAACATTGGAACCATGACAAAAGACCTGTCATCAAGATGGCCAAAGCAGAACCACCATCCAGAGTCTAGAACAGGGTCTGCTAGTTGTCACACACTCTGATATGCCTGCCTGACACTTATGTGAACTGGAGCACCTTGGACCACTTTGGTAACCATGTCTTAAAAAGACACCCTCAGATATTCTCACCAGTCCCTGGACTAAAGCTCTCTTTCTGTGTCCATATGCCAAGCACCAAGTTGTCAGCACACAGATCCCTGCTTCTGTGGGTCGCCAATTTCATGAAGAGGTGGGCATGCTTCTCCACTATGACATGGGCCTGCACTGCCCCCATGGCCGTCCATCCTTTCCAATCTATCTTGCCAGGATGACTGACTCTTCTCAGGGAGATGAAGCATCATGCTCTGAAGGGCCAAGCTCTGCTCTTCTGACATTTCCACATTGTCTAAGAGCAGCTTCAGTTGATGCCACACAATGTCCCTGCTCTCAGGGAACATTAGGTTGCATTCCTGCTACAGCAGAAGTGCCATCCACTGAGCAACATCCATAAAGGAAAATCCTTATTCATAGCCCTCATAGAAGAACATCAAGGAAAGCCGCAATCAGTCACCAACAATGCCATTCCTATTATTTCACTCAAACTTGACCTTCTCTAGCAAAAGCATGAAAAAGCCAAAGTTAGAGATTGATGAGTTGGACTACAAGAATACTTACGCTTTTACTATCAAGTGGCAAGATGCTTTAAAATAACATCACTCATGCCATTGTTGATATCTCCTGGGAGCCCACTTCATGAAGAACCTATGAATAAAAGATGCAAAAGCAGCCCCATCTTCCTGGGCTGTGCAGAAGCTGGCCAGTGAAGTGAGGGTGAGGTGGAGGGGGCATCATGCAGGCAGCCTGAGCACCTTTAAACACCAGCAATCACCTGGCCCCCAAGCCAGTGGCACATCTGCTGCTGGAAGCCCACCACAGTAGCTTTGCTGTGAAAGAAAGGCTGTTTCAAAGCCGATCACCCTCATGTGAGTGAGGCATGTCCCAGACTCCCATCTGTGGGACGCAGCCACATCTCCTGGTAGCAGCATTTAGGAAGGGTGCCACCAAATGCACAACAATCAGGAGATTCTCAGGCAGATGTTGGTGGAGAGCTTGCTGTGTGGTCACCACAGCATGGAAACCTGTCTCGGAAGTCACAAAGCAGCCATGTGGGTTTGAAACTGGCACTGCGCTCCAGTTAGATTCTGGAGCTGGAACTTCCTCTCCTGCTCCTCAGACTAAGGCTGGGCTGTGCACTGATTGTGACTCCCCAAAATACATATGTTGAAGCCCTAACCCCCAATGCGACGGTATTTGGAGATGGGGGCTGTGGGAGTGAGAAAGGTTATATGAGTTCCTGAGAGTGCAGCCCCCATGATGAGATTAGTGTCCTATACATACGGGAAGAGAGAAGTGAGCCCTCTCCACCAGAGGAGGGCATGTGAGGAGGCAGCCCTCACCAGGAACCGGCCTGCTTGCATCTTCATCTTGAACGTTCAACCTCCAGACCTGTATGGAGCACGTGTCTATTCTTATAAGTAGCAGCCCACGCTGACTCACACAGTCTGCTTCCACAGGACAAGAGTTCCCCTCCAAGAAACCACTGGTGTATTAAATGGCAAACAGAGGACGCATGTCATTACAGAAGGAGGATCCAACCTCAGGGGCAGAGAAGTGAGAAGACTGGAGGAAGTCAAGTGGGAAGGAGGAGGACAGCTTTGTCCATTGCAGGGAGAAATGGGGCAGAGCCTGAGCAAAGCCTCCTGCTTCCCAAGTGGGTCACAGGGGTATCCCAAAGGGAATTTCTCTGTCCAGGTTACCAGGCTTTGACTGCTTCTCAAACTGCAGAATGTTGGGTTTTGTCTTGGTCTTGCTGTCCTCTTTACCTGGAATGTGTTACTCCCACCCACATGTCTTCTCCATTCAGACAAACCCTCCTCTTTCTCGAAGGCCCAGCCCAGAAGTGGTTTCCTGTGGACCTGGGATATCCAGGCAGGACTGGTCACTGTGTTCTCTGTGTTCATATAGCACTAATAGAAGTTACTGTGAAATATCATTCCTCCCTAAACTGGAAGATTTTCAATTCCTGTAGGACCCAGCCTAGGACTAGAATATAGTAGGCATTTCATCAACACATGATACATTAATGCATGGATGAGTGAGTAAATGAATAATTAAATGGACACATAAATAAATGAAGCAGTGGTATGCTGTCAACATAACACATGTAACACATGGCTAGTGATGCAATCATCTTGTTAAATAAGTACTCATCTATATTCTATATTCTATTTTAATAAACATAACGAAGCAAATTAGAAAGATGCAAAGTATCTTTAAAAATACCTCCAACAATTAAATAGAATGACACTGTCCCTCTTTTAATCTATCAGTCTACATACAAAATCCTTCCTAACACATATAAGTCAGCTTTGTTGCAACCATAATGCAGCGTACCCAGACAGAGGCAACTTCAAAACCAAAAACTATCCCCAGGGCTGCTCTAGGTGTTAGGTGGGAAGGTTCAAAGCTTCTGAAGCCCACCCACCAAGCTGCACCACCAGCACTGAATAAACCTACACTTCCTCTGCTGATGAGGAGGGAATCCTATTTCGTGCCAAGGACAGACTTTTCCTGAGGCATTAATTACCATCAACCCACACACTATTTCATCATTTCTCACAAATTGCCGAGTAGGGGTTGCCATGCAAAGCCTCAGCATTAAAGGACAGTTGGTACTCAGATCGCTAGAAGTTATTTAGAATATTTTATGGAGGTGGATGGTGGGATGCAAAAGACACTGAAAAAAATTACGTGTACCTGTTTTCCAAATCACTTTTACAGTTGCTTCTGTCCACTCGCTGACCAATTCCACTTTGGCAAAATGCATATGAGTTTGAGCACTTCATGGCAAGTAACCTCACCCCCTCATTTTTCTCATTTTTCCTCAATTTTCCAATCTCTGTTTCTTTTTTCTCTCTGCATCTTTCTGTGGGGAAATGCTAGGTTCAATGCTTCCATTTACCTCCATTTGTCTTTTTCCTAACTTTTTACAAATAGTTTTGGCGAAATACGCAAAACATAACATTTACTGTCTTATTTTTGAGTGTATGGTTCAGTGGCATTAAGCATATTCACATTTTATTGTGCAGCCATCCCCACCTCCCATCTCTAGAATTCCTTTCATCTTGCACACTGCAGTCTGTACTCAGTAAACGCTGACTCCCCACCCTCCTTCCCCAGCCCCCAGCACCTAGGATTCTACTTTCCGTCTGTGAATTTGACTCCTCCATGTAGCTCACATAAGTGGAATCATACAGCCTTGGTCATTTCGTGACTGACATTTCACATCAAGTTTCATCCGTGTTGTAGCTTGTGTCAGAATCTCCTTCCTTTTAAGGCTGAATAATGTTCCATTGTAGAGTAGACCACATATTTTTCTTACCCATTCATCTGTCAGCAGACATTTGGGTTGCTTCTGCCCTGTGACTGTTGTGAATAATGCTCTTACGAACATGAGTGTACAAATATTTCCTGAGATCCTGCTTTCAATTCTTCTGAGTGCATGCCCAGAAGTGAAATGGCTGAATCATATGGCAATTCTATTTTTCATTTCTTGAGGAACTCTTTCCTATAGCAGCTACCCCATTTTACATTTCCACTGACAGTGCAGAGGGGTTCCAGCTTCTGCATAACCTTGAGAACTTTCATGTTCTGTTTCTGTTTCTTTTGTTTATAATAGCCATTGTGATGGATGTGAAGCGATACCTTATCACGGTTTTGATTGGCATTGCCCTAATGATTTTGTGATGTTGAGCATCTTTTCACGTGCTTACTGGTGATTTGTATATGTCTTTTGGAGAAATGCCTATTCAAGTCCTTTGCCCATTTTTAAATAGGTTGTTTGTTTTGTTGTTGTTGAGTTGTAGGGGTTCTTTATATATTCTGGATGTTAACCTCTTATCATATATAGGATCTGCAAATATTTTCTCCAGTTCTCTGAGTTACATTTTCACTTGGTTGAATGCGTCTTTTGGTGGAAAGTGCCCTTTGACCTCTATCCCATTAGCCTACCCCGGTTCCCAGGCAAGCACTCACCTGCTCTGTATCTGATTAGTTTTACTGCCCCAGAATTCCATGTAAAAGCAATGTTGCAGTATGTACATTTTTGCATCTTTATTCTTTTGTTCAGCCTAATGCCTTTGAGGCTGCTACATGTTTTTAGGCGGATCAGTGGTACCTTCCTTTTTATTGCTAAGTACTATTCTACTATATGTAACCAAGACTTGGCTATCAATTCATCTTCTGATCGACTTTTTCGTTGTTTCAAGTTTTTTGGCCATTATGAATAAAACCGTTATGATCATTTGTGTGCAGCTCATTGTGTGGCTATATGTTTTCATTTCTTTTTAGAAAAGATATGAATGGAATTTCTGGGTTTTGTGAAAAGTGTATGTTTAACTTTATAATAAGTTGTCAAACTGTTTTCCAAAGTGGTTGTACCACATTTAATCTCTCCGGAAATGTAAGAGGGTTTCAATTGCTTCTCATCTTCACCAAAAATGTGATTTTAAAATTGCATCCATGATGATGTTATGCAGTTCTATCTCCCTGGGGCCTTAACTTGCCCTTTCATGACTGTAAATGATACTAAGCAGCTTTCTGTGTGCCTAATGCTCATTCATGCACGTTCCTTCAACAAACCCCTCTTCAAATATTTTGCTGGGTTTTTAATATCGAAATTTAAAATCAATTACTTGAGGTGTAATTTACATAGGGTAAAATGCACTCATTTAAAGCATATGCTTTAATGTCATACTTTGTTGAAGTGTCCGTTCCAGTCTTTTGACCATTTTTTATTAGGTTGTTTATCTTCTCATTGAGTTGTATGGGTTATTTATGCTTTGGATTTAATTTCAAGATTCAGACATTTATCACGGATAAATTGCTCCTAGGATTGTTGCAAGCTTGTGGTTAATTTACAGGGTCCTGAAAAAATTGATTTTGACAGTACTATAGAGTGTTCTGATTGCCTTTATGAAGCAGTGGATTTCCAGAGTTCCCAGCCCCTCTGGAAGAGGCTGCTCAAAGAATGTTCGCTGTCCATGAATTACCTTGGCATTGTATTCTGTTCACTGGGGCTACTAGTCTACCCTTATGCAAATTATACATTTTCTTATTAAGGTAGCTCTATCTTAAGTCTTAAAATCAGATAGTATGATCACATGAAAATTAAAACTACCTAGAAAAATGAAAACAATTTTTTTTTTTTTTTTTTTTGAGATGGAGTTTCACTCTTGTTGCCCAGGCTGGAGTGCAATGGCATGATCTCAGCTCATCTCAACCTCCACCTCCCAGGTTCAAGTGATTCTCCTGCCTCAACCTCCTGAGTAGCTGGGATTACAGGTGCACACCACCATGCCTGGCTAATTTTTTGTATTTTTAGTAGATACGGGGTTTCACCATATTGGCCAGGCTGGTCTTGAACTCCTGACCTCAGGTGATCCACCCAACTCAGCCTCCCAAAGTGCTGGGATTACAGGCTTCAGCCACCATGCCTGGCTGAAAACAATTTTCTTAAAAGAACAACAGTAGAGAATTTATGAGTGAATTTAGTAAGGTCAAAATATGCAAGGTCAGTATTAATAGTTTTCTTCCACTGCTTGAGGAGGTTCCATCTTTTCACAGTTTGCTGATAGTTTTCATCAAGAATGGATGTTGGATTCCATCAAATGCATTTTCCACATTCATTGAGGCCACTTTTTGTTCTTATTGTTTTAATATGGTGAATCAAACTGATTTTTAATGTAAACCACTTGCATTATGTGAATAAGCATTATTTGGTAATATTTTTATAGAAAACATGCCTATTTAAAATATCACGACCAATCTTCTACTAATATACAACTTTGCATTTAATGTAAGAAGCTTACAACAGTAGGCTTCAATTTCCACTTTCTGTTTTGTGATTGGAACACATTTTGCTCCATTTGTTATAAGCTCCACAGTATCTTTCCTGAACATTGTATTTTCCCAGGTGTTTGGTGAATGCCCTGGCGCTAAACAAGGTCACTCTTCTTTGTTCGACTGCTCAGACCCCAAATATCTTCCAGCTCTGCTTGAGCTCTGGGAATTGTTCATTTTACAGCTACACAGCAGTCATTCTTTCACTGGTTTTATAAAGTTCCACACTGTGCGTGTGCAGCTTCATATTCAGGAGAATACCTAATAGCAAATATGAAAATGTCTGGAGGTCTTTCTATGCTCCACTTCCTTCCTTCTGCTCTGCAAATTCCAGCTACATGAAGAAGAAGATGAAATTCAACCCTAATGCCGCCATATTCCAGAGAGGATGACTGTTACAGTTTTGGAGGGCATATATATTTTTACTCCAAGGATGTGTGGCTGAGGGTTTGTGGTCTATGCAATGGCATTTTTCTCTACTCATGGTTCTTGCTAGCAAAATTATTGACCTTTCATTTGGCCCAGATTGTGTTCCCCTAAAATATATAGGTTAAAACTCTGACCCCCAGCATGACTGTATGAGGTCAAAAGGGTGTGGCCCTAATCCAATTTGACGTGTTTCCTTACAAGAAGAGATTAGGATACAGGGAGGAAACAGTACCTGCAAGCTGAGAAGAGGGCTCAGGAGAAACCAGCCTTGCCAACATCTTGACCTTGGACTTCCAGCCTCCAGGACTTTGAGACAATAAATGTCTGTTGTTTAAGCTGCCCAGTCTGTGGTGTTTTGTTATGGCAGTCCAAGGTCACTGGGGACAGTGCATTTTGGAAACAGGGGCCCCTCTACACTATCAGAAAGTCAACATTGGCCTCGTCCTGTCTCTTCCCATCACCATGGGTTGGCTTTGGTGTGGATATATTGCACCACGGCCACAGAAATTTGAGCTGGAGGAGACCATCTCCTGGGGAGCTGTTTAAAGAGTTGTCATGTTTGTATCTATGTGGAGAAAAGAGAGAAGGAAGAATGATTGTTTTCTGGGTAAAATCTTGACATGGCTATGTGAGTCCAGGATACTGAATTCATCTCGTGAGCAAAAGAGACCACACCCGAGAATGGGCCAAGCAACAGGAATGGCAGAGAGGAAGCACAGGAGTGCTCAAAAGTGCTCTGGGCTAATTTTAGGGCCACTGATGTCCAAATGTCTTGTTCAGGATGATCATAAACCCCTATGGCGTAAGACACCCTGAGTCGCACTTTGCTACTTACATCTAAAGGCATGCAACCTGAAACACAACTTTCATGTAGCCGCGATACCATGAGTCATGCATTTTGGTAACAGAACTTTCTGTGTATACCATCACGATTTTTCATGTCATCCAACATTTCTCATGAGCCTGATTTTTCACAGTCAGATAATCATTCATGCATGAGTATTCTCTATTCCTGTGTTGAGCACATGGGGCATCCCAGCTTTGCTAATATGCCCAGTCCTGTGTGACAGTCTTGGAGTATGAATCTTGGTCTTCAGATGATATAAGGCTGAATGGTATGGACCCTTTTAAAATTCCTGATCCATATGGCTGAGTCGGTAGTGTGTGAGTGCAGCCAGTTTATCTCATTATGCCATCATGGAGTATTATTTTAAAATGCTTCTAACCTGCTTGGCCATAAGCAATGTTTTTTTGTAGTTTTAATTTACATATATTGGATTCTTCTTGAGGTTGCATCATGTTTTCAAAGCTGTTGATTAGCTGGGTGTCCGTAGGTCTTCTCCTGTGAATTAGGGGATGATGTTCCTTGCTCACTATTGCATGGTACAAGCACTTTTTCCTCATGCAAACCCTGCCTGAGAAACCTACCACACCATTTTTTCCTTGCAGACACATACTTCAAGGGCTAAATCAAACACCTTCTCCTCTGAAAAGCATTTATTCCCTCTGTGGCATCTCTAACCCCACACCTTACTATACTCCCGTAGCTCACTGTGTGTCTCTATTATACACTGCACATGATTTCAGATGATTTTTTGAGGACAAGAATTCTCCTTTGTTCTGCGTCAGTGGGCCCTCAGTCAGCGCTTCCTGGATGAATGAATGAATGTGTGCATTTGTGCCCCTGCTCAGCGCCCACAGGCTTGCAGTAAGGGCACAAACAGAGATGCCTGGTTCTTCATCCAAGGAGGAGCTGATCAACCTTCCTGTGTGATAAATTTGAGGCAAAATGGAGAGAACAACCTTCAGCAGGGACTGAGGCAGAGATCTGGGTAAAAAAAGAAAAAGCGTCTCTGAGCAAAGTGTGTTGTTGGAAAGCTGACACTGGCTGCTTGTCAAATGCAGCCAAAACGGATAGCCTGGGTGCCAGGACTCCATGGGCACTCACAGGCAAGGCCACAGCAGGTACAGTCAGAGGGAAGACGATTGGCACACAGACGTGAAATCCCTCATGCCTGCAAACCACCGCTCCCCAGGCTGCCTCGCTGCTGGGCTGCCTGGCCGCGCAGACACCAGGCCTTTGAGGCAGACCAGTGTCAGCCTGGGTGCTCAACACACTGTTAGGAAGAAAGGGGTGCATACCCTCCAGGAGAATGCTGACCCCCAAAGCTTCTTTGCAGGTTTAATGGGGGCTCACCCTCTTCTCCCCCTGCACTACCTGAAGGAACGCATGTGCTCTGTGATCATGATTCTATGGGAATTTTCACTTGTTGACTTTTATCAATGAGAAATGTATGTTTGCTCTTTATTTTTCCTTTCTTTAGATTATGGAAAAGTAAGGATTATGTGATATTTTTCTGGACTCTGAGAAGTAGTTTTGAATGTCAGCTGTGGGAAAGGAAAATGCACATCAGATGACATGAAATGATGCAAGGTTGCACGTGAGGTCAACAGTGTATGTAAATTTTACTCATTAAGATAGAGTCATTTTTATATTTTCCCTTGGCACTGAATAGTTAAAAGAAAGCTTTTTTAAATTGTCAGCTTGTCTCATTTTTAAGAATAATTGTGATCCTGAAATAACTGGATAAAATCTTTATAAAAAATATACAGAAATGGTTTTTCTGTAGCTCAAATAATGGGATGTCTGTTTCTGTTTCAGGTTTTTGTTTAATTTAATTCCACCAATCTTGCTCTTTTTTTTGGCTCATCACTGTCCAAATGCATCATTTTGTCTTCTTAGTATTGATTATTTTAACATCAGGCTGCAAAAGCCATGTCAAGTCACATAGCTGCATTTACGGTGAGAGCAGACAGTCTACTTCCGAAAGAAAAATTGTGGCTGCCTTCCCCCCATTCGGGACCAGGATTCATTCTTCCCTGGAAGTGTGGTTCGCCCCCAGGAAGTGCCATGCGTGTTTCCTACAGGGAAGTAGCTCCACTCCTCCGGCAGCTCTTTCCCCAGAAACACTCAAATGCTTTTACTCAAGCCGCAAAGCAGGGAAGAAGCCAGTCTCTCAGCTCCACAAGCTGAATCTATAACAGAAGGGCTTAGCAGGGAGGTTCCTCTCTCTTCCTCCAATAAGTGCAGACTACTTGAGAGCTTTTGCCGGGAACGGTTCGTGCCAGGCAGGGCAGGCAACTCCACAGGGTCCCAAGAGTCAGGCATCTCTCATCACATTTCCCGTGGCCTTGATCATCAGCCTGGCCCCAGAGGGAGAGGCATCGGGGCGTGCGGTTCCAGGTATCAGCTCAGAGGGAGAAGCATCGGGGCGCGCGGTTCCAGGTATCAGCTCAGAGGGAGAGGCATCGGGGCGCGCGGTTCCAGGTATCGGCTCAGAGGGAGAGGCATCGGGGCGCGCGGTTCCAGGTATCAGCTCAGAGGGAGAGGCATCGGGGCGCGCGGTTCCAGGTATCGGCTCAGAGGGAGAGGCATCGGGGCGCGCGGTTCCAGGTATCGGCTCAGAGGGAGAGGCATCGGGGCGCGCGGTTCCAGGTATCAGCTCAGAGGGAGAGGCATCGGGGCGCGCGGTTCCAGGTATCAGCTCAGAGGGAGAGGCATCGGGGCGCGCGGTTCCAGGTATCAGCTCAGATAAGTGCATCGGTTCTCTATGCTCGCAGGACCACTGTGGAACAAATGGCCCCCACACTCAGCGGCTGAAAACAATTAACGTTTATTTAGTTCGTGAATCCCTGGGTTGGCTAAGTGGTTCTTTTGATCTTGGCTGGAGGTTGTATGGCCGTCAGTGGGACTACAGCAGGTTGTCTGACACACCTTAGAGGACCTGCTTCATCCTCTGGCAGGTGCCTGGAGCCTGGTGCTGAGGAAGGCAGAAAACAGCCTGGGAAGCCGAGCCTCCATGTGCTTTCTGGGCTTCTGCTGGAACTACAGTTGCTGGCACCCCATCGCCAGGGCACTTCCCTGCCTGGGTCTGGAGTCAGAGTTGACAGATGAGGGTTCCACAAGTGGGAGGGAGGGCGCGTGGGGCCATTTTGAGATCCGTCACAGCAGGTCTGCTTCTGGCCAGCCATGGCAGACTCCATTCTGAAGACCTCCTCACCCTCTCATGCATGGGCCTGGCCTGATGCAGCTGAGCTGGGGTGAGCGAGCCACCTCTGTGTGGTCTCCATGGCACTCAGCGGCTTTTGTGACCCAAAGTCGCAGCTTCTTGCCCTCCGCATGCCTGTCATGTGGGCCAAGAAGCCCAGCCTGGCACATTGATGCCATATCTCAGTTAGCAACAGGAGGGACAGTGGGAGGGATGGACCCTGGGGAAATAGGGATGGTTTAGGAGAAGAAATACAGAGCGCCACTTTGGGAGGCCAAGGCAGACAGATCACCTGAGGTCAGGAGTTTGAGACCAGACCAGCCTGGCCAACATGGCCAAACCTTGTCTCTACTAAAAATACAAAAATTAGCCAGATGTGGTGGTGTGTGCCTGTAATCCCAGCTACTTGGGTGGCTGATGCAGGAGAATCACTTGAACCCAGGAGGCAGAGGTTGCAGTAAGCTGAGATCGCACCATTGTACTCCAGCCTGGGCCACAGAGGGAGACTCTGTCTCAAAAAGAAAAGGGAAGAGAAGAGAAGAGAAGAGGAAAAGAAAAGAAAAGAGAAAAAAGCAAAGAAAGGAAAAGAAAAGGAAAAAGGAGGAGGCAGGCCTTCTACGATGGAGGAAGGGCATCTTGGAGGGGGAAGCCAGGCTTTGTGTGCCTAGTGGTGCGGTCTGAGACTGACCCTCTGCAGGTGGAGATGAATCCTAGGCGGGAGCCTTCTCCTCAGTCCCGGGCCACACAACTGTCCCCTGGGATGGCAAGGAGGGAGACTTGCCAGACACCAAGCTGACAGCAGCACCAGCTGGTGAAGGCCCCTTTTCCAACCGCACGTCTCCTGGAAGAAGCTCGCCAGCACGGGGCACCACCTGGGGTTTCACCTCCGTCCTCCAATCTGACTCTGCAACCCCCAGTGCTTGTCCAGGGTTCCCAGCGGGCACGGGCTCTGTCATCACGGGGGAAAAATTCCCTTTGGATTCAACAGCTGCTCACTGTTAATTCTGGTTCTTTCAATATAGGTTTTGTGAATTTGAGCAAATTATGTAAGATCTGCCACCCTCCTCTACTCAGGTTCCAAAACGGCAGTTGTAAGTTCTGCTTTTTAGGCTCATTTTGAAAAATAGAGATTTGCATACACATTCCCTAGATGCCATGCAGGGAGTTTTACCTACATGTGACATAGAGCAAATAAAATATTAATAGCATGTTACTGTAACCTCCAAACTCACAGTGTCCTCCAGTAGCCTGGGATGGACACGCTTCCTCAGCCTTGGTGTTTGTATTTTCTTTGGTGTTGTGTAACCACAATGCTGGTCCAGAGATGTTCCAAGCAGACACGCCGCTTACAGCGATGGGACATCCTGCACCTGGGCCTCAGCCTGGACAGCCCCTTCCCAAGTTGCCTGCCGGGCCTCAGGAGCTTCTGCAGGAATGTCACATGGGGCTCAACCAGGCATGGGGATGGGGTGACAAAATCCCCACCCCAGACGCCTGCAAGGCTGATGTTTTCTCATGGGAAAGAGCACCTCCAGGTAGATGTCAGGGGCACTGGGCCAGCCTCCCAGACCGGGTTCTGCTGGTTTTGTTTAGACTCACCTCCTGGCACCAGGCACAGAGCTAAGCAGAAAGACGTCTGTTAACAAATATTTGCCGGACATCAAGCTTGTCTGTTCAGCACCAGCTGCTCATTAAACACCTACTGGGCATCAGAATCTAGGTCAGATTCTTAGATCTTCAAGAGTGACAAGTGGGCTTTGAAGAGCTGACAGGCAGTGAACATCCCTTCTTTTTCTCTCCTTCCTTCCTTCCTCCCTCCCTTCATTCCTTCCTTCTTCCTTCCCTCCTTCCTTCCTTCCTCCCTCCCTTCATTCCTTCCTTCTTCCTTCCCTCCTTCCTTCCTTCCTCCCTCCCTTCATTCCTTCCTTCTTCCTTCTCTCCTTCCTTCCTCCCTCCCTCCCTTCATTCCTTCCTTCTTCCTTCTCTCCTTCCTTCCTTCCCTCACTCCTTCCTCCCTTTCTTCTTCCTTCTCCCCTCCCTTCCTTCCTTTCTTCCTTCCTTTCTTCCTTCCTTCCTCTTTCTCTCATTCCTTTCTTCTTCCCTTCTTTCCTTAATTTATTCCTTCCTTCCTTCCTGCCTCCCCTCCCTCTCTCCTTCCTCCCTTCCTTCTTCCTTCTTCCTTATCTCCTTCCTTCCTTCCTTCCTCCTTCTCTCATTCTTTCCTTCTTCCCTTCTATCCTTCATTTCTCCTTCTCTCCTCTTCCCTTCCTTCCTTCTTTCCTTCCTTCTTTCCTTCCTGCAACACCTCATTTTCTCCAGCCCGGGGACCAGGCCCAAGTCAAGGAACTCACAAGAATGCAGATGACAAACCTAGCAGGCAGGTGATGGCGATACAACTGAAAACCATTTTTTTGAATTTTGTTTTTTCTAAATGATGTTTATGATTATAAATTGCGTCTTAAGAAACACTCCACAGCCAAGTGTCATGCAATAGAAAGGTTCCTGTTGAGCTGTATTTCTGACCATGTGGCTGGCTGTAATATATAAGGCTTTGGAAATTGAACTACTGTATTGAAAAATCTGGAGTGCAGATGATGCTGGAATGTGGGTGAATTATAGGAAAGGTGAGGATCCTAAGCCAGGCAGCACACTGCTTTTAGGTGTGACCAATCACCTTGCATCAGGGTAGAAAACCTTCATGGTAATGACAGGGCTTCCTGCAACCCTCACCCATGAGCTTCTGGGAGGCTTTTGCTGCAGGAGAGCAAAGGTGGTGGTCTTTTCATTGCCAGCACCCTGCAGAGCCAGGAGTCACTGCAGAAGGGCTTGGCAAAGCTCCCTCCTCCATCAGACTTTCTCCTACCCAGTCCTCCCACCAGCAAATCGGCTGATGGAGACCGAAGCCTCAGTGTGTGCCTGGCACAGCAGCAGCAGTGTCTCCTGAGACCTTGTCAGAAAGGCAGATGCTGGGGTCCTCCAAGACCACTGAGCCAGACACTGGAGGCTGGAGCCCTCCAGGGATTCTCACGCCCCTACAGCCTGAGAGCCCCTGCCCTCCTATTTTAAGTCATCTTTAAAGGACGCAGAGTGTGAAGTTTGCTGCAAGTCGCTGGATTCTGAGTCTGCTCTTTTAAGGGTATGTGGGTTTTTTGTTTTTTTTCACTTGATCGGTTTCCTGCAGCCTTGAGATTTCCTAATAGAAATTGCTCCTCCAGGACCGTGGACCACCTTCCCTTAACCTCATCGTAGGAAGTCACTCAGACACTCAGACCTGGCCTATCCCACACCAGAAAATGAAGGATGGAAACGACACAGGGATCGGCAGAGGATAGTCAACCCACTTCGTCCCCCAGGTCCCGGGGCGAGGGCAGGCACAGCGCAGTCCCCCTGTGCAATGCCACCACGCCTCACTCCCTGGGCATCGGTGACCCTGCAAGAAAATGAACAAGCTTATTATCATTTGCAGATGTTGGTGAGGACTTTTTCATCCCTAAGGTGTGAAGACTTCACCAAAAATAAAGGATTTTTTCTGATTTCACTGAGAGAAAATCACATAATACAGGGAAGCTACAATTCAATTCTCGAAGTCCAGTGGTAAAACTCTTTGATGACAATTGTGTATATTTATGGAGTCTTACCACATGTGAGGAACTGTCTTTTGCCCCGTAAATTTAAGTCACCTGGTGCAAACCTCCAGCAGGCTGTGGAGATAGCTGCTGAGACTCCACTTATTCTAGTGATGAAGAAACTGAAGCAAAATGCTGAGTGACCCAACCACCCATCTAAGCTCCTAAAAGGGGAGCCCAGAATTAGGAAGAAGCAGCCAGACCCTGGGAGTGACACACCCCCATGGTCCCAAGTTGCCAGGGCAGAAAGGAGCAGGTGACTGCACTCAGAAACCCTCACTGTGTGCACCTGTGCAGAAGCTCACCTGCATGCTCCAGATGAGGCTGGGGAGGAGGAAAGGGACAGTCTTCACGCACTGGCTCAGTGTGACTGGGGTCATGTGTCTGTGGTCAGGGCCTGGTCATCTCCAATGAATCCCTCGATAGCGTCACGATAATGGTATGATGGTCAGGAGAGGAACCTCCATCCAGACTGGCCAGTTTGCCCCTGGTTGGATCCTTCTACGAGGGGTTCTGGCAAAGACCCAACACCTCGCAGGTGAACAGAGTTCAGGTTGACTCTTCTCAACTTGGGCTCAGTTATCACTAGCCAGACGGAAGCTCTGGGCATAGTTCTCGTGAGCTATCAGCCTTCTCTTGCCAGGGCCTGGGGAAGCCGCTATCTCCAAGAAAGCCAAGCGGCAGCTGAACGCAGAGCCCTGGGAGTGCTGACCTGCCAGTGTGTGCCACCTGTGTGTGTCACCTGTGTCATCTGTGTCTACCACCTGTGTGTCACCTGTGTGTATCACCTGTGTGTCACCTGTGTGTGTCACCTGTGTCATCTGTGTCTACCACTTGTGTGTCACCTGTGTGCCACCTGGGTGGGCCACCTGTGCACCAGCTGATTGTGCCAACTGTGTGTAACCCCCATGTGCCCTCTGCATATGCATCTCCTGTGTGTCACCTGTGTGCATCACCTGCGTGACATCCCACCACCCTTCCTGGGCTATATCTCCTTTTCCAAGATCCAGTGAAGCCTCTGGAAAAAGCCCGGAGGTAGGAGACCCAGGGTGGGCTTGCTCCGCCATGGTCCAACCCCTGACTTGCAGGCCTTACTCCAGCAGCTCCTGCTCTGGGTGCTTTGCCATAAACCCCCAGTTTTTCCCTACAAAGGGCTCTGCAGGTGGTGCTCAGCAAAATCCCAAACTCCTCTCCATCACTCTAAGCTGCATTCACCCTTGGGAGATTCCTGGCAGCATTCTCTTCACAGTACCTCTTGAGGTGGCCTTTGAGGTGGGGACAGTCTCTGTCATCTCCTCACCCAAACTCCCCAGCATGGCTGCCCAGCAACCACCCTCCTTCTAACCACCTTCACTGAGCAGCCAGGGCTTCTGGTTGACCTGTCGCAGACACCTGGGTCTGGTTGTCTCTGGGTTGCAGCAGTCCCTCTGTTCCTTCTGATCCTTGGACCTCAGGCCCTCTTGCCTCGGAAAGACAGACAAAGGAGGCTGCTCCTCCACCTCATCCTCCTGTAAGGCAGCAGCACTCCTCAGTGTGTCTGTTGCTCAGGAGTAGATTCGCCTACCTGGGCACTCATTTGATGGCATATTTCCGGGCCCCATCCCAGGCTTTGAGGGGCAGAATCAGTATTTGAGTCCCAGGTACTTGTCATGGATGTTACAGGCTTGGAGTCAGAGCCCCGAGTTCTCATTTCCCCTTCAAGCAACCCCTGCTCCCGGGAGTGAAGGAAGAGAGATGCATTTAGTCCTCAAGGAAGTGGGGTCTTCCAGCTGCAGAGGCTGGGAGCTTTGTTATGCATTAATTCTTGGTGCCCCGTTGTGAGGGCCAGATACCAGCAAATGTAGCAGCATTCAGCCAAAGCCCCCATTTGGTGGAGGTTTTGCACAGGGAAAATTCATGTGAGTTGTGTGGGTCGCCTTTGGGGGAAATCTTTGTGTTCAATCTTTATTACCCAAGGATCAATCGCACTCCGGAGATTTGCTGTTTGATGTAATATTTATCTACAGACTGTCGGCTATTGTTTTGTTGGGCTGGTTCCCCTCCAGAGCCCTCTGATTGTCCTCCAGCTAGTGGGATGGCTGCATTAAGATGCATTTCCGTTCTTCTCCATGGATGCAAACAATACACCCGGAGGTTGAAAGGTGGCCAGGATAACAGAACGACAACGCGACAACGCAGAGGAGGAGACTTTTATCCTCCTCTGCAGTCCCTGCCAGACACACCATGTGGCTGTCGTGAGCACTTCTTTATGTGTGCGGGATGTTTTATTGTCCATAAATCTCAAAGAGCCAAACTGCGGTTGTCCTTGCTGGAAGGAAATAATCTCTTGGTAAAAGCTCAGCCTCTGAAGGCATTGTCTATTCCCAGAGGTGAGAAAGTGAGATGCGCCAGGATCCAGAGCATCTGAGGGTTGTGGAGGGGAAAGTGCTGTCTTTGGGGGGGTCTCCTAAGCTCCTGTGCACCCCAGAGGAACCACCAGGGAAGCCCTAGTGGGTAGGGGATGAGGGTATTACACACCAGATGATGGGGAACGGCTCAATTCCTCTCATGATGAGGCTGGGGAGGAGGGAAGGGACAGTCTTCAGGCACTGACTGGGTGGAAACACCGCCAACAGAAGCTTGTTCTGGCTGGGCAGTGGCCTTTGGGCAAGGCCAACTGACAAAAGTGCTGGACTGAAGCTGTTGACTTGCAGGAAAGCCCACCTCTCTCCCAGCTGAGCCCCGCAATCCAGGTATTCGCTCCGATACCAACCTGACCTGCCTTCTGGGTCCTTCCCAATCCAAACTCCCACTTATTCCTCCTGGAACCTGATAACAACAGCTGAGCCCAAATAAAGTGGGAGACATTGAGCTATCAGTGGGCAGACATTGTGTGCCGCGAGCATCAACTAGAGAGACAGACACCTGTAATGAGTAACCAGTACATGACCACATATATGGAATCTCAGTGGCCTCCTACCCTTCCTTCCCAATCCCGTCCCCATCTTATAAGGAAGAAGGCTTCTTAAAGATCAGAATTCCCTTTTTTCCTTGCTATTTCCACCTCTGATTTGCTACTGTTTCTGTGACTGAGACATGTGATTGAGAATGTACCGCAGGGGATGCTATGGCTTTTCGGGGTTGCTCTGGGAATATGGGGGATTCGATGTCCACATTAGGACTGGAGGTGTGGCTCCCAGCTCCACCTTGCATTAAAATCCTTTCCATAATTTGCACCATAACTTTCAGACACAGAAAAGGGCCATGAAGATCAAAGTTAATCAGAACCTGAACTCTGATGCGTCCAAACAGTGACAGCAAAGAGCAAACAGCAGGTGCGTGATCACACCAGGCACCATCCTACCACTTCACGTGTGCAGTCAGATGCCACATAAAATGCCTCAGTCAACCATGGACTCCACTTATGACAGCACTCCCATAGGTTATAATGTATGTTTACTGTAGCTTTTCTATGTTTAGATATACAAATCCTTACCATTGTGTTACAATTGCCTTCCAGTATTCAGCACAGCCACACGCCGTCCAGGTTTGTAGCCTAGAGCACTAGGCTACACTAGATACCTGGGTATGCTGGAGGCAGTACCTCCTAGAGTATAGCGTAAGTACCCTCTAGGAGGCTTGCACAAGGACAAAATCTCCTCCTGATGCATTTCTCAGAATGTATTCTCATTGTCAAGCAACACATGACTGCACGGCATCTCGGATCCTCATGGCAGACCTCTGAGGTCCATGCCCCTGTCACTATCATGCCCGTTTGGCAGTGGAGGAAGCTGAGGCAGAGAGGGGCTACGTGCTTTGCAGAGTAACACAGCAGGGTGGGGGCAGGGCCAGGATTAAAACCCCAGCTTAGAATCTGCGTTTTTATCCTACACACTGCAGGCCCCAAACACATCATGAAAACTGCATGAAGTCAACATTGCAGATTTGGGCAAATGCACGTCTCAGGATCGATGTAGCCCAGCTAAGCAAATTTACCTGGTGCGCAGTGAATTTACTCAATGGAAGACATCAAAAATTGTTCCTGCACACAAGCTCCGCACACAGTGGCAGGTCTAATCCAGGCTCAGTGGAGACTGGCTTCCTTAGTAAATGGAATCTTGCTGGGCAGATGAGAAGTCCATTATCAGACAAGTATGGTCTAGTTCAAAGAATCTTCCCATTGCAGCAATGGAGCACCCTCCCATCCCTGAGGATAGAGTTGCTATTGAGACTTGAGTTCAGCTGGCTCTGGATCCCACAGACCACTCACCATCAGGAGCTGGAGGCCAGTGTGGAGAGAGATGCAGGGCTCAGGACCACATCTGGAGGAGGGCTAGAGAGTGCCCCGAGTGGGGCATGGGGCAGAGGAACACTGACCATAAGGGACCCTGCACAGGGCCTGGCCACAGAATAAGGAAAGCCACATCCACTGCACTCCACAGGGGCACTACCTGCCAGCGTCCAGAGCCGGGAATTGTTAGGAGCTTCTCACACTGGCCCAGGATCACACACAGGGTCAGGTCAGGCTGGGCCACTGTCTCTCTGGAACTGACCCATCCCCGCGGTCGGCCGTGTCCTTACCTGTGCAACCTGAAACTAACACACAAGCAACCTTGGCTTCCCTGGAGGGACAGAGTGGCAGCATGGCCTATCCTCAGTTCTACCCTGATTCAAAACTAGATTGACATTGGTGGCATTTATGTACTCCAGAGTACAAAAGGAAACAAACATGGTAACTTCCTAGGATGATCATGTAAGAACCAGGTAATGGTGGTGGTTGGTTTGTGTCTTCTTTGTTTCTGGTTATTTTATCAGAAACAAGGTGTACAGCTGCCAACACATCCAATACTCAAGACTTCAGTGGACCATTCACCCCCTAGGAGGGACCCCTGACTTCATTATGGGCCCTGCAGCTGTTAGGGAGAAGTGACTTGGTGTTTCTTCCCTTTTTATGAAAAAAAAAATATATAAGTAAGTTAGTAGTGGAGTTATCCAATAAAAATTAAGTAAATGAATTAAATAAATATTTGCTTTATTGTAAAATTTGAATTTTCAATGGCAAAATAGCCTTGTGAAAAATTAAATGGTTTGATTGCTAGCTTAATAAAATCCCCCAGAGACAACTTTTAGGGAAAAATTAAGTGGTGAATGAGTGGGACCAACAACACCCAAGCAATCTGTTTGTCATTTTCCTTTCAGAATTAATAATTTGATGTAAAATTCTCTCATGCAAGGAAGCATCTCAGAGTTCTGTGGTTCTTTCCAAAGCAGGTGGCAGATCTCTCTGGCTTTCTTTGTGCCTGGACCCTGATGAGGTTCATTTTGACATATGGGCAGATATTTGGGGGGAAAAGTTTAGATTTCTCTGGATATTTGCCAAGATAAAACAATAAAATGTTGGTTTACTTTTCTATGTTTTGTTATGACTAATTGTACCAATCAGGGTTCTCTAGAGAAACACAATGAGAAGTGTGTTCATGTCCGTGTGTGTGTGTGTGTCTGTCTGTATATGTGTGCAGGATCTGTGGTTACAGTTTACCCTGGAGTAAGACACAGATATAAACATAGGTGTGTATGTGGGTATACACATAGGTGTCCCAGCTGTGCCCATGGTTCACCCTTTTTTTTATACCTCCCTGGTTTCCTCCATAGCATCTATCATCTAATTAACCACAGATTTTATTTATTTTCTATTTGTTGACTGTGTCCGTGCACTAGAACATAAGCTGTTAGCTCTACGAAGACAAAGATGTGTTGTTGGGGTTTTTTTGGTTTTTGTTTAGTATTAAAAAATTACGCCTTTCTTATTGTTCATGGGTCTACAGGTTAGCATATGGCTCTGCAACTTGGGTGGGGCTCACGTGATTTTGGTTGGATTCATTCATTCATGTCTTGGAAGGCAGCGGTCATTCATGAGGTAGTTTCAGTACCGCGGACAGCGCTGAGCATGTCCCTGGTGTTCAATGAATTTTCATTAAAGGCATCTTGATTCAGATCCCTAATTGAAGGGTGCGCGTTCTTTTCATTGTAACCCAATTTTGTAGCATCCCTAGAATTTGGGCCAGTAGCTTCCATTTACCATTTTACTATTTAATGATACAGAAATCAAAGGAGGCTGCCGCACTCGAGCCTCACTGCTCTGCTCTTTCCCCTGGTCCTTGGCAGAAGATAATGATCATGTTCACAACATCAATTTGGGGCTGAAAGTCACAGGGCAACCCACGAAACACCTAGCTGATCATTTGGAATCCCTTCACCTAACATTTGGACTTATTTTTATAGCAGGAAATATCTAAAAGGATTTTTCATTTTTGGAATTTAAAAAGAAATTTGGGGTTATTTTCAATGTCACTTTATTAAAATAGAAGCTGAAACTGCTTCGAAGCCTTGCCAAATGCAGTGAATTTCCCATTTATCGAGGCTTTTTTCAGCATGAGCCGATTGCTTATTTTCTCCCCTTTGCCATGTAGTGGGATAATAGCCCTCCTTCCAAATTGGTTTATCTCAGTCCACAGGAGTTTATAGCTCAGTGTCAGGCAAAGAAACCCTTCACTTGGATGCGTTTCAGTGTAGAATTGACAATGACAGCCAGCGGGAAAAGAGTCTCCACCAGGACGCAGACACTGACCTAACATAGTCTGTTTTCTCGCTATCTCAGAAATCGCTTTCAGAATGAAGGGGGAGACCCACGACAGAGAGGGGGATGCCACCTGATTCACAAGCTTTGCTTCCAGCCTGAACTCAGGCTGCCACATGAAGTGCAGTCCCAGAGCTCCATGCTCCTTCTGCCATTTGGACCCACATGAGTTTGTTCTGGGACTGTGGACAAGTAACTTCTTCACTCTAGATTTTAGTGCTCAAAATACAAAACACGCTGTGCCATTGGTCCTCTGCCATTGATAATGCCTTCTCCCTTTGAGCTGTTGTCTCTGCCTCTTGCTATACAAGATTCTGATAAGTAGTAACTTGATAAAGATCATGAGAGAAGGGACAGAGCACAAAGGATCCCAGAAGGACTCATCAATCAAATCCTGAACACTGGAAACTGACCCCACTGTCCAGCCAGTGTTAAAATCACTGGGCACAGTTATAGCTTTAAATTGAGAGTGGGTTAAAGCACAACACAGGGTTTGCATTCCTTCGGTCGGAATGGTTTCTAAAAACCGGCAAGTTCAACTGAAATGCAATGGCAAAAATACTGCTCTTGGGGTTTTTATTTTCACATTCATAAAAAGGGTTGTTTGCAGCCTGACTTGTTACTGAGACACATCCAATGTGATGCTCTGCGTGAGGGAGGCAGAACCCCTGCAAACACTCCGTGGGCCTTGGTTATCCCAGACACTGCCCTTGCTATTAGCTTGATGCTAGACCCAGAACCGATGATGATTATCAAGGATGACAGGGCTCTCACACGGCTATCACATACAAGCTTTGAGAGAGGCCATAGCTGCTCACATCTCAATAAGGGGCTGCCCTGGAATGACCCCCAAATCATACATGCAGCTCACTATAAGGTTTAATGTGGAATCCTGACAGCTTTTGAGATGAACCAGCTCTTTTTAGGTCTGGGCTCCCAAGTGACTATTGCAGGCTCAGGATATGCAACATCTTTTACTTTGTAAGGAGTTATTAAAGGCCGAAGCCATTCCCTTCATTAATTATATGTCAGTTATTTGAAAATCAGTCCACCATTCACATCATTTCTCTGTCCTTTTTCAAAGGCGGTTCCTGACGTTTTCCTTTCAGCTGTTTAGTCAGGCTCAGGCTGCCTGTAAAGACACTTTTCACTGAAATAATAGGAAGGCAAATCCCAGGGCAAGAATCTGACAAAATTGTTAGTTATTGCACAGAGAAATAAGGGAATAGGTGCAGGAATGCGCTCACAAGAAGCTGTATTTTAATGACAGAGGAACGAATGGGAAAAACGGCATTTCCTACAGTAGCTTTAAAAATCAATTACTGCAGTTTTCAGTGGAGAAATGTGTCTACTCAGCATAACTGTTTCGTCCCCTACATTAATAAGAAATATTTTTCTGATTCTCGGACTCTGCAGCTCACAACCAAACATGCCCCGGCTCTGAGGGATAACTTCTTTGCCCCCAGAAAGGAACAGGATTGTGAACTAGTTCCTCCCCACATCACTGAAGATTAATATTCAATTCTGTTAACCGAAGGTTTTCAAGCTCAGCTCCTCACTTTGTTTCAACATAAAATGTGCAACTGCTAGGATGTCACCGAGAGATGGACGGCGGCAGGGACTGGGGAGCACGAGGTTCACCATCTCAAGGCCTCACGTCAGTGCGTCTTTCTTTCTCATTGCCAATTATTTGTAAGCGCAAGAGCAGAATAAAGAATATTACCCTTCAGCGCAGTGGCTCACACCTGTAATCCCAGCACTTTGGGGGGCTGAGGTGGGTGGATCATTTGAGGTCAGGAGTTCGAGACCAGCTTGGTCAACATGGTGAAACCCTGTCTACTAAAACTACAAAAATTAGCCAGGCATAGTGGTGTGTGCCTGTAATCCCAGCTACTTGACAGGCTGAGGCAGGAGAATCACTTGAACCCAGGAGGCAGAGGTTGCAGTGAGCTGAGATCGTGCCAGTATACTCCAGCCTGGATGACAGAACAAGACTCTGTCTCAAAAATAAATAAATAAATAAATAAATAAATAAATAAATGAATAACTATATTGCCCTTCGGAGTACAGGCCCTGGTTAGCCCAGCCTGTCGTCCTTGTGCCTGGGCAAGCAGCAATGCCAGGTGCATCCTCCAGCCTGTCCGAAGAGGAGGTTTTGACCAAGGAAGAGAATTTCCCCCAAAAGTAAAGACAGTAAAACATTTGGCAAGCGATCCTGTGTGCCACAAGGGGGCCCCGGGTTTGAGGATTTTCCTCATCTCTTTGTGTTCTCCATGACAGAAATTATCATTTTATACCTAGTAATAAGGTTGTTGGAGTGTGTGCACATTGGAAAATTTCGAGCAGAGAAAACAAGGGGCGCTTCTCTTAATTAAGGAAGTGAGACTCTGCCTCGTGTGAGTTGGCTCCCGCAGGCGGTGAAACTGCCTCTTGGCTAAATGGAGTCCTGGTGGCCGGGAGCTGACCACTGGGTCTGGCTGAGGACGCAGCTCCAGGCCGGGACATTGTCGCTCCCTGCTCCGGCTCTCAGGGCCTGCCTGTCTCAGCAGCTCCACCTCCTGAAGGCAGGCGATTATCTGTTCATGTGGTCCGCACGCTGACGAGATTGTCTTTTGAAGCTGAGAGGGAGAAGCACTTGGCAGAGCTCCCCGAAGCAGATAACGTCCCTTCCATTAAGTAATGATTGCACTATCAGAGCTCAGAAGCTTGTCAACATATCACAACGACAATAGCACTGTAGCATCTGCCTAAAGACAGTCCGTGGTCATCCATGGCTCCCTTGAAGGCTATGGCAGAAACGCTGTCAGGCTGGCCAGGTGCCGTGGCTCATGCCTGTAATCCCAGCAGTTTGGGAGGCTGAGGCGGGTGGATCACCTGAGGTCAGGAGTTTGAGACCAGCCTGGCCAACATTGCAAAACTCCGTCTCTACCAAAAATACAAAAAAATTACCCCAGCATGGTGGTGCGCACCTGTAATTCCAGCTACTCAGGAGGCTGAGGCAGGAGAATTGCTTGAACCTAGGGGGTAGAGGTTGCAGTGAGCTGAGATCATACCATCTCCAGACTGGTCAAAAAAGCAAAACTCTGTCTCAAAAAAAAAAACAAAAAAAAATTGGTAGGCTGAGGTGGGCAGGTGACAAAGTTAGGAGTTCAAGACCAGCTTGGCCAACAAGGTGAAACCCCATGTCTACTAAAAATACAAAAATTAGCCAGGTGTGGTGGTGGGTGCCTGTAATCCCAGCTACTCAGGAGGCTGAGGCAGAAGAAGTGCTTGAACCCGGGAGGCGGAGGTTGCAGTGAGCTGAGATCGCACCACTGCATAACAGCCTGGGTGACAGAGCAAGACTCTGTCTCGGGAAAAAAAAATGCTTTCAGGCTCAGCAGCCGCCAGCTATGTCTTGTGGCTCATGGGCACCATGGACCTGGCAGCCCACTCCCAATCTCTGAGTCCGAAGATGTGTGATGCCTGCGTGTGCACTTGCACGTCTGTCTGCACATGCATGCATTTTGTGTTTGTGCAACTGTGTATCTGTGTGTGTGTGCATGCTCATCCGTTCTAACAGGGACCCGCTGTGGGGAGATGATCTAAGTAAGCGTATTAAGGACCAGAAATAGAAGCTCCAAGCTTCTGATGACAAGGGCTATGGCTTTCCTGCCAAGATAGCTCAGATGCTGGCACATGGTGAGTCTTCAATAACGGCTGAAAGTGAATAAAATGGCGACTGTGTGGTGAGGAAACAGTTAATACAACCAGAGCAAGGTTTTTTTTTCACTGAAGACTAAATGAGGCCACCTTTTCATGTGCAACTCACCAGGTGAGAGGGAAACCCCTCCCCACACTGCTCTTCCTGCCCTCTGAGCCAACTGATATCCTGGGATAAGAACTCCATCCGCGCCACCCTCAGAGCCCCACTTAGGAAGGCGTCTGTTCGTGTCTGAGCTGACTACATTTTGAGGCAGATAGGCAGACTCGCTCTTGGAAGTGTGGCTATCTTCCAGTCTGTCACATTGCTGAAAAGTATCAAGCAGAACTATTCATGAACAATGTGAGACAGTAAAAGAGGAAACCAAAAACAACTTCAGCAGAAATGTCTGTTTAATTAAAATTAAATTCTAGTGCCTGTATAATATGTATATCCCATTTAAAACAAATCCAACATAAAATCCTGTTAATGTACATAAACAATAAATTAGTGAGTAGTCATTTGCATCATACGATTTTTCTTCTCTTTGTAAAAAAGCTTTCATTCATTTATTTGTTGCACAAACATTCCTGGGCATAAACTGAGCTTCTAACAATAATTGAGACAGACACAGCACCTGCCCTCATGGAGCCCATGCTAGAGAGAGGGAGGCAGTGAGGGGGTTCACAGAATGTGAGGCTGATGGTGTGACCAGCCAGAGCTGCATTCAAGCAACAGCAGAAGCCAAAGGAGGCAGATGGAGGAGCAGCTTGGGGGGTATGAGAGGAAAAGGGCACTTCTTGGCTCCAGCACTCAGGAAAGGATATCTATAATGCTCCAGCCAGGTGTCTCTGTCACCACAGGTGACGTTATGCTGCAGTAACAAAAATCTCCCAAACCTCAGGGCTTTAAAAACTAAGCTGAATTTCTCACTCACACAAGGACTGCCATGGGTCTGGGAGCTCCCCAAGACAAGTGTCCTCCAGGTGGAGACAGCAGCCAGGGACAAAGGCCGGACCTTCTAGAGTCTGCACAGTCTGGATGCTCAGCTTCCTGGTTGGCTAGAAGTTCTCATGCTGATAATTAAATGCTTGGCCTGCTGGTGACACATGTCAACCCTGCCCCCAACCCACTGGACTGAGGAAGTCATATAGCCCTTCTGACGCTGAGCAGTCAGCGGAGGGAGACTATTTATTTGCTGGGAAGGAGGCAAGAACTGGGCGTTGTTGAGTAGCCGTCACAGCGCCCATGCTGGTGCATTACTGTGAAGAGAAGCAAAGTATGAAACTACGGACAGTGCCGGGAGTTATGAGGGGGTGCGGCCGTCTAGAGATGCTTGTGCTGGGGAGAGGTGGGCGTTTATGAGGCTGAATGGGACCCAGAGTGGGACCCTTCCTAGAGGTCCCGCTGGCGGCATCAAGGCCCCCTTCTCTATTGTTGGCGCAGAATCAGCCCAGACAGCCCAGTGAGATCCAGCCAGTGGTCAGTCCCGGGGCAGGGGCGGTGGGGAGGGAGGTATCTTGCAAAAATTAAGGCTCATCTGCACTTGAGGGGGAAACATGCTAATTCCTTGTAGAAAATACTCTTGTTTCTTCCATCTCAATTTTATCTGTTCAATAATACTATTCGGAGAAAACATGTTTCATAGACTCTTGGTTCAACTTGAAAGAAGTTCTTGTAGGTAAGAAAGGGAAGGTTTTAAGAAAGGCCTGTTTCTATTTGATCTTAGCCAAAAGGCTGGGAAGTGATTGAGAGGCCTGGTTTCCAGTGGCAGTTGTACTTTAACAGAAGAGATTTCAAAGATCGTTGGTTTACCACAATCACAGCTTGAGCACTCCCACAGATGAAGTGAGAAGCGCCTTTGCCCATCAGCCCTGCCTCTGCTCCAGGTCATCACTCCCTGAACCAAGATGTCCCTCAGGGGGGGGGCAGTTCAACCGCAGGCAACGACTCTGGATCCAAGGCCACGGTTATTGCTCATTCTCACGTCCCCCGGTCCTCGGGGAGGAGGAGCTGTCCTGTCCGCAGGGTCCTAGCGTCACGATGGCGAGAAGGGGGAATCCTGGAAAGCTGTTTCCCAGCCACTCTGCAGGGAAACATGGTGGTGGCCCTACAGGGACACAGACTTGGAAACAGCTGGCCCCGTGGTGATCCCTGACTGGGGCACCACTGTGCAGGGAACACTGGGGCATCACTAATTTCCAAGTGGTTAATACCCTAGGGCAGTGGTACTGAGAATTTTAATGGTGATATTTGCTTTCAATTAATTTTTCACAAAATGAACTGAATCTCATTACAACTGAGGGTTTAATTGATGCGGATCTGTACAGGGCACCACATCGAGCACTTTGATGGATTGTGTGATTCATCCCTTGGTCTTTCAGGGAAGACAGGCTTATTCATCAATTTATTCATTCCATTGTTTTTTGAATACAAGGGACCCCAATTTCAGACAGGAAGGCAGAACCTTCCATACTCTGCTGATCACCAGCCCCACCCAGCCTCACCTGGTGCGAGCCCAGCCTGAACTTTATTCCCAGCATGATGGTCAGCAAAGACCAGTGATGGATTTTCTCTGCCATTCACTTCTGCCTCTCCATCCGCCCTGGCTGTACCCACCGTCTGGACCCCTGCCTTTCTTGGTGCCCATGTTTCCAGATTCTTCTCTCTTCCAGCCATGCTCCAGACATGCCCCTTCTCACAGCCTTCTCCTCATCAACTCAAGCCTGACCCTTGGTGTTTCTCAGATTTGTTTATTCCCTGCTGTCTCTTCCCTCTTGGTTGTCTTCCCTGAGTGACTCCACCCAGTATGGTGCTGGCCCTGCCCTCCCTGATCTCTGTCCAGGCTCTGCAAGCTTCAGCTGCATAGGCAACACCTCCAGGTCGACATACCCAAAGCTCAGGATCCTTTGCCCAGATCCCGGAACAGCTGGCTCCTCTGCACTCCCACTCAGATCGGGAAGCTCCCAGCCTTCCAAATGCCAACTCCAGACATTTTAGCACAATCCTCTCTGTCCATCTCTGGTCCTACAGATTGGTCCTTTGATCCTGCTCCATCCTCTGAAGCCTCAGCCTTCCTTCTCATGGTGCTTCCCGTGAGTGCAAGTAAGAAAAGCAAATGCTCCCAGGTGCCCCAGCTCCTAGGCTTACCCCTTCTATTTCATAACAGCTCCCACACGACTTCTCTGCTAGAACCATTTCTGTAAAACCACACCTGATGTGTCACCTGTTGTGGAGGTTCCACGGGTCTAAAGGAATCCCTGCACTACATGACTCCCCTCCCACAGACTCCACACCAAGCAGTCCTGAGCTTCCCTCTGCTGCAAGCCCTATGTCCTTTCTCCATTATCCACAGGTCTGCTTCTTCTTCAAGCTCCAGGTCAGATGCAACTCTCTGGTGATGTTTGTCTGAACACCCAAACAGGGGTGGCCAGTCCTTCTTGGATGTTTCTCAGGACAACAGGGATATTCCTGTAATGTGCAAAAGCCATACCACGTCTTATCCACCTCTTATGGGTCGACTTCCCTTGCTAGACTGGGACCTTGTTAGGTTAGGACGTGTATCTCAGTGGGAGCAGTACTTGGCACCCAGTGGTGCTCAGCGTGCACGGGACGTGAAGATCATGTGAAGCACATGGCCTCTAAGAGCCTACATAGTGGAGAAAAAAAATACTGGAACATTCTATTTCATGCACAAACTTGCCACGTGCTACATTCACCAGCGGCTTACACATCCCGACCTTCCTATCTCTAAGCTAAATAAAGTATTAAAAAGGATTTTCCTTCATTTACATTCAGGAATTTCATTACGATCACAGAGTACTGGAGAGAGATGAGGCTCAGATTCTATATAAGCAGCAGTTTGGGCTTTGTGATATGACTCTGCCTCTAACTGGAAGTGTGACTTGACCAGTTTCTTAATCACGAGGGGCCCCAGATGGCTTCTCTGTCTTGAAGACTCAGAGGTCCCAGTATGGTGTCTGCCCAGGACAAACTCAGAGGTCCCAGTATGGTGTCTGCCCAGGACACAGGCATATTCAAAATGGCTCACCGTGAGGTTCCTCTCACTTTACTGTTATCAGCATTATTTTCGGGGTCATTTAGTTAACAGGTGTTACTGGAACACCTATTAGGTTCTAGGTGCCAGGTGCCAAGCTACATGCAGATACTGAAGACACATGAAGCATGACCAGCTCTTGAAATCCATGGCAGGAACATGCTCTCATAGCAAGCATCATCACGTCTAACCTCTTCTTGGCCCTCGGTCTGGGAACCAGGACCTCTTTTCTTAACTCCATTGTGATGGCCCCCCGCTGATCCTGTAGGTTAATGAAGCAAATTCTTCTTTCTGCAGATTCAAGACCAAAGCTGGGGACTGACCATGGCAGGACAGGGTTCCAATGCCTTCCAACCATCCCTCCCCTTGAGGACAGTGGTGGCATGGATGTCCACAGCCAATGATTCACATGTCCTGTGTCTGTGCTGGGGCTATGGGGAGCCAGGCTGTGATGATTGCCGTTTCCACCCAGCCTCCAGGATCCTGGGACTTTTCCTTCTGCAGAAGTGGGAAGAGAAATATTTGCCTTACAAAGCTGAATTGCATTTCTAAGTCATGCTACTTGGCAGCACTGTATCCTCAAGCTGTTCAATGTTTTCTTGGCTGCTTTTCTGACATGTAAATTAAACTATCATTTCTGCCCCAGCTATTTTTTTTCTGGTGGTTCACAAAGTGAATGCTGTAGAAAAGTTAGTTCTACACAAGAATTGAAAACATCTTAAACATTGTATTCGTTGCTTATCATATTGATGATCTTTTTCCAAAGTAAGCCAACTCATTGACCAAACAGCACTCCCCGATTGATGATCTTTTTCCAAAGTAAGCCAACTCATTGACCAAACAGCACTCCCCACTAGCACTCAGATTCCTGTTGCATACCTTAAATATAGTGCATTGGGGCAGTTCGCTACTTTACTGCCATGGATGTGTTTGCATGCTGGAAAGATGCTGGAAAGTGAGAAACAGACACTGCTTACATGTAGGATGACAGTGTTCCAGAGTCCATTCTTCGGCAAGAAATGGGAAGTCTCCAGTGTCATTAGGCGGCCAGGGAGCACTCTGACCTCAACAAAAGCAAAACATCCAACTACAGTAAATGAACCCTGTTGTCTGCTTTGCCAAGGAATTGTCACAGTGGAAAAATAAAAACAAAAAATTTTTAGTAAACAGCATGAAATAGAGGCAAAACATGGAATTTGAAAGTTTGTAATTCAATGTACTGATGTCCAAATTAATTGCCTTGCTTAATCCAAGAACTTCACCTCTCTAAGCTCGAATTTCTTCATTTATAAAGTTATCATAGGATTCAGCTCGCTTGTTGATATGAAAGACTTGGAACAAGTGAAAATAGTTCATTCTATTACCTTTTTAAATGAGATGTTTAGTCACTGTGACTAGAAATCCAAACGTGAGGAAGGCAGGCACTAAGTCAAACAGGCCTGCCCAGTTTGTGCATTCTCCACTGCACCCTGTAGTCTCATCTGCTGAATTAATGAACATGCATACTTCTCTTTCCTTCCAAACCTTTTCACTTGCAAAAATTGCAGGGGTGAGCACAACCTGAACACATCATTAGGGTTTCCAAACTTATTTCTGTCTCACACACTGACAGAGGATTATTTCTTTCTTCTAAACAAAATTTGACATCACTAATTTTGAATAAATGGTATGCTTCTACAGAAAAAAAGAGGCATGTGTGACCCACCTTGATTTCCTTCACAGAGTGTCTGCTTTTAAACAATTTTTCTGAGAAACGAACCACTACCTCCTATAGCATAGACTAAGTTTTGAAGGCACATTCTGGAAACAGTGTAAGGGCTGTGGCGGTCAGTGGCACACCTCGGAGGCAGGTGCGGCTCCCTTTGGACACAGGTGGGGTCAGGCGCCTCCAGTGGTGGGAGGTCCTCTCCACTTCTGCCCATGGTTCTCACCACAGGCACCATCAAAGCTCAAGTCTGTTCAGATTCGCCCCTGTTACGTGTAGGTTCTGTCTCTGTCACACTCTCTAATGGACGCAAAGTAGAGCTATTGATTTTGAGTGATGATGCTGTGTTCATTCTGTTTGCTGAATTTATTTACTGTAAATGGATAAGTAAATGACTGGTAAATACTTAACGTATAAGTAAAGGATCAATAAAATGCATCTCTCCTCACATGGCCAGTTATGCTCCTCAGAAAGAGTCACAATTAAAGTTTTTAGGGTCAGTCATGAAGTAGTTTTGCATATACAAGAACACCTATGCCAACATACATACCAGATTGTTCTACTAAAAAAAAAGTGCCTGTAATCAGATCCCTCCAGAGTCCATCAGGAGTCAGGGCTGCCTTCAGAGTCTCCTGTCACCCAGTAGGTCCCCAATCCCCTCCCAAATCTCCCATCGCCTTCACGAGACACACAGAGCTCCCTCACAGTCCACCTTGATACAGCTTCAGCCCCATTTGTATTTCTTTGAATTCTAGTCAAATATTTTGTTCGCTATTGAAACATGATTTTCTTTTGACATTTTGATGTATACTTTGTATTAAGTAAATTAAACATTCAGAATACTGCACAAATTATAAATGTACATTTTGAAATTTCACAAAGTGCACAAATCAATGTAACCAGCAATGAGATCAGGAAACAGTCGTTACGGCACCTGCAGAAGCTCCTTGGAGTCCACTTCCGGTCACACCCCCACCTCCTCTGAGGGAAGCCAGACCCTGTGACAGCGTGGCATATACTCACTGGGGTCTGGACCCCATAAGCCTGGAATCACACAGGATGTGCTCCTTTGTGCACGTCTTCTTTACACTCGGAATTGGGTTTGTGAGATGTGTCCATGTCACTATATGCGGTTGCACCTCCTCCCTCCAGTGTTCTGTGTGATCCTCCCACTGTGCATGGTCATCTGGATGGCTTTCTTTTGGAGGTCTGGCTAATAAAGCTGCAATAAACACTATGGCATGTGCACGTGCACATTTTTGTGGCATCTTTAACAGTGAATGGAATTGCTCGGTTACATGCTATTTCAGTTCAATAGAATTGCCACATAGATTTCTAAAAGAGTTGTACCAATGTACACTCCTACCAGCAGTAGAGAAGGGTAGTAGCCATTCTTGCATGGCTATAAAGAAATATCAGACACTGGGTAATTTATAAAGAGAAGAGGTTTAATTGGAATGTGGTTCTGCAGTCTGTACAAGCATGGCACCAACATCTGCTCAGCTTCCGGGGTAGCCTCAGGAGCCTTACAATCGTGGCGGAAGGTAAAGGGGGAGCAGGCATGTCACATGACAAGAATAGGAACAAGGCTCATGGGGAAGGTGCCACACACTTTCAAAGGACCAGATCTCGTGAGAACTCACTCACCATCATGAGGACAGTACCAAGAGGATGGTGCTAAGCCATTTAGAAGAAATCTGCCCCCATGATCCAGTCACCTCCCACCAGTCCCCACCTCCAACACTGGGGATTACAATTCAAAATGAGATTTAGGGAGGACACATCCAAATCATATCAATGAGTGATCCAGCTGCTCCACACTGCTTCAAACACTCAATAGCATCTACCATTTCAATTCTGGCCATTTTGCTGAGTAGGTAGTATACAATATTGTGCTTTACATAAGTTTATGGAAGTAGCATATACAGATTGTAAGAAACACTCATTTGAAGTTTACAGTTTGCTGAGTTTTGACAGATATATTTTTGTCACCTTAAAAGGGTCCTCAATTTCCTTCTGGTCAATCTTCCCATCCTTACCCTCTGGCAGCTGCTATTTGTCTCTATGCATTTGTTCTGTTGTTCTAGAATTCCATAGAAATATAAATGGAGTTATGTGCACTGTTCTGTGTCTGGCTTCTTTTGATGAGAATAATGTTTTTGAGATTCATCCATGTTGTCATGTAAATCAGTGTTGTATTCATTTTTATTGCTGAATATTATTCCATTATATGGATATTCCAAAATACTTTTATTCATTCTCTAATTGAAAAAAAATTGAGATCATTTCCAGTTTTGTACTGTTGAGGGAAGCTGCCAGGGATGTAAGTGTGTAAGCCTTGTGTTGAACATGCATTTCCATTACTCTTGGGCAAATGCCCAGGAATAGGATTGCTGGGCTACATGGCGGCAAGTGTGTGTTTAACTTTATAAGAAACGGCTACGCTATTTTCTAAGCAGCTTGCACAGTCATCCCCTCTTTCCACTGAAGTATGAGGTTTCCAGCTCTTCCGGATTCCCACCTTACTCAGTGTTACTGTTTTAAAAAATATTTTAGCTTTTTCAGGAGTCAGGTAGTGGCCCCTCATTGTGGTTTTTATTCTCATTCTCCTGGTCACCAAATGCTGTATATCTTTTAATGCGTTGATCGATTATCCAAATATCATCTTTTAAGAAATCCCTGGATTCTGCCAATATTGAATTAGGGTGTTCACCATCTTATTGAGTTGCAAGTCATTTTTATGTTCTGGATACAAGTCATTTGGAATATTTTCTCCTAGTCTGTGTCTCATATTTTTATGTTTTGATGGTTTTGACCACAGAGCAGAAGTGTTTATTTTGATAAAGTCCAGGTTCTCAAATATTTTCATTTATGATTAACAATGCTAAGCAATCTTTGCCTAATCCCAGGTTTCCTCTTGTTTTTTTTTTTTTCTAGAAAGTTTATATTTTTAAGCTTCTACACTTTAGTCTATTTTGTTTGAAGTTGTGTTGTGTGTGGAGTGAGCTAAGGGTCAGTGATACGTTTGTCCATTTCACTATTTCCTTGACTTCATGCTATTTTTGAGCAGGCCTAGAGTAGCTATTTCTGAGGTGAAATTCTTCTGCATCTCCACTGATACCAGTGTATGCCCAGTGCAGTCCTTTCTGTCTCACTGGTTGGAGCTCGTCTATGTCTCCTGTGAGGTCTGACCTGCTCCATTGACCACCCCCTGACCCTCGTCTTTGTCCCAACTCAAGGAATCTCACTCTAATATGTCCTTAGCTGAGAACTCAGCCCAAGACTCAGTGGGACCCTGGAGCATGCTTCTGGAGCTTTGTCTGAGAAACTTCCTTCTTGCACATACGCTGCCCTCCAAATCTCAGCCACCTGAGTCTGCTAGAATTCTTTTCCCTGTTTTAGAAAACTGATGACCATTACTCATTAAATTTTCCTTCTTTCCATTTACTTTGTCTTCTCATTCTGGGGCTCCATTACAGATATTTTAGAACCGTATACCACATCCAATTTAACTCATACTCTGTCTTTTTACTCAATTATATCATCATTCTTCTGTTGGGATATGTTCTACTAGCCTGACCTTCCATTTCCTAATAGTTTCTTCTGCTGTTATGTATCAGTCATGATGACTTACTCCTATAATCCCAGCAACTTGAGAGGCTGAGGCTGGAGGATTGTTTGAGCCCAGAAGTTTGAGGCTGCAGTGAACTGAGATCACACTCCAGCCTGAGTGAAAGAGAGACCTTGCTCCCTGCAAAAAAAAAATCTGCAGTTATACCCAGTTATACCCATCCAGTGATTCTTAATTTAATTTCAGTTATTATTTTTCCATTCCAGAATGTTTATTTGATTCGTCTTAATACATTCTCATTCTTTGGTAATATTTTCCTATTTTCCATCGTTTCATGTGTCTTCCACAATTCTGTATCTATTTTCTTTAACATACTTATCATAGTTATACTAAAGTCCTTGTCAAATAGCTCAGATATTTGCATCATCTATTGATCTGTTTCTATAGTCTATTTTTTCTCTTTAATTTCAGTATTGTGATACTGCTTTCTAAAGATACAATTTTATTAAGTACTAGAAACTGTGGATAAAATATTGTAGTGTTTAATGATGTTATCCTCTTCTTAAGAGGGTTCATCTTTACTAAGCCCATAGATGGTGATTGATCACCTTAATCCAACTAGGAACTGTGTTTAACTAAAGCCAGATCTCAAGCTGATCTGACTGTGGCCCTCCAAGATTTTTACCTGAGAGTCTGGTGTATTCACAGCATTCCCCTCCTGGTGGGTCATAAATTCTAACCTGTGGCTCGTGAAAGTGACAGAAACTCCCATCTTTTTCAGAGATTTTTGTATAGGCTTTTAGCTTCTAGCTCAGGGCAGCCCTGGGATTTTCCAACTTGCATGAGGAAAACCTAGCCATGCTCTCAATGCCTATTTCATCTCCACTGCAGGCTCTTCCAGTGTGTCTATACCTCACAACAGGTGCAAAGCTGGACTTTCTATCTCTTGCCCGGGCCCAGAGCTGGCTAACATCCCTTGAGTAAGACTGCTGCAGGAGTCAGCTAATTTCTCTAAGGTTCTCCCGTCACCCTGCTGCCTTCAAGAAGATGGCTTCTTTATTTTATCTTGCTTGTCTGCTTGTTCTCTAGAGGCAGTGGTCTTCCATCAGCTCTTCCATGTCACTGAGAAACTATGGTGCAGCTACAAGCTTCCGATCCTCTGTTCTGTAGGTTTTATTGCTTTATTTGTTTATCCTGCACTAGTTAAATACTTTTTTGTTTTTTGTTTATTGTTTTTTGTTTTTTTCTTGAGACAGAGTCTTGCTCTGTCACCCAGGCTGGAGTGCAGTGGAGTGATCTCGGCTTACTGCAATCTCCACCTCCCAGGTTCAAGCAATTCTTCTGCCTCAGCCTCCATAGTAGCTAGAACTACAGGCGCAAGCCACCACGCCTGGCTAATTTTTGTATTTTTAGTAAAGACGGGGTTTCACCATATTGGCCAGGCTGGTCTCAAACTCCTGACCTCATGATCTGCCTGCCTTGGCCTCCCAAAGTGCTGGGATTACAGGCATGAGCCACCACACCGAGCCCACTAGTTAAATACTTTTTAAATCACTATAGCTATAACATATTTTTTGATGTTTTGAAGAATAAGTTCTCTCCCCCTATCTTTCCGGGTAAGTTTTAGAATCAATTATTGTGTTTCTCAAAAAGCACTATTAAGATTTTGGTAAAAGTTGCATTAAATTACGGATAATTATTGGAGAAATGACATCTTTACAATATGAAATTTTAAATAATCGTTGTTAAGAATACAAACCTGCATTCCAAGTTTCCAAGTAATAAACTCATGCTCATGCTCATGCTCCCTTTGCTTTGGGCTTGTGCTCACCCTCCAGCAGGGCTTCTTCCACATTCAAGATTAAACGCATCATTTATTTATTTATTAAGATGGAGTCTTGCTCTGTCACCCAGGCTGGAGTGCAGTGGCACAATCTCGGCTCACTTTAACCTCTGCCTTCCAGGTTCAAGCAATTCTCCTGCCTCAGCTTCCTGAGCAGCTGGGATTACAGATGTGCGCCACCATGCCTGGCTAATTTTTGTATTTTTAGTAGAAACAGGGTTTCACCATGTTGACCAGGCTGGTCTCAAACTCCTGACCTCAGGTGATCTGCCTGCCTGGGCCTCCCAAAGTGCTGGGATTACAGGCCTGAGCCACCATGCCCGGCTTAAATGCATCCTTCTATCTATGATACTTTCTAATACATGCCTTGTTTTACTTTTAGCATTTTAGTGTTTTATCCATGTAGAATATGTCAAATCCGTGTAACACAGAGTCCAACAAATGTCCCTCCCCAGTGAAATCTATGCTGAATAAGCTGTCCTTTTCTTCTATGACTTAGAATTCTGCCTTTACCCCCACTGTGGTTTAAATAAGTCCCCAATAAACTTCACCTCCAATGCCCCAGTGTTAGGATGTGGGGCCTAATGAGAGGGCTCAGTCCATGAAAACTCTGCCCTCATGCATGAATTAATGCCATTATCTTGGGAGTGGACTCACTATAAAAGTGTGAGATATCTCTGTCTCCCCCTCCCCTACTTTTGCCCTTTCACCTTTCAAAATGGGACAACACAGCAGGAGGGTCCTCACCAGATGAGGGCTCCTTGATCTTAGGCTTTCCATCCTCCAGAACTATAAGAAATAAATCTCTGTTCTGTATAAACTACCCAGTCTCAGGTATTCTGTGATAGTAGTAGAAAACAGACTGCAATGACCTAAACCACACACATGCTTCTCATCCTCTGTTCTGTATCTTTCATTGCTTTATTTGTTTATCCTGCACTAGTTAAATACTTTTTAAATCACTATAGCTATAACATATTTTTTGATGTTTTGAAAAATGAGTTCTCTCCCCCTATCTTTCCAGGTAAGTTTTAGAGTCGGCTATTGTGTTTCTTAAAAAGCACTATTAAGATTTTGGTAAAAGTTGCATTAAATTACAGGATAATTATTGGAGAAATGACATCTTTATAATATGAAATTTTAAATAAACATTGTTAAGAATACAAATCTGCATTCCAAGTTGCCAAGTAATAAACTGAGAATATACCACCACATTTTAAAATACAGTTATTGAAATTTAGCATTTTAATAGCTTTGATGTTTAGCAGAAATACAGTATTTAAAATTTTATTTAGTAATTTAAAATGTTCTATACATGTGCACCATGTAGAGAACTTAATTCCTCACTCTGCATTTCACTCTGTTAGAAGCAGGCAGGCGTTGTGTTAAGTTGCGTTGGCAGATGCTGTAATGTGCCAACCACATCCTGTCCTTTGTCCTCTTAGGAGAAAAAGACCCTTTCCCCAGCTTCTGGGGGTGTTGTCAGGGTTCACAGCTTCGTCCCTCCCCAGGAAGTGCACGGGCTAGAGTGACCTTCCTTTTCCCTGGGAGTAGCTGGTTCCCGTGCGGGTACAGAGGTTCGATCCCCTTGTGCAGATGCAGAGGCTCTGTCCCCTCGTGCAGGCTCAGAGGCTCAGTCACCTTGCCACAGCTTGGAGTGACCCTGGGGACTCCGGCTCACCTTCCTCCCTGCCAGCCCTACTTGCTCCCTTTCCCCAGGTGGTGTTGCCTGGAGAAGTCCCCAGTCAACTTCCTGAAAGCAGCTCTCTGCTTCTGGTTTCCCAGGAAACCCTACTCGGGAAGGAAGCTGACCCTGAAATGGGATTTGGAGGCTGGATGGCCCAGAGTGGAAGGCAGGTGGAACTTCATCTCCAGTGGCGGGTGAGGCTCTGACAGTCCCCAGCACCCAGTCAGGATGGCACTGCTGGCATTTGTCACTGAAGAGCTGCGGTGAGACTCTGGTGGAAGAGGAGGCAACAGTGGTGTGATGTGCCAGGCATGTGTGGGACTTGCTGCACTCAGGGGGTTGTCCACCAGCCAGATCCCAGCGCCATCCAGCTGCCCAGGGCTCCCTTTGTCACTTTAAAACCTCCCTCCATGCCAGCCGCCTGTAGGAGCTGCTTCCCCTGGAGTCAGACATGAGAGGGAGTCTTGCCGCCCAGCCATTATCTGTGTATAGTAATAACACACTGCAATGCTTTTCATTTACATCACAGCTGAAATTGCTATAAAACTATTTCCCAAGTGTGTTTTCTGCAACAATAGTCCCAAGAGATGCCTTGAAGACCAAGAAATGTTCTGTGGTCACCTAAACCTGGCAAGTGCTTTATAGGATCTCCCTCTTAGGAATCCAAAATGCAGGCTAGCTATTACAGGCTCCGAAGAGTTTGCCACAAAGAATACCGTTTGTTTATTTCAACACAGTGTTTTCAAAATGTAATTTAACATGAGACATTTACTGGTGATGACCCCTGGCTTGTTGTTTGGTGGTCACTCCAGAAAAGCTGCTGAAAGTCATTTTTATGTAACCACATTGCAGCCTTCCGGAGGTAAAAGACTGAAACATACAGTGTGCAAATCTCACAGAAGTGCAGCGTCACTGAGACTTCACTGTGGCAACTTCAGTCATTCTATCTGACCCTGGGGATCTGAAGGGATGACAGTAACAAAACAGGAGCAACAAAACTTTCCCCCACCTCAGGATCATTTGAGGGTGCCTTTATGCCCATCAGCACTCTCCACACCCTCCCACGTGCACCCCGGGCAATCCTGGGCAGCCTCACCACTGGGAGCCAATGAACAAATGGATGGCCAAGTGGACAATGGGTGGCAGCATTCCCCCTCCTCACTCTGGCATCCTCCCTTTTGCAAGGGCCTTGCCTTTGGACAGCACTGAACCGGATTCTCAATTTCCCTCAGTGCTAACATTCTGCTCTCACAGTGTTAGCAGCAGAGATAGGAGATTTCCTGAGTCAATTTGCCACCTGCATAATTCAGGCACATCATCTGTTCTCATTGCTACCAAGCTTCTCTGGATCTCCACTTGAAAGTCCCACTTTCTTCTCAGTAAACGCACACTGCGATTCACGAGAAACCGCAAAGCCACAGAGTCCACTTGCAGCAGGGTGCTCCGTGGCTGGGAGGACTCCAGGGAGCTGCTGCCTGTGCCCCAGAAGGATGCCAGGGATCTAGGAGGCAGGCACGATTCCCAGGGACGCATGCATGATTTCAAGGGAAAAAGAGGTTTGTGTCCACTGCAGGTCACTGCTTGAAGGTGAGTTGGAATGGGCACGGGATCATTCCTCGCTTGGAAAGGGCCCCCGTCCCTGTGGAACTTCTGCAGGCTGCAGTCCCTTGGGTCCTCAGTGAGAGCTATGGTGCTTCAAGGCACACACTCCTAGAAGGGGTAAGTGGCTGCAGCCAAGCTCTTAGGAAAGTGGGGCAGAACCAGCTCCAGCAGCCTCTGCCTGTCTCGATGTGTGTCCGCCTATGCCAGGAGCACTCTCCCTGCCCCACACCCTTGGCCTCACTGACTCCACCTCCTCCTTCAGTACTCAGCCCCAGCATCACCTCCATGACCAGGTTCTATCATGTGTGCACACTGGAATCACCCAGGGACCCCTAAAGATACAGAAGCCTGGTGGCTTTCCTGAGATTCTGAATTGTTTCTCCAGGTTCAACCCAGGCTTGGTTTTCAAACGCTCCCAGATGATTCCATTGTGTGGCCAAGGTCAAAAACCTCTGTATGCAGGATATCCTCCTTGCTCCATCCTCTGACCCCAGTAAGGGGTCGGAACTCTGCAATCTGTGCACACCAACCAAGGCATTGACCAATCAGCCTTCAAGACCAAACGCACCCTTCTGGAGATCAGCCCCCACCCTCCCTGCCCAGGCCCCACTGAAAGGCTCCAATCAATGTCTGCAGTGGGGTTGGGGTGGCGAGGAGGACAGGAGGAAGAGCAAAGAAGTCACAGCTTCCAGGACCCGGGCTGGTGTCTTCTCTGTTAGGTAACATTCGGAATCTCAGTCCCTTAAGGCTTTTAAGTTGAAAAAAAAAGTTAATTTATAGATTTTTTTCTTCCTCTACCATTTTTAATATCTAGCCACATATTACAAAGGATTTTAAGGTGTTTTCTTTTTTTCATGAGCAAACTTTGCTCATTTCACCATCTTAAAAAGTGCCCTCCTCACTCAAGTCACAAACAGCCCACAGTGCCTGAAAAGGCGACCTTCTGATTAATAGACTGTTTTCTTCAAGTTGGCCTTGGTCTGCAAAATCAGGGCAGCTTATATAGTCTTGTGGTGAAAAGAAATGTCTTTTTCACATCCTCCAATAAGCACTTACCCAAAGCACAATAAATGGAGAAAATATGTTTCATCACAATAAAATTTAAAAATATACCAAGCCAGTTGCTAAATATGATTTTTGTAATTACTGGGATATTCTTATTTTGTATTATTAAAGTTTGATATTTTAAATGAGATTTTCTATCCCCTTGAGCAGGGCTTTTTTTAAATAATTGAATTCCTCTACATTTTGATTAAACCCTTAACCAAGATCACTGTGTATGAATGATAAAATGCAATTACTTTTAAAACCATAGTTGACTTCAAATTTTCCACCAATGACCTGATTTTAAATAGTCTGTTTATTTAAAAACTTGAAGGTAAGGTGGGAGCTGTACCAAAGTGCAGCTGCATTTATTGCATCCTGAGGATCGTAAAGGGCTGGGATTGGTGACAGACGCATCATTACAGAAGGTGCAGATGATAGACATTAGAGAGGAGGATGCGGCAAGGCCCCACCCACTTGAAGAAGCTCCTCACACACAGGCTAGGTGCTCCCTCATCTGTGGTGCTCCTCCACGGTTCAGGATCCTCCTCCCCTGTGGGCCTGAATAGGGTGAAGGCGAATAGGGAGCTGTCCCTCCCCTTCCACAGTTGTCAGTGCAGACCCTCCCCAGCCGAATCTCACACCCACTCCAGCTTTTTCTCTCTGCTCCAACCCACCTGCCCACCATGGATGCTCTGTCCTGCAGCCCCAGGCCCTTGGCAAGCACTATTCTGTCCGCATCTCTGTGACTGCAAACAGTGTCCTTTTCACCATCCCCTGCTCCTAGGGACCTCATCCTAGGCACCACTCCTACCGTGAAGCCTTCCCTGATCCTGGAGCCTAGACCAGCCCCCGCAGCTGTGATTTATCCCTTCTAGCAGGCGTGACATTGACCCAACATTTAGCTGTGTGCTTATTGGAGTGTCTACCTCCATCTCTGGACTACAACTTCCTGAGGCCAGGGCTATATCTCCACTGGGGATTATTGCCATGGTGTGTCCAACCGAGTGCCTGGGCTGGAGAGGGTGGTCGAGGCAGACATGCCGGGGAGGACAGCTGGACGGTGAGCATCGTCCTGACCTGGGGTGGGAAGGTCTAGTTTGTTGAGGGAGCCATGCTTTGCTGCCTGTGATAATCATGCTTTCAGCGCACTCGGAAAGGCTAAATGGGAATTTATTTTCATGAAATCGTCTCTGGAATGGTGACATTTTATCTAAAGGCACCTTGTGGCCCTTGAGGATGTAAACTGCAATATTTAATGCCTCCATTGCGGCAGCCCACAGGATGGGTCCTTGTTACTTTAGGCTTGGAAAATAGTTATGTGATAATTTAATTTAAAAACCTTCTGGTGGCAGGACTTCCCATACTTTTACCCATTGGAAAGATTCTCTGTGCTTTCAAAATGATTTTCACTGAATGGTGCTTAAAATGCCGCGCCTTCACCCCGCCTGTAATGGACCCATTCCCACTCCCTGCATGAATGTGTGGGAGGATCCTCCCTTGCTGTCCCCTGGGGGGGCCCACGCTGAGTTCACACACACTCACCACCGCACCAGCAGCCCACCTTCTTCTCCTCAGGCTGCCTCTCCTTTCTTCTGTTTAAATCGGGTCAGTGTGGTCAGAGCTGCAGACAGTGATGAGGGGGCAGGAGCGGGAGGCCAGCTGCAGTAAAATCCACGTGAGACTCAAGTGGCCCAACAGAGATGGGAGCAGACAGCAGGTGCGGAGAAAACCTGCCGGCGAAGCGTGTCGGTTGGTCTCCATCAGTGATTAGCAGAGGCGTCCTTATCGGGCCAGGGAGCTTTTGCAGACTTTGATTGACAAGGCATCGATTTCTCCATCTGTGGTTCTGCTTGTCTCTTCGAGGTACTAAATAGAAACTTACCTTGCAAACGTCCTGTTGGTTGCTTTATGGGATCTGGTCTCAGGAGGCTGAAGGATTATTCATGCCGAGGACGGCTTGAAATAAAGTCAAGTACAATAGTCTGTGTTTCCATTACTGAAAACTCTGATGCTTATGTATGTTCTCTTCATGGATTCGGAGCCCTTCACCTTTTCTCCCTGCGAGTGAGGTTCACTTTGTGATGTGTCCCATAGTCCCGCCACATGGGTCTCAAACTGGCCTGATCTATGCTTTGGAATCTGTTTGGCCTGCAGTTCTTGAGGAAGGTAAGTTCTCACCAGGGTCACCCAGAAGGGTACCTGATTTTGTCTCTTCTGGCCTGCTGCTCTAGATGGAAGGGGCTACCTGGCAGCTGCCAGCCAGCAGTGTCCTTGCCAGATGAGGGATGAAGAAGAGCAGCACCACGGATGAGGGAGCACCAGGCCCACAGGGGAGGAGGATCCTGAACCGTGGAGGAGCACCACGGATGAGGGAGCACCAGGCCCACAGGGGAGGAGGATCCTGATCCGTGGAGGAGCACCACGGATGAGGGAGCACCAGGCCCACAGGGGAGGAGGATCCTGAACCGTGGAGGAGCACCACGGATGAGGGAGCACCAGGCCCACAGGGGAGGAGGATCCTGAACCGTGGAGGAGCACCACGGATGAGGGAGCACCAGGCCCACAGGGGAGGAGGATCCTGAACCGTGGAGGAGCACCACGGATGAGGGAGCACCAGGCCCACAGGGGAGGAGGATCCTGAACCGTGGAGGAGCACCACGGATGAGGGAGCACCAGGCCCACAGGGGAGGAGGATCCTGAACCGTGGAGGAGCACCACGGATGAGGGAGCACCAGGCCCACAGGGGAGGAGGATCCTGAACCGTGGAGGAGCACCATGGATGAGGGAGCACCTAGCCTGCGTGTGAGGAGCTTCTTCAAGTGGGTGGGGCCTTGCGACATCCTCCTCTCTAATGTCTATCATCTGCACCTTCTGTAATGATGTGTCTGTCACCAATCCCAGCCCTTTACAATCCTCAGGATGCAATAAATGCAGCTGCACTTTGGTACAATCTGTTCACCCAGAAATGTCTATTTTTAGAGACTCACTTCAAATTAGCCACATTAATTGGGTGGGAAAATGTGTTTTTCTTGATAACTTCCAGGTTCTTCAGGGATCCTGGAACAAGGCCAAGCCTGTTGTCCTGCCCAGGCCTCTCCCTTGAAGGCTCAGCACTTCAGGGCTCCTAGGTGAGAGAAGCATACAGTACTCTTGCTCTTGCTGATCTCATCACTAAGGGTTTTCCTGGGAGTGTACTGGGTACCTCAGAGAACCTCTTTGGGGTTTGGGGCACTGAGTACTGGGTAACTCACAGAACCTCCATGGGGTCTGGGGTACTGAATACTGGGTACCTCACAGAACCTCCATGGGGTCTGGGGTACTGAATACTGGGTACCTCACAGAACCTCCTTGAGGTCTGGGGACCCAGCTCACTGGCTGCACAGACAGGAACGGCAGCCCTCTTCTCACTGGCCCTAGTGCCGGGTAGGGCTGTGCTGCCACCTCTCCGACTGCCAGGTACTGAACCCACCTGTCTCGCCACAGCAGTGTTCTGACCACCTGCATGGCCACAGCTGCCCTTTCTGCTCTTCTCTGGGATTTCGGTCTTGCCACCTTGGAGGCTCTTCAGGCTCTGGTGTCTTTGAGTCCCCAGCTCCTAATGCAAAGTCCAGGGCAGGTCCTTCATACTGACCAAGCCCAGGACAGGAGCCACACTCATCCCCAGAAGGCAGGAGGTGCATGTCTGCATTGGCAGCTGTTACACGGGGCAGGCAGGTTCCTGACTCCCACTCCATCTCACAGGAGGGCAGTTCCCCAACCTAGGACACAGGTGTGTGACAGTCGATTTCATGTGTCAAGCAGATCACTTTCCCCAGTGTGGGTCAGCCCTCTCCAGCCTACTGAGCCTGAAAGGAACACAAGGGCTGAGTGGGAAGAATTCTCTCTGCCTGACCATCTTGGACCTGGGATGTTGGTTTTCTCCTGCCTTCAAACATGGACTCAAACTAGAACCACAACATCGGCTCTCTTGGTTCTTAAGCCCATGGACTCAGGCTGGAGCTCACATTACCAGCTTGCCTGGGCCACTAGCTTCCCAACTGCAGGTCATGGACTTCTCATGCTCCCAAACTGCATGAGTTAATTTCCTATAGTAAATACCCCTCCACAGCTAGTTAGCTAGCGAGCTAGATACATACATACATACATACATACATACGTACGTACGTACGTACGTACATGGATGGATGGATGGATGGATGGACGGACGGACGGATGGACGGACAGATAGATAGATAGATAGATAGATAGATAGATAGATAGACAGACGGATAGATAGATAGATAGACAGATGGATAGATAGGTAGATGGATAGATAGATAGATGGATAGATAGATGATAGGTAGATGAATTAAAAGATAGGTAGATGGATAGATATGGTAGATGGATAGATAGAATTAAAAGATAGATAGATAGATGATAGGTAGATGAATTAAAAGATAGGTAGCTGGATAGGTAGATGAATTAATAGATAGGTAGATGGATGAATAGACAGCCTGTTCACAAGCTAATTTCAACAGTCAGCCACTTGTCAACAACACTAACAATGCCATTAATGTGCAGGATTTAAATGCTACTTTTAAATGTTTATAATTTAAGAATAAAACATTCTACTTTATGTTCTCATCTTCCATGTAGAGTTTCAAAATAAATATTTTAAACCTTGAAATTCCAGTTTTATTTTTGCAAACACGTGAACTTAATACCGAGAAAAACAATTTCATCAGATATCATATTTTTTTTCAAAGAGAATGAAATTGGTTCTTCCATCCTCAATTCTCAGTCTAATCAGATGGCTCCTTCTAAAGGTAATATCCATATCTGACACCTAATTTATGTCCTGATTCATCTGGTCAGACTGAGGGAAAAGTTACCACGAGTATGCACTTCCCACAGCACTGAAGCACCTTTCAGAAGGCTCACACTGAATTATCAGATGTTCAAAAGTCAAAGTAAGGTGATCACCGAGAGCTGCCATATGATTATTTTAGGGTAATTTTCCAGGCATTGAGAACATGCGGGGCTCCACAGCTACGGCGGGATTGTGCTCCTAATCGGAAGATCAAGGCCCCCAGAACTGTGTTCACCAGGCCCCATCTTATCTCCTTCAAGCAGAGATGCCCCCACTTCCAACACTTATTCTAATTTACTTGGTGCCTTGGTTGTTTTCACAGAGAGTCTGAGGCACAGCTTATGAATGTGGAGACAACACTGCTCAGTGTGACCTCATCACTCCCACAGCCAAGGGTCCCTCCAGCCAGCAGGCACCACTGGAAGACTGCCTCCTCTAAAGGTGCGGCAGGCCACTCCTCCGAAGCCCAGGATGCAATGCAGCCTGGGACAGGGGTTCCCCTGTCCTTCCCTTTGGGTCAAGTCTTGGTTGCTCTGATCTCTGGAGCAGGATTCCAGGGTCCCAAGACCACCGTACCTCCGCAATGAGACACGGGCGCGATCAGGACAGGCTCAAGCTGTTTGTTCATTTTTCTCACAGATCATCAGCGGCATTCCCATTGCGACAGTTTCTTGTTTTATGCAGTCATGAATTCTATTCTGCAATTGTAAATTTCAAAGCCATTGTAAACTCTATGTTCCAAGGAGTGGGCTCAGATGGAACATCAGCTGAAGACGTTCACTGCATCTTTTCAGGGGTTCTACCCAGGAAATAATTCTTAGTTCTGTTCTCTCTTTTGACCTGTGTTCCCTCCTGAAAATTGTGGGTCCCGATGGGAGAATTATTCTTGCCCTAAGCAGAAATATTGCCAAGCTTGCACGGGACCTATTTCGTGCACAGTAATTCAGGCAGGAATGTTTGTAAATTTTCCATGAGAAGCTGGTTTTGTCAAGTGAGTTTAGAGCAGTCAATTGGAGGTAATCGGCCATTGTGGGATAAGGCTTTGACTCTCGAGTTCGGTAAAATACTCCCAGGGGTGCCTCAATGAACTGAAATAATAGTTTTGTGAATGTCTCAACTGTTTAAAGCATGTGTGTGTGAGACCGATGCCAATGTCTGCAGTGTTGCTCTGTCTGTGGCTCTCGTCTGAGGACAGCCAGTGGGCAGGAAAGGTGAAGGGAGCGAGGGCAAGGGGCTCACAGAACCCCCCAAAGCCTGGCAGCTTCACACAGCACTTGCAGTTTCTGCAGGAGCCGTCCAACTTGTCACGTAGCAGAGAATGACCCATCAACCTCCAGGTCATGATACAGAGACTCTGGCCTTGACAAGTAACCACAGGTGACAGAGAAAAGGGAAATGGCAGGAATGAGTGGCAGGAGATGCAGGTTCAAGCCACGGACCCTCACCTGGGAAAGGACTCGGCTCCCCGCCAAATGGCAACACCAAGACTTAAAAGACTTAAGCTATGCACTTGGTATGATTTTCCTTTTTAACTGACTTGTTCCAATTTACCAACCTACTACCAGCAGGTACTTATCAAACAGAAAGCACCCCCTGTGGGATCTGCAATGCTGGGGGGACCCCACCCCAGGACAGCAGCTGCCTGGGGCAGCAGGAAGGCACCAGTGGTGTTACCTGGCATTTGGAAGGAGGTGGGCCCTGAGCAGGGTGCAGGTGTTCCCTCTCAGGCAGGAAGACCCTGACCATGGGGGTCTGTGCACAGAGTCCAGGCAGGGAGAACATGAGGCCAGTGAGATGGAGGCTGGAGGGAGGGAAGGTGTCTGGAACAGGCAGGTCCCTGCAGCTGCTGCAAGAATCTCCAGAACAGCCACAGCTGGAAGTCAGGCGGGAGCTGCAAGAAGGAGCCCATCCCTGTGGCCGCGAAGGGCAGGCTGAGGAGTGGACACTGTCCACGGACATGCGAGCCATGTTGATCGTCTTTGGTTCAGGGTCCAGGCCCGCTGGGGGGCTGTTGGAGTGGCGGAGGAGAAGAGTCTGGGATCCAGACCCCTGAACTTGAACCTGGGACCTGGGTTCCGCCTTTGCCTAGCTGTGTGGCCTCTGGCGCCTGTGTCCCCTCTGCAGAGTGGAAATGATGAAACCTTCCTGGAGGGGTTGCTACACAGCTCAGAAATAAGGTGTGTTAGCCCGCAGCTCAACTCAGCGTCCCTGGATCCCATCCGTCACACACCCTGGGCAAGCACAGAGGTGAGAACTGTCTGCTGGGATGTGTGGTCAAGGCGGGGTCATCAGGGGTGAGAACTGTCCGCTGGCATGTGTGGTCAAGACAGGGTCATCAGGGCCCCCCCTCCACCTGGTCCTGGTGCGCCTCCCTCTGTCTGACTTTTCCTTCTGTGAGGCCCCAGTGTTCCAGTGCCCATCGGTGTGCCCATGGCCGTGACGCTCCCCCGTCTGCACACTGGTGACCCCAGCCTCGCCTCCACCCCAGGCCTCCCCAGGGCCCACCCCAGAGTCACACTTCCCTCTCCCTGGAGCAAACCCAGGCCCATAAGACTTCGTCTTTATGCAGCCCAGGTGAAGGTCAGCGCCGTGGGTAAAGGTCAGTGCTGCAGGGATGCTCGGGAGCAGCGGGTGCCTGAGCCCCTAGGGAAGCTCTCCCTCTGTACTTCAGGGCCACCTTCTTACCATGAACTCAGAGAAAGTGCTGGTGCAGCTGCCACCTTTGGGGGATGTCAACACCCCAGGGAGTATTGGGCCAGTCTCTTGGTGGACTGTCTGAAACAGGTAACGCAAGCACCAATACCACCTCCTTTTTCACTATTTCTAATGTTAATGACTCACTGGTAAAAATTTAAAAAAAAATTTAAATGAAACCTCGCACAGTGTTGCATTAGGTCCCTGTCACTGTAACACATTGCCACAAACTCAGTGTCTTCAGAAACACAAGTGACTCCCTTCGAGTCTTGTAGGGCAGAGTCCAGTGTGGGTCTTCCTGGGCAGAGTTGAGGCTCCAGGGCGGAGTCCACTCCATACCTTTTCCTCCTTCAAGGGGTTTCCGGGATTCCTTGATTCATGGCCCCATCCTCCACCTTCAGAGCAGTGACGCTTATCCCTCTCACCTCCTGGGTCACCTCCCTCCCTCTCACCATCCTGGTGGTCACCTCCCTCTCTCTGACCTGCCTGGTGGTCCCCTCCCTCCCTCTGACCTGCCGGGTGGTCACTTCCCTCCCTCTGACCTGCCTGGTGGTCACCCCTCTCTGACTCTTTTCTGCCTCTCCTTCCCCTTTTAAGGACCCTGGTGATTACACTGGGCCCACCTGGATGATCCAGGCTCATCTTCTGACTTTAAGGGCAGTTAATTAACCATAGTAATTCCATCTGCCGCCTCAAATTCCCCACTTCCGTGGAACCCAACTTATTCACAGGTTCTGGGACTTTGGAACAGGACGACCTTAGGTGGGGGACATTATCCTGCCCACCACAACTATTAACTATTAAAACATAACAGATGAATGTAAACTGGATGGTACAATGGGAAATGTTCAGTGTTTCTTTTGCGAACTTTTGGAACAAAAGAAAATAATCTAAATGAAAATATTTATTTTGACAATTGTATTTTTAGGGTTTATGCCACATGCTAGAAATAAAGGTGATGAGCCAAAAATAATAAAATAAAATCCATCAAAGGCAGGTTAAAGTCATCTGTCCAAATCTTTTGGTGTCAATAAATTGTTCCTTGTTTCGATTATAAAGAGTTTCACAGCAATTATAAACATTTAATAAGGTATGGCCCATTATAATTCCTGACTATAAACCAATCAATGAAACAAACCAGACTGTGTCCCAAAGCCCTTATTCCACATCGTCTTCTTACTTGTCTTACAATAGCAGGCCATCCCCAGATCCAGGAGGGAGGGAAAATGTGAGCAGGTAGAGAGTGCCAAGGAAACAGGGTGACCAACCATCCCCACGTGCCTGGGGCTGACCGATTCCCGCACGCCAGGCTTTCCATTTTAAAACCAGGAAAGTCCCAGGCACACTGGGACCATCACTCACCTCATCCAGGCGTGAGAGTCCCCACACGGCTTTGAGAATTAGGACGAAATAGAGAACTGTTTGATTCTCCCTCAAAATGTGATCACACCTACCAAATCCTTCCTACGCAAATTGTCCCATCTCCTAGAAGCTTCCCAATAACCCATGAGGCCATAGCAGCTCATTTCATGAATGGGGAGACAGAGGCCCAGAGCCACATATCTGGCATATAGCAAAACTTAGAGCTCAGCCCAGGCCTGTCTGGTCCCAAAGCCCACACTCTTCACCTCCCCACTCAATGGCTCTTTCAGCAGTTGCCAGCTATGGATCTGCTGTTTGTTCAACCTGCACTGCGGTGGCCAGGGACTGAAGTGACTCAGGGTGGTGCTCATATGTGCGTGTGTGTGTGTGCCAGTGTCGGAAGGAGTATTTACTTTGAGTAGCATTTCTCTTCTCTCCTCAGTGTTATTTAGAAATTTTATAAAAATTTTTCATAGTGAACACTCTCTAATCTTAAGCTGTAGCCACCAAAACCAAATGCAGTGTGCCTCCTTCCAGAAATTGTTTGCATCTTGTGTTTTTGTTTCCAGACTCGGAGCTGGAGTCTGCAATTACACAGCTTTGCAGACATGGAGCTGAGCCACCTGAGCTTGAGCTCTTGTGCACATTCTATTTGGGTTTTCCCAGAATGTCTGAGGCCTTTGCTACAGATACTGTATGTCTGAGGCTGAAATGGTATCCTGCGGAAAAATAAGCAATTTGAGTACAAGGTGTATTGGAGTTGAGGGGAAATGGTCAGATATAAATAAACACAAAGGGAAAAGAAAGGCATAGAAATTGAAAGCTTAGAATAATGTATAACTATTAAAAGATTCTGAAAAACTCATTTTATCTATTTAATAATCTCTGAGGTAAAAGCGGAGGATAGCAGTCTCCAGTTGGAATTACTGGCTAATGTTATTCATAGCCAATCGTTATCAGCTGCCATCCAGCCCCATATTTTCATATTCTGCTAAAGTCTTCTTCCATGCAAACTTGGGAAGCAGGGTGATTCTTGTCCCACCTCACAGGCCACACAGAAGAGTCAAGAAGAGGTTTTTAATCAATGCGTATTAAGCTGGGAACTTGACTGAGGTCTTCATCACTGCTCAATCCTGCCTCTATGACTATCCGGAAAAAGTTAAAACTCTCGCTAGAGCTAACCAATGTGAAATGTTTCTAAGTGAAAAACGCTGCATAACAACGGTGTTTCAGCAGCATGTTCGGAGCCAGGGGCTCTGTGGGGGACGCTGACACTCCCACTGGGAAAGCCCAGGGCCCTGGAGAACCAGCCAAGCACTCACCTTCTCTCCAGCCTTCGCTCCAACACGCACAGGGGATAAGTCAGGGAATTCCAGGAGCCTCCAGGGGCTCTGACACTTTCATTTTCCTGACAATGTTAAAAGCCCAGGTGTCTAAACAGACACAGACCCATCCATGCATGAAAACATACACACATACAAACACACACTTAAACATATGCACACATACACATATGCACACACACACAATCTGTTTTCAAGTGTATAAGTCCCAGTAAACATACACATATACGAACACACACTGAAACATATGCACATGTACACGTATGCACACACACACACACAATCTGTTCTCAAGTGTATAAGTCCCAGTAAAACAAATTACTTCATGTCAAATATGATTTTTGACCCATAAATAAAAATAAATCCTTATCTTATTCTTGTCTTTTTTATTCTCCCAATGATTACTTTAAACTCCCCTTTTTTTTAATATCCTATTTGGCTTGACTTAAGGAATTCTGAAAAGCTTGCTGCTGAGGGATTCCAGAAGAGTCACAGATGGTTGATGTAATCAACTTCACCCGTTCTTTCATCGTTGGTTGTATTGTGTGGTTTTCCTTCCACTCTGCATGTCTGTGGAGCAGACAGAACTCATGGCCTGGAAAAGTCACCAGAATTTGTTTTTACACCAGCAAAGCACAGAGGGAGGGGCAAAGGGAGAGGCCAAAGGAGGAGCAGAGAGAAAAGCAGAGGGAGGAACAGAGGGAGGAGTGGAGGGAGAAGCAGAGGGAGGAGCAAAGGGAGGAGCAGAGGGAGGAGCGAAGGGAGGAGCAGAGGAAAAAGTGGAGGGAGGAGCAGAGAGAGAAAAAGAGGGAGAAGCGGAGGGTGGATCGGAGGGAGGAGCAGAGAGAGGGATAGAGGGAGGAGTAGAGGGAGGAGCAGAGGGATGAGCGGAGGGAGGAGCAGAGAGAGGAGTGGAGGGAAGAGTGGAGAGTAAGGCAGAGGGAGGAGCAGAGGGAGGAGTGGAGAAAGGAGCTAAGGGAGGACTAGAGGGAGGAGCAAAGGGAGGAGCAGAGGGAGGAGCGAAGGGAGGAGCAGAGGAAAAAGTGGAGGGAGGAGCAGAGAGAGAAAAAGAGGGAGAAGCCGAGGGTGGATCGGAGGGAGGAGCAGAGACAGGGATAGAGGGAGGAACAGAGGGAGGAGCAGAGGGATGAGTGGAGGGAGGAGCAGAGAGAGGAGTGGAGGGAAGAGTGGAGAGTAAGGCAGAGGGAGGAGCAGAGGGAGGAGTGGAGAAAGGAGCTAAGGAAGGACTAGAGGAAGGAGCAAAGGGAGAAGCAGAGGGAGGAGCAAAGGGAGGAGCAAAGGGAGAAGCAGAGGGAGGAGCAAAGGGAGGAGTGAAGAGGAGCTGAGAAAGGACCAGAGGAAGGAGCGGAGGGAGAAGCAGAGAGAGGGATAGATGGGGGAACAGAGGGAGGAGCAGAGGAATAACCAGAGGGAGGAGCTGAAGGAGGAGCAGAGAGAGAGGCAGAGGGAGAGGCAGAGGGAGAACCAGAGGGAGGAGTGGAGAGAAGAGTTGAGGGAGGACCAGAGGGAGGAGCAAGGTAGGAGGTAGGGAGGAGCAGAGGTAGGAGAGAAGGAAGGAACAGAGGGAGGAGCGGAGGGAGGAATGGAGGGAGAAGTGGAGGGAGCAGCGGACGAAGAAGCAGAGGGAAGGACAGAGGGAGGAGCAGAGGAAGAAGCAGAGGGAGGAGTGGAGGGAGGAGCAGAGAGGGGGCAGAGGGAGGATCAGAGGGAGGAGCAGAGGGAGGAGCAGAGGGAGGAGCAGGGAGAGGGACTGAGGGTGGAGCAGAGGGAGGAGAAGAGAGATGAATGGAGGAATGAGCAGAGGGAGGAGCAGAGAGAGGGGCAGAGGGAGGATAAGAGGGAGGAGCTGAGGTAGGACCAGAGGGAGGAACAGAGGGAGGAGCAGAGGGAGAAGCGGAGGGAGGAGCAGGGAGAGGGATTCAGGGAGGAGCAGAGGGAGAAGAAGAGAGATGAATGGAGGAATGAGCGGAGGGAGGAGCGGAGAGAGGGGCAGAGGGAAGACAAGAGGGAGGAGTGGAGAGAGGATCCGAGAGAGGACCAGAGGGAGGAGCAGAGGGAGGAGCAGAGAAAGGAGAGGAGCAGAGGCATGAGTGAAGGGAGGAGTGGAGAGAGGGGCAGAGGGAGGAGCGGAGGGAGGAGTGGAAAGAAAAGCTGAGGGAGGACCAGAGGCAGGAGCAGAGGGAGGCGCAGAGGGAGGAGCAGAGGGAGGAGTGCTGGTGAAGGAGCTTCAAGGCAAAGCTGGCCCAGCACCCACCCAGCGTTAGCCCACCTGCAGCTCCCTGGGCTTCCTCAGTCGTCTCTCTTTGCCCTCACCTTTTCAAGTCTCCAGCTCCTGCCCTTAGAACAAGTATGAGGACTTGCAGGGGGCCTCTTTTTTGTGTTTTTGTTTCTAAGCGAAACCTAGCTGTGTTTTGCTGCACCTGGGTTGGCTCCCACGGTGTGCTGTGTTTTTCCCTCTTGTGATGGAAATAGCTCCTCGGCTGCAGCATAACCATGGCCCGTGGCCTGGGCCTCCCGCTGTCTCTCTTGCTCCTCTGCAGCGGCTTCCCTTGGAGACCCCGAGATCCCTGTGCACCCTCCCAGCTGTCCCCAGGGCTCCAGCTCTGCCCGGCTCCCCTCGGCCATCCCTGTGCCCACTCCCACTTCAGGGGACACTGGCTGTGTGCCAGCTGCAGTGCAGCTATCCTCATCATTGACAAACCACTGGTGCTCTGAGCACTGATATTTCTAAAAGACTTACTTTTTTAGAGAAGTTTTAGGTTTACAGCAAAATTGAACGGAAGGTGCAGAGATTTCCCATGTACCCCTCTCCTTCCTCCCAGCCTCCCCCACCATTAACAGGCACCACTGTGCTGGGTGTTACAATTAACGAGTCGGTAATGATGTATTATTATCACCTAAAGTTCATGGTTTACTGACGGCTCACTGTTGTTGGACATTCTGTAGGTTGGAACAGATGCATCATGATATGGACCCATCCTTATGGTATCACACGGAGCAGCTGCATTGCCCTAAAAGTCTCCTGTGCTCCACCCATGCCTCCCTCCCTCCCCCAACCCCTGAAACCACTGATTTTTTCCCTGCTTCCACAGTTTTGCCTTTTCCAGAATGTCCTAGAGTTGGAGTCATACAATGTGTTTTTGGTTGGCTTCTTTCCAGAATGTCCTAGAGCTGGATTCAAACAATGTTTCTGGTTGGCATCTTTCTCTTAGCAATATGCATGTAAGCTTCCTCGGTGGCTTCTCATGAATTCATAGCTTGTATCTGTGAACACTAATAACATTCCACCATCGATATGCACCACAGCTTATTCACCCATTCACCAACCCAAGGGCACCTTGGTTGCTTCCAAGCCCTGGCAATTACAAAAAAACTGCTATAACCAGCCGTGTGCAGGCTTTTGTGTGGACATAAGTTTCTAACCAACTCTGACATTTATAACAGCCAGAAACTGAGGCCACCAAGAATGGACACAGAGCCTTTGTGTGGAGGAGAAAGAGGTTCCTTTCTCAACACCCTTCAGCTTCACATATCTGAAGAGTGCCTGAACCCCCACACAGATCTGCACAGTGACCTGACTGGTGCACACTCTGGCATGGACCGTGACAAGTGCATATACCCCCAGGATCCACCTGGGCCTTATACTTTAAAACAATGCCCCTGAGCAGGCTTATCTGCAAAATCTGGGGTGAGATAATAGCCCAGAGATGAATGAAAGCCATCCGCACCTGCGAGAGAGGAGGTTCGGATCACGTTCTGAAACATCCTCAACACCTTACATCCAATGAACTGCCGTGATTTCCAGTATTAGCTTTGTAGGTTTTCTGACGAGTCTCATCAGGGGCTTGGAGGTTTTTCTAGAAGCTGTGGGGCCACATGCCATCGCAGTTTTCTGTGATGTTGGCCATGGCAAGCCCCTCTCAGATGCACAGAATGATGCCCTTGGTTGCCGTCTCCCAGATGGGGCACTCGCTTCCCCACCCCATTCTTGCCTCCCAAGCCCTGAGATCTCTCTAGGGACCATCTTGGACCCATAGGGCCTTGACTTCATCATGGGCTGCTTTCATCCTGTCCTCCTAATCCATTTCCACCCACCTGGACTCCTAAGCGCCATGGTCCTCTGGTCTAGAGTGCCAGGATCTGTGAGCTAGTGGTGACGATTTGTAGCAGGCGCCATCTCCAACCTCATGGGTGGGCTGCCACCCTGGCTTCAGCTTCCGGTGTTCCATAACCTTTTTGAAGCCCCTCACTTCCTCAGCACTGTTTCTGTCTTTTATGCTCATTCTACTGGGTTCTCTCATAAAACACAGGGCTCGTTTTGGAGAAGGCAGATCTAGCAGGCACTGTGCTTACTGAACTGAGTTTGGGTCCAATTCCCTATACCTGCCAGGCTTGGTCAGCTCATTTGACACCGCATGGCTCTTATGAGACTCGCAGAGCTCTGGGATCTTCTGGGTCTTCCAGTTTGTCCTTTCACAGCTGCATCTTTGACCTGCCCTCAGCAGCCCCTTCACGCTGTGTGTTACGGCCGTCGGGTGTGGCCTGTGCCCTTGCCTGGCCTGCCTCTCCTGGGGTCAGCAGCAAAACAACATTTTTCTAATTGGCCCCTGCACTTGAGCAAGGAGGCAGGAGGCTGGGCCACCTGCTCACGGTTCCTGGTGTCACCAAGATTTCCAGGTGCGGAGCCAGCAGCCTGGGATCAATTAGAAATGGTGATTGAAGCTGAATGTGATTAATTATATAATTTGAGTGATTCAGGTTTTAATTATACTAAAATTACATCATAAATCCAGGGCATTTGGAAGAATCCCCAACAAAACTCATCCAGGGAGGAATGCAGCCTCCACGCCAGACTCTCACCGGCATCCCGTCCCGCACTGCTCACCAAATGCACGCGTCCCCCTCACACTCACAACCACGAGGGTCCCATGTGTACGGAGGTCTCACTTAGCCACTGCTGAGCAAGTGTGGGTGCTTCATCCTGCAGCCCCTGATCAGTGTGGGGAATCCTGTGGGGACAGTATGATCACATTGTCCTTGGTAAGGCCAACAGAAGCTGTGGACACATTCCCCATTTCATCTGTGGCTGGGAGGTATAAGTTGCTTTAGGCTATGCCTTTGCATTTCATTGAGATAAACTTAATCCCAACTCCACGCAGTGATTCTTGTATCCTACACCTACACCCATAGGCTGCTTTGAAGAATAGTCATTCGACTGGATGATGGTAATTCCCATGTAATTAATTTCTGGCACACCTTGGGGATCTCTGGAAAGCAGGACATTTATTATGGCAGTGGCTCCTTATTCCTCAGAGTGTCCTCAAAACCCAGAAAACACTTGCTGACCCAGGCCCATAAATTTTCTGGGGCAGAGCTCAGACCGGCAGCGTGTGCAACCTCTCAGATACACAGAACGATGCCCTTGGTTGCCCTCTCCCAGCTGGGGCACTTGCTTCCCCATCCCATTCTTGCCTCCTGAGCCCTGAGATCTCTCTAGGGGTCATCTTTTGGGCCTTGACTTCATCATGGGCTGCTTTCATCTTGTCTTCCTAATCCATTTCCACCCACCTGGACTCCTGAGCACCATAGTCCTCTGGCCTGGAGCCCCAGTATCTGTGAGCTAGTGGTGATGATTTGTAGCAGGCACTGTCTCCATCCTCATGGGTGGGCTCCCACCCTGGCTTCAGCTTCCGGTGTTCCATAATCTTTTTGAAAACTGTAATTTTCAGGGGTACGAATGCAGTTTTGTTAAATGGCTATATAGTTTCATAGTAGTGAAGACAGGGATTTCAGGGCATTCATCATCCAAATAAGATACACTGTACCCATTAAGTAATTTCCCCTCCCCACCCTGACCCACTCTCCCGACCTTCTGAGTCTCCGACGTCCATCATTCCGCACTCTTGGTGGGAATGTAAATTGGCACAACCTCAATGGAAAATAGTACAGAGATTTCTTAGAGAACTAAAAATAGAACAACACCATTTCATCCAGCTAGCCCACTATGGGTATCTACCCAGAGGAAAGAAACAAATATACCTCAAAGATACCTCCACTCCTGCTTCACTTCACTTGAGTCTGGGATGAGTCCTCCGTTTCCTGAGGAACCACGTTCTCCGTGGCTGGCATCCTTGGTCTGAGAATCGATTCAGGTGGTGCATGTGGACGCACTCCACGACTGATTCTAGCATCTGTGCAAACTTAGGAGAGAGTATGTTGCGCTCTATAGAGCAAACTTAGGCATCAGTATGCTGCGCTCTATACTAAATGCCCTGCCATCCCCAAAGGTTCCATCAGGGATGTTGTACCAGCAGATTGCAAAGTGAATTTTGCTCCTATCGCAGCACAACAGGTTGCTCGGTCATGAAAACTCTCCGCTGCTTCTAATGCCCAAGTGCCCTGACTCAGGGATCCAGGCAATCAGTTCCTCTGAGAGCTACAAAGACAGCTGCCGGCAAATTGAAGTGCTGGCTAGGTGTCCAGAGCAGAGGTACTTGGAGACCGTCTTCAAGAGGTATTTCCAAATTCTAATTAAGGAGAGCTTCCTAGATAAGGAAAGTGTGTCAGAAACTATGTCAGAATCATGTATTATTATTTGGGTTTTCTTCTTTCAAATAGGAGGCTTCGCTGTGAGCTCGGCACTCAGGGACGATTGTTTAAATGGTGTTTGCTGATTTGGCTTTATGTGAAAGAAACCTTCATAAATAATAGGCACCAGCTTTGTTGATCTTCTTGCATTATAATAAATTCCATGAAGTAGGTGATAGGATCCATTGATTTGTAGTTCAAGCCACATTTTTAAACTATCAGACGACTGTCAATTCCGTCACTGCACTCTTGCGTTTACCCCTGGTTCTGTAGCGTGTCCATCGACTTGGCTGTTTTCATGAGGTGCACTGAGACCGTGACACCCCCACCCCTAGGACCACAGTCACGACTCACATTGTGCAGATCATTTTCTGGAAGTGGCAGAAACATGAATATTGCCATCCAAAGATTAGGGACAATGGCATTTATAGACATGCATACCTTTTACTATAGTCTAAAGATGCATAAGGCCCTTTAAAGCTCAGTATACTCACTAAAAAAATGAGCTCTGCAGCCTCACCAATAATAACTTCACAGCAAATTGCCCATTGTTCCTCAGAGTTCATTTTTAGGAGGCTGAGATCTGAGCCCCGATGGGATTTTTCTCTGCAGTAAAGCAATACACCAGCAAATTATAGACAATAAGTCTGATTGAATCAGTATTGTTCATAAGCACACTGAGTGATAAAACATGAAGTGGATGGAAGCGACTGATGCTAATTGCTAGCTCAGCCACTGTGAACCAGGCAGCCTGCTGAGTGCAGCACTCTAGAAGTTGCCAGGGTATTGATTGTCTCTGGACAATGGCACTGGGAGACCCACGTGGCTCCCAGGAGAATGGCCCTTGCCCCTCAAGAAGGCCTGCTGCCTCACTGCCTGCCCAGGCCCAGGCATCTGGAGTCCAGGTCTGTAAAGGAACCAAGTCCCATCATTGCAATATCTCTCTGGATTCCATTGTAATCCATTTCAGACGCAGCCACACGTGTTCATGAACTCATCAATGCAATCTGGAAATTTGACTTTGGCTTGTGATCTCTGACATTTTGATGTTTTAAAGTGGGTTTTCTGGAGTGGAGTCTTGGGCCTCCCTCTCACACTTACGGAGTCTTCCTATGGGCGTGCCCTCCAGTCTCCGTCAGTGTGTTCTGCCGTTTGCATACGGGTTGATAAACTTTGTCACTCGGCCTTTTCCATTTGGGAGTCTGCAAAACAAGGGCTGAGTCTGAGACCGTCATGACAGTGTCAAATCCCCAACGCTGCAGGAAGTCAGCAACGGCGCAGCCCACGAGTCTCCAGCACCGCCAGCATCTACCTGTCTCCGTCTTTAGAATGAAAGGGATCAAAGCCACTTTGTTACCTCCAAGGGCAATGGCTGGGGAGGGGCTGCTCTTCTCTTCTCTTTATCTGAACATCCTCGTGATTCAGCCTTTTTAGGGCCACCACGGTGCCCGATTCTAAGTTGTATGCTCTTTTCACCAACAGAAGACATTGCTCTCAGGGGAATGGTCAGGATCCGCTTCCCAGATGGGGACGTGGCCCCCACCTTCTATGACCCTGTGTGTGTCACCAAAAGCCCCGTCGAAGCTGCAGCTTTCTGATGAACAGGGCTGGGAGTGTGGGGAGCATGGCAGGGGATTTGGCACCAGCCTGAGGGGAAAGAGTTAGAGAAATGGGGGCGGCTGGGAAACGTCCGAGTTGTGTGTTTTTGGTTTGTTTATTTTGCACAACAAGCCTTCACTGCTTTGAAATTGAGAATTAATAGCTGAATGTTGCATGTAGAAGGTGAGTTTGTGCCTGAATGGCAGAAGTAAAGCATGTGCAATCCCTTGATCCCCAGACTGTCCCCATGGCTGTGTTCCTTCCTGCCGCAAATGACTGTGGAAGGTCTTTGGTGATGGTGTGGAGGCCTGGGGATTCCTTAATCAGGGGGCACTTCTGTGTGTTCATGGAGATCCTTTGGGCACCCCTAATGCAATTCTCCCCATTTCCGAAGCCAAAGTGATCCTTTTCTGAGATACAAACACAAACCTGGAGTAGCTCCTGGCTCAGTATGCAAATGTTGGGTCACAGATTGTCCCCAAGGCCCTGCAGGTCCATCCCCGCAGGTCTCTGCCACCTCAGACCTGGGCCCCCTTTCCCTCCACATCCCAGTCCTCTTGAGGGTCTTCCTGTTCCCCAGGTGGGCTCCACTTGAACTGACCTCCAGCCTTAACATTCGCTGCTCTCTGGCTGAGACTCTCTCATCTCACCTCATCTCCCATCTTCCAAACCTCAACCCGTTACTTCCTTCTGAGCATCTTCCCTGACCCCACATCCACTCCAGCATGGGGAAGGAATTCCTCCAGGAAGTCTCAAAGGAGACCGGAGGCCCTGTCACAGCCCCAGTTGCTCCCTGCTCTAAGGGTCTTCGGCACTGTCCCTGTTTCCATTTCTTTTTTTTTTTTTTTCGGTCTTGCTCTGTCACCCAAGCTGGAGTGCAGTGGCACCATCATAGCTCACTGTAACCTCGAACTTGTGGGCTCAAGTGATCTTCCTGCCTCAGTCTCTCAGGTAGCTGAGACTTGTCCTCTTTCATTTTTTTTTTATTTCCCCTCCATTTCTTGTGGCTCCTGCAGCAAATGCCTCCATGCTAAGGAGCTGGAAGCAACACACATTTATCATCCACAGTTCTGAAGGTCAGAGCCCAAAGTCCCTTTATGGGCTAACGTCAAGGCATCAGTAGGGCTGCATTCCTCCTGGATCCCCTAGAGAAGAATGGCTTCTTTCTTTTCCAAGTTCTAGAGGAACTTGTGTTCCTGGGCCGCTGGCCTTTCCCCCATTTTCAGAGCCAGCCATGTAGCCTCTTCACGCCTCTCTCTGGCTCTCTGATCTCTTGTCCCATCCCATGGCCTGACTCGCACCCTTCTGCCTCCCTCTTATGAGGGCACTTGTGATTTCAGTGGGCCCTCCCAGAGAGTCCAGGAGAATCTCCCCAACTCCAGGTCCTTCACCACATCACACCTCCAAAGGCCCTTCTGCCACATAAGGAGACACACGCACAGGTCCTGTGGATTAGGACGTGGCACCTGGAGAGAGGGCACTTGTCAGCCAATTGCAGTGCGTCTCACCATGTTGCAGTCAACTCTGGAGTCTGAGGACTGTGTCTCTCGTGTTCACTATTGTAGACTTGTCATGTGGCACAGAGCCTGGCCCATGGAGCTTCCTACAAATCCATGTTGAATTAAGTAAATGAATGGATGAGTGGATGGATGAGTGGATGGATGGATGGATGGATGGATGGATGAGTGGATGGATGAGTGGATGGATGAGTGGATGGATGGATGGATGGATGAGTGGATGGATGAGTGGATGGATGGAGGGATGGATGGATGGATGGATGGATGGATGGATGGATGGACTTCTATGATATCCCAAGTTCACTTTGAAGCCTCAAAATCAGCCATGACACAAAACAGCTCAACAGGGCCTATTTGTTTAAGAGCTGACTTGATCCAGACACCTCATGGTCTAGGGCCAGGCCATAACTAAGTGGGCCTGAAGTGTGGGTACATTTCCACTCTCAGCCTTGCCCCAAGAGAAGCACCCATCCTCCATGCCCCAGTAGACTTCACAGTGGATGCTTTTATCATTTGTTTGAAAGCTGGGCTGAGCAGGATCCACACTGAGAACCCTTATGATGGTAAATGACACAAAGCCCCCCACTGAGTAGACATAAGTCATATGACCACTGTGGACACTTCCCAGCTCCATCTCTAGGCCATGTGATAGCCCTTTGACCTCAAAAAACTCGAGAGCTTGTGTTTGATGCAAGTTTCAATCTCCAACTAGGCTCATCTAGTCCCGTTATTATTATCTAATATTTTTAACGTGAAAAGAGGTCGTGTTATAAAGAATAGGAGAAGGAGTTCAGATCCTGGTATTGTGCTACTCATTCAGAGAAGCTCAGTACACAGAGGCTAGTCTGGCTCTCAAAGTGTCTTCCAGGAAATGTCACCCACAAGCCCCGTCTGTGTGTACACCAAACTCAAGGGTTCCATGGGCAAAGACCTTTTCAGGGAGACAGTCACAGTGCACACTCATCAAATAGCCACGTTGCCAATGCCGGCTCCCTGCCTATCAAGAAGCACCCACCTGGAAGTCTTTGCAAGTGAAGCAGTGAGGTTGGGTGAGATCCAGGCTTGCCTTATGCCTCCAGCCTGCAGCTGAGGTCCAGGGAGGTTCAATCCCTGTGCTCAATGGGGCAGGAGTCAGCACCTTCAGGACTGCACCCCCTACTTGTTGCAAGTCACATGTAAACTGAACTTACAAATTCCAGGCTGAGATTTCTTAAACCAAAAGTTTGCAACTTTTGGTTACTTAGCAATTGTTTGTGACCTATAAGATAATTGACAAAATGTTTTTCCAAAAATAAAATATGTCCATCAACTGACTTGAGTTCTGTGTCTCTTTTTATCTTCAAGTTTCCACTCCATTTGGATAGATTCTGTCACCCGGCCACATTATTTCAGGGGAGATTTTCTCTTGTAAATGAATATGACTCTGCAGTCAACATTTGGGTGTGAACCCTGTGTTTCTGCTCACACTGTCTCTATCCCACCACCACAATGACCTTAGTAAAATGCAAGCAAAATTTTAATAATACTGAGGAGGCTACAGAGAGCCTAAAGAGAAACTCTTCCAAAGTACATGTGGTCTAATTTATAAGACGCTGCTTATCTTGCCTTCCAAAATAATATAGCAAACTGACAGCACAGAGGAGATTATCTGCACGCCCGGGGAGCAGGAGCGAGGGTCAATTTGTCACAATGGACGTCACTGCCACAGTGAGCTCTTCTTCAATTAATGTCCACATTCAGGAGAAACCTTGTTATCTAAATGCTGTTGTTAATTATTCCTGGACAACAGCTTGGGAGGAGACTTGCCTGGGACTCCCACCAATTGCAGAACTAGGGAACCACCTGCAGGGGACTGGAGCCATCAGGAGGGAGATGGTGCCAGCAAGCTTGGTAGGAGCCTGTATTTAAATAAAATCTGCTCATATCCAAGGTAAGTGCAATCTGGCAAGTGATATTATCTTGGCCTCTACAAGGGGAAGAGAAGGCAACTGTGGAAGCAGAAGTGTAATTGTCAAGAAATTGCCCGGCTAATGGACCCTGTGATTTGGGGCCTTGAATGTCCCTGCAGTGCTCTGACAGTTGCTTGACGTGAAGCTGTGATTTCGTAGGCGGCACGCTCATGGAATCCCTGCCCATTTGTTCCTGCACGGACATTTGCTAGGTATTTGCAAATCTTTTCTTTTGCAACTTTGCCATGAAAATCATTATGTTTTGAGTTTCATAATTTCGCAAGTGCGTTGCATAACTAGAAAAGGCTAACCATGGATTCTCCTTTTTCCCATCATTTTCACAATTTTATTCCATGCCCTGGAGTCAGGGTTCTGACAGGGCGTGCTAAGGTCAGAGTCAGAAGCTGAGCGGAACTCTCAGAGCTGGACGGCGAGCTGCACGGTGAGTAGAAAGCTGACTCACACTTTCCACTTACATTTTGAATAAACATGTTTGAAATCTCTGAAAGTTAACCAAGAGGTGGAGCTGAAACTATGAACATACACATGCAGCTGCAATGGCCACATATCAAACATCCGATGATGTGTGCAGCGTGATCTCTGAGGTGGATTAAATTGCGTCTGCTACGCTCATGGCCAGGGGTGCAGCAATGCCAATTCACCTTCCCAAAAACCCACTCTCTTCGCACGTTCTGCCTCTTTCTTGATTGTTTATTGACTCTTATTTTCCTAGGAAAATTTTAACCCTAAATTTCCAGACAGCCTGTAAGTTAGCAAGAGTAACAGGGACAGAGCTAAACAGCCTACTGCAGTCCTAACCCCCCTCCCCACTCACAGCTGCGGCAGGTGGAATTCCACACCCCCGTCATGTGAAGGAAAAGGCATCTTGCTGGGGCTGTGTAAGAAAGCAAAGAATGTCAGGTAATTCTAGGAGCTGACCCACTAGCGTTTCTCATGTCCCCGCTCATTTAATCCCTGCAACAGTCTATGAGCTGGATACGGTTATTATCCCCACTTTGCAGGCAAGTGAGGTAGAGGCATGGACAGCAGAAGTGACTTGCCCGGGGGAACGCAAGGAGCATGGGGAAGGCCGGGGGTCCCTGTGCACACGCTCGACCACCACGCTATGGTGTTGCCCTAAAAAACCAGTGTCACCCCGTGACCAGATGGTGCCACACAGGCCCAGGCTCTTGGTACAAAGAACTGGGCGAGACACACATAGATAGCACAGCAAGGCAGGGCCAGTGTATGAAGCACAGTGTCCCCCTCTCGGAGCGGGGAGTGGACTGACCTCTCCAAGATGAGAACCGCATCCGTTTGGTGTAGTTTGGGTCCTTTTAAGCGTTTTTATTTTTCCTTCTCTTTCCAAAGCTGCCTAATCTCTAGCCGTGTCTGCCCTTTCTTGATGGGGTGGGTGTTCTGCTTAGTTACTTTGGCCCCTTTGTGCTTGTGAGTCACCTCCATCCCATAATTCTAAGTACCTGCACGGTTCGCAGCCCCTGTGCATGAACCTTAGGTAGCCGATTTTCATATGGGGTGATGCGAAGGATACTTTTTCTCTGTAAGGCGCATGCCCATCTCTGAAGAGCTGCCGCTGACTGATTTGGCCGGGATCCTGCCGGCCACGGGGTCCTTGCTCACTTTTGAATCTCACCTTTGTTTTAGCTGCCGAACCTCTGCTTTCTGTCTTTCTTCTTGCTCACCTGTCCCTCCACTTTGCCTCTGTTTTCTGCTTTAACTCACTCTGCCCTTTATCCAACTTTGAATTTTCCTGCCTCATTTTCCCTTTTCTCCTGCTTCAACCCAGTTACTAGTTTTGTTACAGTGTCCTGGTCCCCAGGCAGAAATCTCCCTCCTGGGTGGGTGTGGCTGCTGGTGGATGGTGGGTCTTCTCCAGGTGAGGGCGTGGGGACTGCTGAGCCTGACCAAAGCAGCTGGCTCGGTGGGGAGCCAGGGTCCAACCCGTTCTTGGAGCCTCCCTGGAAGGAGCAGAATGTGCCCCTCGAGAGTCCGGCCCTGTGTCCCAGGCTCCCTGCTCTGCTGCTGTGACCCCTGCATGTCATCCCTTCCTCTGATGTCTCCACCCCCAACTGTCCCTTCAAGCAATGGCCTGCACATTACTGCTTTGATTGCTTATTTTGCCTGTAACTTAAAGCAAAGAAAGAAGTAACCCCCTTCTTCACTCCAAAGAGTAAATGTAAACTTCAAAACCTCTGCAGGATTCTCACGTCTTTTGTAAGGCAAGCCTGTCGTGGCAGTAGATGCTTCTCTGTAGTAAGTGGACAGTCCTGCTCCTCAGCGCAAGTCAGATACACCTACCCTCACACCGCCTCTTGCATTTGCAAGAAAAAATGCAAACAAACTATGCAAATGTTATCATAGAAAACATTTGCAAGGCTGGGCATGGTGGCTTATGCCTTACAAGTATTTCCCAGCATCTTGGGAGGCTGAAGCAGGAGGGTTACTTGAGCCCAGGAGTTTGAGGCCAGACTAGGCAACATGGTGAGACCCTGTCTCTACAAAAATATTTTTTAAAAATTAGCCAGGCATGATGGTGCATACCTGTAGTCCCAGCTACTTAGGAGGCTGGAGTGGGAGAATCACTTGAGCCTAGGAGATCAAAGGTGCAGTGAGCTGAGATTGCATCACTGCACGTCAGCCTGGGCAACAGAGCAAGATCCTGTCAAAAAAAAAAAAAAAAAGAAAGAAAAGAAAAATTTGCTTAATTATTAATATTGACGTACAACAGGCATGCAGGTGAAATGTGGCTGCAGGTAGAGGAAGCACGCCATAAGCCAACACTAACCTTCTGTTAGAAATGCTTGTTCTCCGGTGCTATAAAGAAACAGCACTTGAACATAAATTTAATTTCCTCAGCAAGGCCATTTTTACTTTCTGCAGAAAGGGTACACTTGCCAGCAGTTTTGCCATGAGAGTACACCGAACAAAGGAGGCAGGGTCATTTATAACCTCATGCGTCCATCCTACTGCTGTGTCCGGTTTCCATTGGCTGGAACGGGACTTCACATTCGGTATTTGTCCCGACTGGCTAGCAACTTAGAACTTTTAAAAGAGGTGAAGGTACAGGAGAACAAAGGAAGGAGGAAATAACTTGTGGAATGCTGAGAAAGGTAAAAATGCTTTTAAATAAGGAAGAGGAACCGGCTATGACCTAATGCTTGCTTGGACCAGTATAAGCATGCCAGGGTGAATATTTAAGCTACATTGTGGGAGCTAAAATCATAAAGTACATTGATTTTTTTATTGCAGCCAATAGATATTTAAGAATGTTAGCACATGTCTTTGAATAAATTTTGCTTCTAAGATAAGTTACTATTTATCCCTAATTGGATGGGGAGGAAAGTCTTTGAAGAGGAAGCTCTTCTTTACTTTCTACACTTCTTTCAACACACTCTTTGCAGAGCCATCTCAACCCAGCCTCCAAATCCTATTCCTCCAGTTTAATAGCCGACACTGATGGTATAATAAATTGATGAAGTCTACATGAAAGAAAAGCTCTCATTCCCAAATGCAAACTTTAACTCTGACCTAGAGTGAACTCAGCTTCCATTTCTCATGTTGTACTGAAAGATTATCTTTCTAAAAGGCCATGTGTTCTATGGACGGAGAGTCCACCCAGCGTTGATCAGGATCTGAAGACTCTCCCCAGAAAGATCAGGATTTTAGGGGGAAAGAGGCTTTAAGAGTAGTCAGGCCTCCCGAGGAGGAGCACATGTCTGTCTGTGAGTGAACCATCTGCCAGGAGAAGGCCAGAGAGCACAGCTTCCAGCCCAGCAGCTTCCAATGGGATTCGGAAAGCTGATGAGATGCAGAAGCAGTGAGGATGGCCAGAGGGGATAAGCGAGAACAAATGGTGATTCCAAAGAAACACACCATTCAGCATGCCCCTTGGTGTACATGCAGTTCTGGCATGTGGGTTCCCCGGCACCAGTGGGCGTTTAAAAGCAGAGGATACCCTGTTTTCTAGAACCAAGAGGAAATTCTCAGTGATTCTGGTTGGCACAGAAGGGAGGGGGCAGTGCGTGTGAGGGTGGGATTCACAGCTGTTGGCTGGGCTTCCTCTCCTTCCAGACACGGTCCTGAGTGCTGAGATGAACAAGACATGGCCTCCGCCCTCAGGACCTCAGTCCTCCAGGCCCAGCAGAAAGCAGGACAATGGTTCATGCAGGGAGACAGCTTAAGCAGGGCCCTCCTAGCCAGCCCCAACCTGAGTGGGGAGGGTGCCTGTGGCAGTGCAAAGGGGAGGGTGGAGGGAGAGGCTGGGGAGCGCAGCACCACTCCACCAACAGTAAAGGGCTTGCCTGGGCCACCGCGGAGGCGGCTGAGGTCAGAGCCCTGCAGGTGATGCCACAGCAATCCCTCATGGAAGTGACACTTGGTGTCAACCTCAAGGAGCCTTCCCTCCCTGTGTCAGCTTGATTGGGCCCCTGGATTCCCAGGCATTTGGTCAAACATTATTCTGAGTGTGTGGGTGAGGGTATTTGGGATGAAACTAACATTTTGAATGGGTGGGGTGAATTAAGTAGATTGCCCCCTCCCATTGGTGAATGAGGCAGGCGGGCCTCATTCATCAGCTGAAGGCCTGAATAAAACGAACGCTGACTGTCTCCCAGATAAGAGAGAATTCTTTCTTCCTGCCAGCCTTTGAAGGGAGACATCAGCTTTTTTCCTGCCTTCAGACTCAGACGAAAACACCGGCTCTTCCTTGGTCTTGAGCCTGCCGGGCTTCAAACTGGAAGCTACACCAGCAGCTCTCCCGGGTCTCCAGCCTGCCGACTCACCTTGGATATTGTGGGACTTGTCAGTGTCCATCCCCTTGTAAGTCCCTCCCTTACAGCAAATATGTACATCCTATAGTCGCCCCTCAGACTGGTCAGTGTCCGTGGTCTTGTGAGCCCATCCCTTACAGCAAATATGTACATCCTATAGTCGCCCCTCAGGATCCCTGGGGGGTTTGCTCCAAGACCTCTCACAGATATCGAAATCCACAGATGCCCAAGTCCCTGGTCTAAGATTTTGTAGTGTTTGCATGCAACATAAGACATCCTCAGGGTACTTCACATCATCTCTGGATTACGTAGAATACCTAATACAATGCGCATGCTATGTAAATAGTTGTTATAATTTATTGTTTAGGGAAGAACAAGCAAAACAAGCCTCTGCATGTTCAGAACAGATGCCATTTTTTTTCCAGTGGTTTCTGATGAGAGGGCGGTGAATTCATGGATGCAGAACCCATGGATATGGAGGGCCAGCTGCATATCCACGCATGAACCCCAGCGGCTGCGTAACCACCTCAGAGGGCATTTTCATTCAGGTTCTTCATGAACAACATATGCATGCGGTCCTGACTTGAAAGAGGGCCCAGTGATGGTTTAAATGCTTTACCTGTATGCTTAGGAACCAATCATAAATGTTATATCTTATCTGAAAATAGAACCTAGAAAACTAAAGAAGCGATCTTCTCACTGCAGAACTCACGTCCAGATGTCAGATAAGTCTGGGAATGGGACAGATAGGGAAGTGCACCAGGAGCCTGCAGGCCCTTGGAAAGGACCAGGGATTGTGGGGGCCATGGAGGGTGGTGCAGGGGTCATGATTCTGCAGAAAGGGTGGCACATGGAAGCCAGCGAGCTGTGACCTCAGTGTGATGGGGATTCACGCCCCAGCAGGTTCCTTGTGGATCTCTTGCACCGAGCCACGTCCTGTGAGATCATTTCCTGTCATATCCTATCCATGCGTCCACTCATTCACGCACCCTGTGGAGTAATGTGGATTCAAACCCTTTCCTGATTGGTTTCTTTGGCACTCTCCCACCTCTCTGTGAAAATTCCTCAAAGCTCCCAGGCCATGTGTAGTGTTTGCGATCGCTTAGAAATCTGGAGACAGACAGTTCAGCCACAGGTAATTCCTGTATATCGAGTCACTCTTAATATTGATGCCAGCCTGTTAATGATTCTCTAAATCCATATTCAACTCTTCAGCCGAAAAGCGGGCAGAGGTGTGAAATGAGGGGCTCCCTCCTAGCTCTAAATGTCGCTCACAGGGCGGGGTGGCCGTTGTTACTCTAGTTAACACGGGGCAGGTGTGAGGAGACTTGCTGCATATTCTGTCATCAACAGGAGAACTGGCTCCCTTGTTATGAGGATGAAATAATGACATTGTAGTGGAGTGAGTCCTAGAAATACGTCATTGACTGCCAGAGGAAAAGCTTCAGCATTAATTGCATCAAAATGGAAGGTACTTAAAAACTGAACAATGTGAAATTACGTGGAGAAAATCAGCCTTAAACAGCTTCCCAGAGGTTGAACTGTGTGGATGTCGAGCAGCTGTTACCCCAGGTCGGGGGCTGAGAAGGCACTGGGATAGGAGGCAGGGGATGGGGCGGTTGACCAGACGGCCCCCAACTCTGCGCGTGTTTCAGGATCTTCTGGGCTCTGGATGTAGCATCTTAACATGGGGATGGGGTGGGGTGTCCGCGACACTGCAGACACTGCAGACACAGCCACCCACCAGCGGAGGACCAGCTGCAGGGGAGCCATGGGGACCGGTGTGCTGAGGCCTGGGGCGGCAGAGAGTGCCCCAGGGCAGCCCAGCCTGGGCTTGGAGACCTTGCCCTCCTTCCCCTCTGTGGGTGGTGCTGGGCGGGCCATGGGTGGAGAACATGGTGTGGAAAGCCCCCCCTCCCCGGAACAGGGCACACCTTCCCCTCAGGGTCCACGTGTGGATTCACTGCAGCCGGGGCCACAGAGATGAGGACGGCCCGTCGTCCCTCCTGCCGGGCCGTGGGACTCCCCCACCCGCAGCTTACACACAGAGTTTGTCGAAACATACAAAGGAAAGGAGAATGTGGGAGGGGAAGGGAGCCGCAGCCACGTCCCGCCTGCCCTTTGAAAGACTGGTTTGAAAGCGTCTCGCACCAGGCTCCGTCCGCGCCCCCTTCGGAGTGGCCTCTGGATGGGAGTCTTGCTGCCCAGAATCCGGCTTCTAGGAAGCCTCCCATCGTCCTCAAGTCACCGCATCAAAACAGATGGGTCTGCTCCAGTGTCTGTGATCCCTGACCTTGGATTGACCAGGAAAGTGACCTCCAAAAATCCTCCGGCATTTTCAGTTTCTAGATCAAAAGGGCTGCGGGTTCCAACCTACCAAGGGCAGCAAAGGTGGCTCACGTTTCAAACAGAAAGACACAAACCATCTGGAGAGCAGCTTCTGAGACCTGAGCATGAAAAGCGCTCATTTAAAACCGAGCGCTTCCTAATTTCACCGTTTTCAGCTCAGCTCTCGGGCCATGACCGCGCCACCGCTGCTTTGGGTAGAGAATAGCTCATTCCAGACCCTTCTGGGCCCCATAGAGCAGGGCCTGGCTTAGTGACTCAGAACTTTGAACTCTACCTGAACAATTTGTGAACAATTTCTCAGCGAGGAAAGAGGAGCAATGTCCCTCTGTGGGTCTCTCGCATCTCTGTGCTGGCGGCACGGGAGGGGGCAGTCACACCGTGCTGTGCACTTCACCTCCAAAATTCATCACTAGGGAAAGAAAGCAAAGGACAGATCCAATCAGCAGGGGCGGGTGGTGGGGGAGGCTGGCATGGGGTAGCACAGGCCATGGGGACAAGCTGCCCACAGCAGCATGGCTGGAGGAAGCCCCCCAGTAGGGCTGCCAGAGCCTGGTCCTGAGCATCTCCCCCACCAGCCATCCTGGGGCGAGGCCTCCCCTCCACAGCCCTGGCCTCACTGAGCCTGGCCCACCGCAAGGGTGACTTGTAGCCCCCCGGGGACTCCCGGGCTGACTCCAAACTCCAGCGATGGGGCGGAACAGCAGGACCTCATCACCAGGAGAGCATGGCTGATCCTGGGGGAAGCCTGAGAGTTTAGAAAATAACCATTCTGCCCACTCACCCAATATTGCACTAATGGGGTCTTGCCCAGGCTCAGGGGCTCCCATAGGCACAGAGCACGGTGGGAGTGACCCTCCCACCCACCTAGACACCCCTCTTGAGGGGCTCCCCCAGGCAGGGAGGCATCTGCTTTAGCTCTTATTCTGGCACCAGCAGAGAAGAGCTGGGAGCCATGCCATCAGCCAGGACATGCCTTCGCTCTCAGCCACTGCCTGCATCTGGCACCAAAGCTCTCCATGCTCTTCTCAGTCCCCACAGGGCCTCCCTCCAATCCGGGGTAATGGCCTGGGGTGTGTGCATGAAGGGGTCTGTAATGTCCCCTGTGAGCCAACCTGTGCCAGTGATCAGATGCCACAGGGAAGTTAAACTCAATCACGGCCATGCCAGCTGGTAATTCACCAGGGAACACCGGCTCCATTTACTGGGATGCAGAAACAGAGCAGACAAATGGAGATGGTGGCTTCAGAATTTCACATTAATGTGAGGGGTTGTAAATACTAAATAATATTGATGACTTGGTCTAAATTCAGATTTTCTTCCTGGAAGCAGCAATAAATCACATGAAAATATTTCATACATTGGAAGTCTGATTTGTGAGGAGCATCTGAATAGATATAAATGTCACTCCTTCGAGGAGTGGAGGAGTTTAGTCTCCCCATGTGTGTGGCTCTGGGTCAGGTTCTGTGAGGATGCAGAGGACGGGGGTCAAGGTGTGGTCCCTGAGGAGACCCCCGGATTATGGGTCGGGAGACACAGGTGGGCAGCGAGTCTCCATCCTCTGAGGCCTGGTAGGCCGGGGGCACTCCGGGCCTAGAGTGGCTGACCAGAGGATGTGCGAGAACATGGGTTCCCCAGAGCTGCACGTAAGCTCAGCAGAGATGGAAGGATGTGCCTTTTCTGGCAAGACAAATAGGGACCCCCCCAATTGTGTGCACTGAGCACCCTCTGCCGGGAGCAGTTCCCAAAGTCCACCTGCATCGTCTCATGCACCCTCTGCTCCCTGTGGGGAGGCAGCGCTGTCTGTTTGTACAGGGGAGGACACGGAGAACCAGGACAGGTAAGGCCCAGGTGACGAACAGCCTAGTTCTATGCACCTGTAAGAAGGAAGTGGGGAGAACAGGTGTGTAGACAGGGTCCCTCCAGCCTGGACCTCACTCTCCCTCTGGAATCACACCCTCTTTCTTAGCAAGACCTCGGGAGGAATCCTCCTGGGCATGTGGGGAGTGGTCTGCGGAAGGGCCTGTGAATCAGCCAACGTGTGCCAAAAAGGACTTGGGTTAAGGCTGAAAGAAGTTGAGTTGGTTGTGCGGTAGCTTAAATGGTCAGCTGAGGACCCTGCTTGATGGAAGAGTCACCTTGAATGGTCAGCTGAGGACCCTGCTTGATGGAAGAGTCACCTTGAATGGTCAGCTGAGGACCCTGCTTGGTGGAAGAGTCACCTTGAATGGTCAGCTGAGGTCCCTGCTTGGTGGAAGTCATGGATATTTGGGAATACAAAGAGCAGATACAGTTGATGCCTGTTATTCGTGGATTCCACGTCTGCGAATTTAACTGCTTGCTAAAGTCGATACTCGTGGTACTTTCGCAGTCACTAACGAACGTGTGCAGAGAGGTGACAGCATCCATGCGGCCACAGGCACGTTCCCGCTGAGGTTGGCAGGCTGGCTGTCTTGGCTCCGTCTTCTCCTCTCAGCCCCGCACCGTAAACGCGCATCCTTTGCGCAGTCTGTTTAGCAGGTCACGTTTTGCATTTTTATGGATTTTGTTGGTGTATTCACTGCTTCATGGAGCACAGAGCCGGAGTCCTGTGCAGTGTTCCTAAAGGCAGGATGCCTGTGACGTGCCATCAGGAGGAACTGCGTGTGTTAGAGAAGTCCTGCCAAGGATGAGCCACTGTGCTGCTGGCCACGAGTCCAGGGTTAAAGAATCAGCAATGTGTACTTAATAAGATGCCTTAAACTTCTACATATAACACAAGGTCATGCACTGATTGGTTGGCAGAAAGTGGTCAGAAGCTTGTAGGAGCCTACTCCTCTATTTCCCCTAGGAGCAAGGCCTCAGTACTCACGAATTCAATGTTCACAGTGACTTTACAGGACATAGCTGTGGTGAATAATGAGAATCCCCTGTAGCTGGAAAAAGAGCTTTCTCCCAAGGGGAAGTCCATTCCTAGCAGGTCAGGAGAGAGCACCCTGGTCTGAGACCTGCCATGGCCACAGCCTCTGCCAGTTCAATTCTTGAAGGCCTGCTCTGTGCCAGGGCTGGGCCAAGCTCTTTCTCTGTATCTTCTCTTAACCATCAGAACAACCCAAAAAGCTGTGTCATTTCTCATTTACACAGGAGGGGACTGAAACCAGAAATGAGGTGACTGTGGCCAAGGCTGCAGGACTAACAAATGGCCACCAAGGGTGGAAACCCAGGCAGCCCGAGGCCTCCCATGCCCAGGCCCCAGTGTTCAGTGACTCCTGCCTGCACTCCCACAGGGTCCCGGAAGTTCCCCCACTCAGCGGCATCTCTGCATGTGTCGGGAGAAGGACGGGACATGTGGACGTCATGACCGCAGAGCACCGTGAGCCGTCCTTGGGAGCAGAGCACCACTTAGGGTTTGGGTAGAAGGTTGAGGGTGCACCCACCTGGAGAGAGCCTGGATGGGCACCTTCCTGCAGGTTACATGTGTGGACAGGTGTCCTCGGAGGCGAGCCACCTCTGCCTGGGGACAGCCTCGCTGGTATTTTAAGGCCAGACAGGCTTTGTGAGTGGCACCAAGGAGGGAGCACACCCTCCTGGTCACTGTGCTCTTTGCACCTGTGTGGGGGACATTCCAGCAAATGAGTACCTGGCGAGGGGACCAGCACTCAGCAGTGAGGTCTTGTCTCCAAGTGCAAGGAGGGGCTGCCCAAGCAGCCCAGGGCATTCCATGGCTCCATGGGGGCAGGGAGACGATGGACATTGAGCCACGGAAGGTGGGCGTCACCTCTCATGAGCAAAGGGGGAGCCCAGGAAGAGACGAGGAGCCAGGAGCTGCAGTTGCCTGAGCCACAAGCCTCAGACATCCCAGGCAACGGCACAGCCCCAGCCCCACCATGAGCCTGAGCTGTCCTGGGACCTCTAGGGCCAATGACAGAGCCTCTCTGTGCCTCGACTTCTCTACCAAGAAAGGTTGACAGGAGTGCGCTTGTGGGGAAGTCGTGAGAATCAAAATGAGGTGACAGAAACACACTGAGTGCAGTGGCCCACACCTGTAGTCCCAGCATTTTGGGAGGCCAAGGCAGGTGAATCACTTGAGCTCAGGAGTTCAAGACCAGCCTGGGCAATGTGAAGTAATGCTGTCTCTACCAAAAATATAAAACTTAGCCAGGCACGGTGGTGCGCACCTGTGGTCCCAGCTACTCTGGGGCCCAGGAAGTTGAGGCCCCAGTGAGCCATAATCTCACTACTGCATTCCAGCCTGGGTGACAGAGTGAGACCATATCTCAAAAAAAAAAAAAAAAGAAAGAAAGAAAGTTAACAGACACAACAAAGCCTAAAGGGCTGCGGGCGCTGCACAGACGCAAAGCTTCCTGCATCACGCCTCTTACCTGCATCCTCCTTTTCTCCCTCTGCATTTTCTTGAAAGGGAGTTGTGATTCCTGAGTTCATCCTAAGCTCTGTGAGCATTCAGACTCAAGCCAGCATTTCAGCCACAGGAAACAGACAGCCCTTTAGGAATTGCTCTGCCCAGATAATCTGATCTAAGTCCTGCCCTTAGGTGGGGATTCGGGAGGGCTGAGCATCTCTCTAAACCTATTACGATTCTCTCCCAGGATGGGGATCATGGCTGTTCAGAAACTGTTCTTGTTTATGCTTCATTTGAATGGTTAATATTAAATCAAAGTGGACTAATTATAAAAATACAGGTGACAAGTATGTCGATAGGAGATAAATTTACGATAAGTGCTACACAGTCTCATTTAAAAGTAATCTGTAATAATGGAACACTCTAAACACGTTTAGCTCAGTACCCCTTGTAATCTACATGACTGCGGAAGCCTCCGCTAGGACCTGTGGGAGGGGGCCAGGCACCTGAGCAGCAAGAGGCCCCACGGAGGCTGAGATGCTCCCAGGGGCATCAGGGTGGTCCACGGCTAGCCCCAGTCTGGGAAGGAGCAGACATTCACATGGCCCTGGGAATCCTAGAACTGGCTCCAAGACTCCAGGGCTTCTCCTTCTGGAGACGCCATCCTTGGCTGTCTGCATCTCTCTGTAGCAAAGTTGATTCTTGTTCAATGGAGTTGCTTTAAAGAGGATGTTTCTCTGTTACTTGCTAAGATTGTGGCCATACGTTAGTTTTTTGTTTTTGTTTTTTGTTTTGTTTTGTTTTGTTTTGTTCTGAGACAGGTTCTTGCTCTGTCACCCAAGCTGCAGTGCAATAGCACATCATGGCTCACTGCAGCCTCGAACCCCCAGGCTCAACTGATTCTCCTGCCTCAGCCTCCTGAGTATCTGGGACAACAGGTGTGTGCCACCACACCCAGCTCATTTAAAAAAAAGATTGTGGAGATGAGGGTTTTGCTGTGTTTCCCAGGCTGGTCTCAAACTCCTGGGCTCAAGCAATGCCCCCTCCTTGACCTCCCAAAGTGCTAGAATTACAAGCACGAACCACCGTGCCCAGCCAGATATTTTAGTCAGGTCCAACACTTCAGGGCAATTACAAAATAAAGATGCAGCCATGATTCCCAAGTGAGAGCTCGACATATAATATTTTATCTGTGGGGAAAATTCAAGAGGAGCAATGAGCAGAAAAGGGAACTCAGCTCAAGGGAACTGTGCCTGAGGAGCAGTACCTGGCATCAAGTGCATCTGTGGGACGGCGTGGACAGTGCCTACGGGCTCCAGCCCCAGTCCTACCCACACAGGACTCAAGGCCACTGGTGTTGTGTGGCATCTCGAGGCTCAGCGCATGTGATCCTGTGTGTGGGGTTGTGATCCCCACCACGTGCCCGTCTCTCAGCTGCAACAAGGGTCAAATGAGAGGTCCCAGGACTGTCAGTGACGGTCTCACCATTCCCAGGAAAGCCTGTCCTCCCCCTCAGCACCCTGCAAGGAGGAAGATGTGCATGCGATAGAGGTTTTACTCACACAAGCTCAGCCCGTTGGTCTAAACCAAGAGGAACAAGGCCCTTTAAAAAGAAGATAAAAATCTGGTAACTGCTTTGCTGCGAGTCGAATTGTGTGTCCCAAGATGATATGTTGAGATCCTAACCCAGCTGCCTTTGAATGTGACCTTATTTGGAAGGACAGTCTTAGAGATAGAACCAGATTCCAGTGAGGTCTTACTTGATTCCTGTGGACCCTAAACCTGATGACTGGTGTCGTTACAGGAAGGGGATGGGAGACACAGAGACATATGAGGAGGAGGCGTTTGCAGGTGGAGGAAGAGCCTGGAGTGACGTGGCTGCAGCCACAGGACTCAGGGATGGCCAGTGACCACCGGAAGCCGGGAGAGAGGCCAGGACAGATCCTCCCGCCAAGCCTCCTGGAAGAACCAACCCTGCTAACTCCTTGAATTCATACTTCTAGCCTCTGAAACTGTGGGAACCAACATGTCTACCCCAAATCATGTGGTCTTATGGGTGCAGCTGTCTCTGCAGAGCAGAGCTGATGTGGCACTCCCTAGGGGCAGAGTCATGGGCTGAAACTGCCCCCACTGCAGCGGGGGCTGCCCCGACACAGCCACCTCAGAGGTTAACACCGCATCTGAACCCAGGCCTAACTCAGCCCTGAGTCTGGTCTGATGATGAAGCAGCAGCACCCACACAGCGCGTTACAAGGCGAAGCTCCCTGCTCTGTTCTGCACGGTCGTCAGGAAAGCGGCTCATCTGGTAACGGCGTCCATGTAAATGCAAAAACACGCTCACGTTCAGCTCCTCCATAAGAGGCTTCTAAAAGCGTCGCTGCTGGCGCCTTCTCTCCAGCTGAAGGGCCTTGTCTCAGGGCCCAGGGACAGAGGTCCTGGAGCTGTACCCAGCATGGGAAGAAAGAGACCAAGGGTTCCCTTTAACATCCCTACGACAGCCACATTGCCTTAGTGTTCACTGTCCAGAGAAAGACAACTTCCGTGAAATGCCCGAGTGAGGCTCTGCTAGTTTTTGGAGGATCTGATGTAGGAGAAGACGTGAACCTTCCACGCAGGGCAGGGAAGGGGGCAACCATCACTGGATGTTGTACAATTAATTTCATTACAAGAAAACCTCAAACACGTGTTCACCAGGAGGGCGATGTTTCCAGTGTTGAGGAGAAAGACGTGATGGAAATTAAAGGGACATGAGCACCGACTATAACACATGCTGATGCCAGCAAAGACTGCGGCGCCAGGCGACGGCACCGCCCTCAGATCCGGAGCCAGCAGCGGTCCAGATGGTGACCGACCCACCCCAGGAAGCCAGAAGCTTCGTGGCTCTTCAAATGAAGTCTCTTTCAGAAGTCTGCCTGCCGGGGCCTTTGTGTTACCTGGTTCCACGGCCTGATTCCGTATCATCATGGCACCAGCGAGACTTCCTCCAGGGTAGTCATGACAACTACCCCAGACTCATCACCTACAGGTCTTTAGATTAACCTGAGAATTTGGTGAACCCCTGTGAGCTCCAGTGAGGCCAAAGCTACCTCTGTCTTTGAGCAGGGCTGTGGGTTGTGTAGCTGTCTAGATCCACATTCCCAAACTTCACTGTGCTTGAGAATCTCCCAGGAAGCCAGTTCACACACACATGCCCGGATCCCGTCTCAGATGCCCCAGTGCAGTGGCTCTGCCTCCTAAAGGGAGATCAGCCAGCCTTTTCTGTCAAGGACCAGAGAGTGAATGTGTTTGGTTTTGTGAGCTGGAGGGCTCTGCTGTGGTACAGAGGCAGCTACAGACAGCCAGTGCCTGCGTGGTGGGCTGCAGCCCAGCGTTGCTTTGTTCACAGACGCTGTGGTCTGAATGGCATGGAACTTTCACGTCGTGAAATATCATTCTTCTTTGGAAACTTCCAACATTTAAAAGCGTGAAGTCCCCTCTTAGTTGGTGAGCCATACAAAACACAAGGCCAGCCACACTGGGCACCTGAGCCCTCATTTCAGACCCCTGATTACGGCTGTCAAACAACAGTGCATCCCTCTCAGGGGAGCCTGACTTCTGTTGACTGTCACTGGCTTCAGTCATCTTTAAAACTCATTTTCAGGGGTAGACGGGCACACAGACGCACCACCCAGAGACACCGCAGAGCACACACCAGCCAGGCACGAGAGGAGCTACCATGCCCGCTGTGGGCAGATGTTCTTCACACTTCCCGGGGTCTGGTGGGAGGGTCTGAGCAGCCCACTGCATGGAGAGGCATCTTCAGAAAAGCCTGACCATAGCTGGGTTCCAGGGGTTCTACCGGGAGAGGACCTCAGGCCTGGGGATCCTGGGCCTGGTGAAGCCTTGGTTTGACCCTAAGTTCTGTATAGCATCAGAAGCATCTGCAGACATGAGAAGGGAGCCCGGAGGCCCGGTCTGCTCCACCTCCAGCCGCCTGTCCCCACCCACACCACCACCTGCCAAGGCCCCTAGAATCTCCCTTTGGGACCCCCAACCCAAGCTGTCAAGACTGTCCTCAGCTCACTCCAGAAGCACGTGTGGCTCAGCAGAAACCCTCAGGACCCTCACACACTTAGGAGGGATGCTGAACTCACCAGGCCTCACTCCTGAGCCCCCGCTCCTTTCCCAGTATGTGCAGAGTCCTCAGCCAGTCAACAGATACCTGCAAGGAAAAGTGCCCAGGGCCAGGGCTGTGTTAGGTGCTGAGGGGGGTGGTTAGAGGGCTGGGGGGCCGTCCGTTGGGAGATCAGGGTGCAGGGCCAGGGCTGTGTTAGGTGCTGAGGGGGTGGTTAGAGGGCTGGGGGCTGTCAGTTGGGAGATCAGGTGCACTGATCCCTGTTTCACAGGAGCACGGGCGGTGTGCAGACCTGACACTGAGGCTCAGAGCACTTCCGAAGAGAAACGGCATCCAGGGAGAGGGTTAACAGATGAGTAGGGCTCAGCTGGGACAGAGGCAGGGGCAGGGCTGGGTGAGGACACTGTGCTATTGTGGGCAAGTGTTGGCTCCTCAAAATGCTACATCCACCCAGAACCTGTGACTGTGACTTTATTTGAAAAAAAAAAAAGGGTATTTGCAGATATAAATAAGTTAAGCAGCCTGAGATGAAATCGCCTTGGGTTATGCTCAGCCCTAAATTCAATGACAAGTGTCCTAAGGAGAGAAGGATAGAAGACCCACAGAGGAGGTGGCCATGTCACAGTGAAGGCAGAGACGGGAGCAATGCATCAACCACCCAAGGGACACCAGGGATATCTGGAACTGCCAGAAGCCAGGAGAGGGCCTGGAACAGATTCACCCTCAAAGCTTCAGAAGGAACCAGCCCTGATGCCACCTGGGTTGCAGATTTCCAGCCCCCAGAACCCTGAGAGGATGACTTTCTGTGGTTTCCAACCCTCTGGCCTGTGGTGTTTGGTTACAGCAGGTGTGAGATGGAACCCTGGGTGCGTGGGAGCGAGACAGAGTTGAGAACAATGGAAAAATTCAGGCAACTCCATGCAGCAGCAGCACCTTGTGTGTGGGGCCGGGGGAAAGGCGGGAGATAGGCCACTAGGAATCCCCAGGTGTCTGAGGATGAGGGGGAGCCATCAGGGGCTTTATGCAGAGCAGCCATGTCCGATTTACAGGTGGAAAGATCCCTGACTCCCTTCAGTGAGGAAAAGTGATTGCAGGAGGATAAGGTGGGTGAAAGGAGAATGTCTAGAAGGTTCATGTGGAAATTTCGATCCTATTTGGTATAATTTAGGAGGAAAACAGGCCGGGGCTAGGAGGGAGAATGACCTGCAGAGTCAGCTGGTGGAGGCTGGAGCAGGGCTGAACAGGGACAGCGTCTTGGGTTCATGGTCACAGAGTCCCCTGGGAAAAGGGAAGCAGCACTCTCTGTGTCCACGGGAACTGAAGGGACTGAAATTCGTGAGCAATCCAGACCTAGGCTGTCCCAGAGCAGTTGCCCTTCCACCACCCCACGTGGCTTACCATGGCCATCAGCAAGGAGCAAATGGTATGAATGGGGGTTCTGTCTTGCACTGGCCCGAGTGCAGGCACAGAAGTCAGGGGCAAGCAGGAGGGAGCAGCCAGGAGCTGAGGGGTTCCCAGACAGCGGGAGGCAGCAGGGCCTCATCACACAGACCCAGAGGGGCCTACAGAGCCCTAGAGAATCCTAGAATCCCTGGAGAACCCTGGGGAACCCTGGAGAACCTCAGAGGAATCTGGAGGACCCTAGAGAACCCTGGAGGACCCTGGGGAACCCTGGAGACCCGGAGGACTGTGGGAAAGTCTGAAGGACTGTGGAGAATCCCAGAGGACCCTGGAGGACCCTGAAAGACCCTGGAGAATCCCAGAGCCATAGGACTACGGAGGTCAACCTGAGACCTTGTGCTGTGCATGTTTTCCTTCCCCAGTGGACACACTGTCTTCCTTAGATATCAATGACAGTTGGAAAATCATTTCCTCGGTTCATCTTTCCAGAAAAATACATGGCACCCAGCTATAAAAAGTAGTTCTGAGTGCCTGCACTGTAACCATTTAAAAAAGCGATTACCTATCAGAGGGTAACTAGTAATCATGAGATTACTTTCTAAATACACTTCAGAAGAGATGGGCAAAAGGGTTCCACACAACCTCAGTATTTCTCTTTTGAAGGCACAGGTGGACTTGCACAATTCTCAAGGCAAGCTTGAGAGAAAGGGAGAATAAAAGTGCCAGAGGCTTGAGCGATGCTGGTGTATATTTCTAGAAAGGAGACAGAATTTCATTTTCTCACTTATTATCCCCTATGATGTGTCACCAGTGGTGTGTGAAGGGAAAAATGGAGAGGACCACAGTAAATTTTCCCACTAAGCTAAAAAGATTAGGGAAGAGGCAATGCAACCTCTTAGCGGGTGTTTCTCTTTGAGCTTAAAAAATTGGTTTACTAAGCAAACCTTGTAATAGTCTCATTGGCTAAGAAAATGAAGGAAAGAAAGCAGACCCAACGAAGGAGTCTGACAGCCAGAAAAAGTTGTCTTAATAACCTAGTTTGGGTAAATGTCCTCAGAATGCTTTTTAAAAACTATAAACATGAGGTATGGTTCTACTAAGATCTATTTTCTAAACATCACATTGCCACTGCCGCTAAAATGACTTCTCACAATAGTGTTTTGGGAGGAGGGCACTTACCCTGCAAATTAGAAGCCTGGATTTTTCTTCTCTGATTGTCTGCAGAGAGCATGGGTCATCTTGGAGGAGGGTCTGTCTTTCCTCCTCTGAGAAACAAGGGTGGTTGGCATCTGCCCATCATTCCCCAGGGAGCCTCAAGGGCATCTCAGTTGGCGCACGTCCTCCGAGGCAGGCAAAGCCAGAGAAGCAGAGCTAGACTGTTCTGTTTCCATGCTTTCCTGGCGTTCCCGACTTGGGTCCAAGGAGGAGGCGACTGGCACCTGGATTTTCACAAAGCGTCAGCCTCATGCCTGAGCTGATGCTTCCACATTCAAGATCTCATTTAATCTGTGAAATTCCCCTTTATGCAGAAGCTGCTCACTGTCCCCTTTGAAAGATAAGGCCCAAGCTGCAGAGTTTGAGACTGGTGTAGGGTCATGCAGCTTGTGGCATTCAAACTCCAGCCATCACTGGCTAAAAAGACTAAGATGGTTGGGGGTGGGGAGCACAGAAGAAAACTGTGGCTTTAAAAAATTGAGTTAATATTTGTATAGCACTTAGACCAGAGACTGGGACGTCGTAAATGCCCTATAAGCGTTAGTTCTTGAAACCAAGGCATTTGGGCAAATATTATACATTTTTATTTTATTAATTTTCCAGAACCCGTTTGAACCATGAAGCCATTTGTGCATATAAGCATCAAGAGAAGAATCTTCCTAACAGTGTACACTTTTCAAGAGCACGATCATATTTTATATTCCTGAGGATCCTGTCTGATTCTGTTTTTTTTTTTTGAAACCTTTAAAAAATTGTTTTGTTTTGCTGCTGAGAGCAATAAATTGTTTGGAAAGTATTAATGCAAATATGCAGACTCACCATATTTTTGCTGTGTGAGTTCTAATCCCTGCTCTTACACATGGATAACTGAGGGGGAGCCAGTAACTTATTTTCTTGGAGTCTCAGTTTCTTTTTCAATAAAATAGGAGTAAAAATGCTTTGTATGTATTTGTCGAGCACCTCGTATGCATGAACTTCCAGGTTCATTCTCAGGGAGTCACAGCCAGTGCTTTGTGACCATTGAACCAATGTGTTGAGATGTTGATAAGGAACAAGGCGAGGCAAACCTGTATTTTCAATTTCTCAAGGGCCACATGAACAAGCTCATTGGGCTCTAGACAACAAAAGGCTGCCCTTCCCCAGAACCCGGGGGGAACAGGAGGAATACGTCTCACTTCCCATTCCCAGACAATGGCACACAGTCAGAGCCTGTCTCTGTGAGGTCTGTCCTTTTCCTGTCCCTCATTCTTTTTCTCCCACCCTCCTTTCATTTCTTCTCTCCTTCTCCTCCTCCTCCTCCTCCCCTTCTCCTTCTCCTTCTCCTTCTCCTTCTTCTTCTTATTCTTCCTCCCCTTCTCCTTCATAGGTGTTTTGCTCTGTATACCAGGCTGGAGTGCAGTGCCATGATCACAGCTCAGTGCAGCCTCTACCTCCCAGGCTCAAGTGATCTTCCCACCTCAGCCTCCTGAGTAACTAGGACCACAGGCAGGTGCCATCGTGCCTGGCTAATTTAAATTCAAAAAAAAAATTAAATTTTAGAGATGGGGTCTCACTATGTTGTCCAAGCCGGTACAACACTCTGAGCTCAAGTGATCCTCCTGCTTTGGCCTCCCAAAGTGCTGGGATTACAGGCATGAGCCATGGTGCCCAGATTTATTTTTTTTTCCCTTTTCTACTTATCCCCCACTTGCATTCCATCACCAGCCTGGGGGAACAGCCCTCACCTGCCTGCTGTGTATCTTTGATTCTTATCCTAATGAAACATACGAGTACTGTTTTCCATGTGTATATATTTGTAACTATTTTATTAAAAACAATGTAGAGAACACAAATACAACACTCAGTAAATTACACACAATAAAAATAGGCATAAACGTCTTCCAGGTCAAGAAAATAGGATATCACCAGCATCCAGACACCCCATGCCACCTTTGGGTAACTGCACCCTGCTCCTTGAAGCTAAGCACCGTCCTGTGCTCCAAAAGCACAAACTCAATCTAAATACAACTGTGACACACACTCCATGGTGACTGACGTCTTTCACACAACATTGCATCTGCGAGACTCACCCATGCTGTTATGGGCAGTTTCACTGGTTCATTTCACTGCTGCTTTTGAGGGATCGTTAGCAGGCCTTTTACTTTTTAGCAATTCAGATTTTGATTTAACATGTTGTAAATTACACAAGACAATATTAGTTTTGTTTTTACAATCAATGTACTTTTAAATGGACTCACAAATTTACCTTTTCCAACATAAATGTGCATGTATACACAACAAAACATCTGCATGGGAATGCCTGTGGCAGCCCTTTCCACAGTAGCTCCAAGTTGGAAGCAACTTGGATAAGTATCAGCATAATGACGGATGAATACACGTTGGTGCATTTATGCAGCAGAATACTATGCTGGACCAGCCTCTCATATGCCTTCTCAGCGTGACCTTCAGCACAGCGGGCTGAGAACATGGTGCGCCCCTGCACCTGTTCCCTTCCCCCTGTGGATCACGAGCTCCGTTTGTGTCTTCTCAATGCGGTGGAACCACTGAACACCCCTCCTGCTTTCCAGAGGCAAAGTTGGTTTACCAGCTGTGCACTGGAGCCTCCAGTGTGCAATCTTATGTCTCTGGACTTGGAGACGGCCAATGGCTTTGTTGATGTTTCACCGAAGCAAAGCCCCCATTCACAGCTTTTCCCTTGTGTCCAGAACTGACAAGCAGCCCCAGAAAACAAGCGTGTCTGGTGTGTCTGTGCTGACCCTCCAGTTCTCACAGCTCTGGCAGCTCTGATCCTATCAAAACGACTATTGTGTTTTTCTCATTGTCCTCAGAGGGGGATCGGTCTGCCTCAGCTGCTCCATCCTACCCAGAAATGGAAATGATCCTAAAACTGTAGCATTCCCCTTCAGGTTGAGAACAACAGCTCATCTGGAATTACTATTTATGTGTTGTGGTAAATACGGAAAGGAGAACCCACAGACCCATCGCTGTTCATTGCCCTGTGCTCTGTGGTGCCGGCTTTGCCATAGATCCAGAGTCCACACACAGGAGGGATTGTATCTGGACTCCATTCTGCCATATTGGTCTCTATGTCTCCCTTCGTTCCCATAACCCATGTTTTTAGATAGCACAGAAAATAAATACTGATATGAAGGAAAAATGTTCTCACACTTTTTCTTCCTCTTAAGTAAGACCTTGACTATTTGGAGAGTTTGCATTTTCATATCAATTTTAGAATTTGCTTGTACATTTACAAAAGTTAAATAAATAACCCTCTCCCCCTACACAGATATGCCCATGCCTGTGCACGCGCACACACACACAAACCTGTTGGCATTTTGATCGATATAGCTTTGCCTCTATAGGTAAATTTGGGGAGATTAACAGCTTTACAGTATTGAATTTTCTGATGCATTCATCTCACATATCCTTCCATTTAATTAGGTCTTCTTTGATTTTTCTCAGCATTGTTTTCCCAGCTTTTCTAATTGTTCTCTGTGGTAGTTTTGGTCTAAATTAACTTGCCCATTATTTCCAAAAGAACCCATGCATGTGTTATTTTAATTTACATGAAGAATATAATGCTATAGGCATTCTGTTTTACTTATTCATCCAGCTCTATAGTTCCTGTTAATTTATGAATATCTACTTTATTGCTTCTAATTGTTACTTAGTAATCCAGCAGCGTCCTTAATATATAAGGAAACCTTGTAAAGTAATAAAAATTAAAAAGACAATAAAGGGATAACAAATAAAGACATAACATTCCCACAGAAAGCCATGCAAAGGGGCAGTATGTGTGTGAGAAACACCAAATCTCATTAATAATCAAATTAATGATTTGATTATGAATGACAGAGTCACTCTCATTGACTCCTGTTGGGAGCTAGAAATCAATCTGTCAATAGCTATCAGGATGAAGATTGTGTAGGTGCTTTGATGTGGCAGGTTCTCTTCTTGGCGTGCATCAGACAAAAGCCCCATCACAAATTCACCAAGTACGAAACGTGATCACCATCGTGGCATTAAGTGTAATTGAAAAATGAACTCAAACAACTTACATGTTTATTAATAGAAGACTAAGTGCATGAATTCTTGGTACAAGTGAAATGCTTTGCAGCCGTTAAGACATAATCTAAAAATCTTATTTATAAAGATGCTGAAGTCATGTGAAGCGAAGAGCGAATTTCAGCAGTGTGAGCGTGTGGTTGGATGGTCTCCCTTTGCAACAGTGCTGGTTTTGATGGAGTTCAGCTCCTGGCTTTGTGCCACTCTAGGCATATTTCACAACTTTTCTGTGTCTCATGACTAATCTGCTTAAAGTACTTAGATGCAGCCAGGCATGCAGAAAATGATGAATCAATGTCATCTATTATAAGTAAAATGCACCCATAAAATAATAATTATAATACACGTATAGGAAGAGATCTTAAAGAATAGACACAGTATTTTCATAGTGATTATATCTGACTTTTATTTCCAAGTTAACTATGTTTGTGATATTTAACTTTAAATTATTTTATGATGGTTTTGTAATTGTTTATAACTGGAAAACATAATATAGAAAGAATGCAGAAATTTTTAAAGAGAAAGTGCTGTGGGCATCTTCCTGGGTGCTGGATGCCCATTCAGCCAAGCCTCGGTATCAACTTGGAGGGCGAACATCACGCTGAAGACGCAGCCCCGTGGGAAATGGAAAACACCGTGGTGTTCCAGGTGCTCCACACCCCAAATGCACAGACAGTGACTCCGGCAGGGAGTCCCTGAGCCCTGGGCACAGAGTGATTTGTTGAAACTTAAAAAAAAAAAAAAAAAAAAAAAAGATGGTGGGCGTCTGTAATCCCAGCTACTCAGGAGGCTGAGGCTGAGGAGAATCTCTTGAACCTGGGAGGCGGAGGTTGCAGTGAGCCAAGATCGCGCCATTGCACTCCAGCCCAGGCAACAGTGCGAGACTCTGTCTCAAAACAAAACAAAACAAAAAAACAAAAAACTTAGCAGTTATTCTCTCCTTCCTCGTATTAACTTTTAGGGGTTATTATGCATTATTTTTCCATTAAGAGACCAGATAAATAACAATGCAGTTGACATTAACATTAGTGAGTTTTACTCTAGACCTCAGGTAAACTTTTAGAACGATTTAAGGGCTTTCAGCTACCCATGCAAAGCCATTAAAGTTCCTGTTTAGCAGCTCAGGTGACAAACGTACATGGCTAATTTAGAACGCAATGAAGAAGCAGGTGGGGTTGATTTAGAATATCTGTTTAGAATCTTCTCTACGTTCATGGGATAGAGGCTCAATCGTCAAGCGTCTTAGCCGTGTAACAACTGAGCCAAGTTGATCGTCACCTTGCACGGGCGGCTGCTCTGATTTGAACCCTTCTCGTGACGACTCACCGTATGCCGTACTTGGGAGAGAACACAAAGGGCAGAATGATCGCACCGAGTCCAAAGGAAGACGGAAGTTCATGTGCTCAGGCTTGCAGCAGAAGTGAGAGGATGCCTCCCACAGGAACGAACGGAAGAGCGTTTGATGCAGGACCATTTGGCGGTGCGGTCAGGGTGAAGACGTTCAAGATGCAGATGCACTCAGGATCTACTAATAGAAAGAGGGGCCGCCCCAACCTCAGGCCTTCAGGGGCGAAGGGTGAGCCTGGTCTTTTTTTTTTTTTTTTTTTTTTTTTTGAGACGGAGTCTCACTGTCGCCCAGGCTGGAGTGCAGTGGAGGGTGAGCCTGGTCTTGATGGAAGGGTGGGGTCAAGGGAGGAAGAAGCTGGCTGGCGGGGGAAGGGGAGTAGACATCTCCCCCGCCCTCCTCTTCCTCCTGCTGAGGCTCCCACCGGCTCAACCCACCCGGAACGAAAGGCTAGGCTCCCAGCGCTGCTCTCTCTGGGGGCTGAATGTCTGGGGTGCAGGGCAGTGAAGGGCTCTGGGGTGCAGCAGACGTCACTCTGTCATCAACGGCTAAAGGACAATGTGACTAAAATAACTAAGAACAATGCCCAGCTTTCCTTTCCACTTGACGCTGATTCTGAAGATGGCGGTGACCTTCAAGTGCCCTCAGTGCCAGGAACAGTGCCCACTCAGAGCAGCTGCATTCACCAGCCGGTGGGCATGGATTTCTGCAGCAGGTCCGTGGTGCCAGGATTATGGCTAAGAAGAATACAGGGCTTGGAGATCCCAGTCTTCACTGCCGCCCCTCCAAACTCAGTTCTGTGGCTTCCATTCTCCATGGAGTTCACTCTAGGGGCAGGGTCATCTTCAAATTATAAATCAGATTATGTCACTTCTCTAACTGAAAGTTTTCAGTAGTTTCTCAATGCTCTCAGAATAAAAATAAATACAAATTCTTCATGCTTGCCCTAAGGCCTGCATGCCCCACCATGCAAGCTGCTTCAGCTGGTTCCATCCATTCCTCCGCTGGGGTCCTCAGGCCCTGCCCTCCTGTTGGCCCAGCCCAGGCCCTGCCCTCCTATTGGCCCCTCCCAGGCCCTACCCTCCTGTTGGCCCTGCCCCATGTGGGGCACTGCCCCTGCATGCTGGTGTAGGCAGCCTGGCTCCAGAACCTGTCCCCTACAGGCACTGCTGTAACCACAACTATATCCCCTGGTGGAGGCATTTCACCTCTGGGCACCAACACTTTTACACCTTCAGAGCCTCCAGTGGTGAGACGAGAAGCACGAATGTCCTGGTTTGGTCATTAGAAGTGGTGTTGAGTGGAGCCACCGCTACGCTCATCTGTTGTGTCTGCGTCTCTTGAGAGGGCATTGATTTAGGATGAGGATTGCATCTTGGTGGATGATGCTCCCTTCTCATAGGAAGAATCTGAGCTGATGCCTCACCTGCACCTTCCAGAGGCCATTCTCAGGCTCTCCAAGGCTGAGGCCTTCTAGGTCTTCTAGTGATGCAGGGCAGAGTGCAGGATGTGACAGGACCCGTGGGTGCCTGGGTCATGGGCCCACTGCCACACCTTCTTCATTGTAGGATGAGACAGGACCCGTGGGTGCCTGGGTCACGGGCCCACTGCCACACCTCCTTTGTTATAAAGTCAGTCTCTTGGTGGAGTGAGGTCATAAGTGGGACCCTAACTTGGAGGATAAAGCTCTCTATGCATCCTCGCATACCAGCACTACGCAAAGCCCTATAGGCATAGGCAGACCAGGTAAACCCACATCCAGGATATGTGTTGATTCTAGCCAGGGTGAATCACTGTCCTTTAAGATGGAAGAGGCTCAGTGTATCAATCTGATACCAAGTTCCTGGTTGGTTTTTTCAGGGGATGATGCTGTACAAGGAGCTCAGTATTGGTTTTTATTGCTGGCAGTTTAGACATCAGGCAGCATCCATAGCTGGATTAGCTGTAATAAACAAAGGCCCAAGCTGTTGGGCCCAGGAATAAGCTCCGTCACTGTTGCCTTGCCTATCTGCTCATATGTCCGCTTGCCAGCACAGGTGTGGCCATTCTGCCAATTACTAGCCAAGCTATTCTGCCCATTTGTCTGTTGAGTGGATGCTCCCTGATGGATGCCAGCTTGCAAGACAAGAGGCTCACACTCTATGTCCACTCCTGGAGCCCCATCTACCCATCTATATGCTGCTGTCCCACTCCTCTCGTCCTCAGCCTTCTACACTTTGTCTTTCCAGGATCCCAGGCAACCAGTCAGGCCATTTGCCAGTGCTTGTAATTGTGCATATATTCTTGACTTAGGCTACTCCTCTCTCTGCTCAAAGTGTATGAGCAGGTTAATTCCCAGAGTTCTACCCAGTGGGAGACCGTTCAGCCCAGTGCTACAAATGGAGCTGCTACGTGGCTGAGTATCTGGTAGTTCAGGGTCTTCTATCATGAGTTAGCCAAGTGTTGTGGGGCTCAGTTTCGTAGATTAAGTAGGTACATAGTGGTGACCACTATCCCTGCATTCTTTAAGCCTTTGATAGTGGCAATAATCTCCAACATTCCCTCCAGAGATGCAGTCTTGTTTTTTGCTGTTGTGATTTGGTTTGGTTTGTTTATTTTTTTTATTCCATTGGACAGAAAGAAGGATACTTGGGAGTTGGGGGACTGCCCACGGTCAAGACGTTTCCACTTGGCCCCCCAAATTATGATAGTTCCTATTCCACAGGTCATGGAACAAATATGAGAGTTCTCCACCTACCGATTCCAATCAATTTCAATGATAGATTCTGGGATGGGTAAAGTGGATGCCAGTGAGTGCAGCATCAGCTACGCCTGGGACGGGACTCCAGCACCGCCCTCCCCGACAGGCTCCCTACAGCAGGGGCCATGGTGGGCCTTTGGGCATCTGGATCAGCGATGCCTAGGACAGGACTCTGGCCCCACTCTGCCTGACAGGCTCCCTACAGCAGGGGCCATGGTGGGGATCAGGGTCAACGCAGACCCTGTGTCCAGCATCTCCAAAGGGCTATCAGGGGCTCCTTCCTGGGTGCGTGTTTGTGTAGGTAAGAGGTCGTGGGCTTTTCTAGGAAACTAATGAGAAAACGATTACCAAGCATATCTGACACCGTATTTTAGGAAACGTTCATAGGAACCTGCAGCCTAAACTTCATCCAGTGGGTTTTGGATCTCCGAACTAGTTCTGAGACCGACACTGGAAAACAGACTCTGTGACTTTAGAGGGGTGACCACCATGGCACCTTTTTCTCACTGGTTTTTCTCTCCCTTTACTTCGGGCAGTGTCTATTGCCCCCAGATTCACTGCTATTTTCTTCTGTGGTGTCTAATCTGCTATGAAGCCTGTCGAGTGAATTTTTAATTGTAGACATTGTATTTTCCAGCTCTGGACACATCACTTCACTTTATCCCTTTCTCATCTCATATGTTCCTGTTTTTCTCGGGATCTTTGAACATATTTCTAATAGTCTCAGTAAAGTTTTCATTTGCCGATTCCATCAACTCTTTCATTTCTGAGTCTGTTTTTTAATGGTTTTTTCTCTTCATTATAAGTTACATTTTCCTGCATCTTTGCATATCTCATAATTTTAAAAATATTAAACACTGGGTATTTTGAAAGTGACATTACTGCCTGTCTGGATTTTGTTTTCTTTTCCGGAGGTGTTGGCTTCTGCTCTGGCAGGCAGTTAAGTTACCTCCAGGTCAACGCGATCCACAGAGGCTCTCTTTGGAATGTGCCGGGCGGGGTATAGACTAGTGTGTTCCTCTCCTCGAGCAACCCTCTTCCTCTCTGAGCGTCACCCTTCTTGCTTTCCGACTGAATGCTGAGGCTCAGCAAAGCATCTTCATTTCAGATGAACAGAACTGCAATGCGACTCCCTGGTGAGAGCTCTGGAAGTTGCTCCTTTTCGTGGAGACTTGTGGACACTTGCTCTTTCCCTGATAGCTGGCCTTTGCCTGGCCTCCTGTGGTCTCATCCTACACACACAGAAAACTTCACATTTGCTGCGATGCAGGTTTTTGGAGCTCTGCCCTATTACAACTCCCCCCTCTTCAAGAATCTCCCCTGGGAAGTTTAGCCACCTCAGCCTCCCTGCATCCCCACTTCCGTGTCTTCAGCTCCATCCGAATGCTTTGTACTGGGCCAATTCTCCCTTCCGGTGCAGTCTTCTAGAAAATCCCTCCAGGCGGAAAGCCAGGGCATTCCCAGGGCGTGGGGCTCCCCTGACTGGGGTCACAGCCTTGCCCCCTTATCTGGGGTCACAGCCTTGCCCTGCCTGTTGTCCAGTGTCTGGAAACAGATGCTCATGCATTTTGTCTGATTTGCTAGTTGTTTACTGCAGGAGAGCAAGTTCTGTATGAGTGACTTCATAATGGGCAGAAACAGAAGTCCCAGGCTGGAGCTGTTCCCTCGATATTGTCCCTCTTCCAGGAAGGGGAGAGACACTGAAGAGCATCGCGTCATCTTGTGAGGCAGCGGTCCCCAACCATTTTGGTCCCAGCGATAGGTTTCGTGGAAGACAATTTTTCCACAGAACTGGCAGAGTGAGGGTGGGATGGTTTCAGGATGAAACTGTTCCACCTCAGATCATCAGGCACTAGATTCTCATAAGGAGCATGCAACCTAGATCCCTCCCATACACAGTTCACAATAGTGCTCAGGCGCCTATGAGACTCTAAGGCCGCTGCTGATCGCTGATGGGACAGGAGGCGGAGCTCAGGCAGTACCACTGGCTCATGCTCACCTCCTGCTGTGTGGCCTGGGTTCCTAGTAGGCCACGGACCAGGACCAGTCCATGGCCCGAGGGTTGAAGACCCCTGTTATAAGGCACCTATTTCACTTGTGGTCTTTGAATTATCTTTATCTTCCAAAACAATGAGACATGGAGTCATTCTTTCAGACACAGCAGGGGTCAGTGTGGGGCAGGGAGGGGGACATGGTGGATTCGTGGCTGTCAGTTACATCTACATGTACGGTCCCACTCCACGTCTCAGGTTCTGCCCCTCCCCAGCAGGGCCTGGCCCTGGCTCAGGAGAGCAGCCCCAGCTGCAGACGCCCCTCCTCTGAATCCCTGGAGATCTTCTCCTAAGTCCTGAGCTCATCCTTTGCTCAGCTCCGTCCATCCAGCTGCAGGTGATTGCGTTTACTTCCATGCTGCCCCGGGGCCTCTGCATTCAGCCTTAAGGTGGTGCTTAGTCCCCCAGAGATTCCCTCTTTTTGAGTGAATCAAAGGCTCCCAGCTGCAGCTGCCATTTCAAAGTCTGCACAGCCTTGACGGTTGTCATTTTCCTCACCGTAGCACGTGACTCCCCTTCAACTCTCATACTATTCTCATCACTGACAGTAAACGCTGTAACAAGTGTGCATTACAGCATGTCAGGAGGGGTCCGTACCCTGTACCCATCAGTATAAAGTCCCAGTCAGCACCATTTGGAGGAAGGTCCACCTCTCAAATCCCCTCCTACAGTCTTCTTTCTAGGACAACTCCCAGGGTGAAGTTAGCAGCATCTTACACTGGGTTCTCTGAAATAGACTGAGTTGGAGAGTCTCCTGCACAGGGCTTATTCCATGGGAGAGTGGGTGAGGGGCACAAGGGGGAGGAGCGTCCAAAGCTCTCTGCAGTGGGACAGTAGCAGGGCTGGTCTCCAACTGACCTCAGGGCCCACAGCATCCCCATTCTGTGCCCTTCTTATGAAAGAGTAGGGCCCCGTCCTTTGCCCGGCTCCTCACGTCCAGGAGCCTTGCCTCCGAACCCCAGATCTGGGCTGCTGGGGAGCCCTTGGGCTCAGTGACACTGTGGCCCTGGACCCTGCTTCCGGGGCCAGCTTTCTAACAGCAACTACAGTCTTTGCCTGAATGCACGTGGCTAAGATGAAAGATTCTAGGCCTTTTCTGAGGAATGGCACCGAAAATGGAACCATGGACAGGGGCAGGAGCTGAGCAGGGCTGGGGAGGCGCAGTGGGACCCTGCCTTGTCCTGAGGTCACATTGCATGGCTGAGATGAAGCCAACATCACAGGAGGCAAATGACCCCAGGCCCATCTCCAATTCTTCATTGGCCCTAACAGAACAGACAGAAGAGAGAAGCACAAGCAGTTCTGAGGGATGAGCACTGGAGACCTGGGGCCTGGCCGGGCTCCCTTGGGCAGTCTGCTCCCATCTCAGTGTGGGCTGTCAGCAGCAACCAGCACTGCAGCCTGGGAAGCGTGGACTTTCAAAATAGAGCCCTGGAAGGAGGGGCCAGGGCAGGTGGGGAGTGAAGGTTTTTCCCTTCCCATTTGCAGACATGGGAAGCCTAGACTTGCTTTGCAGGGGCTGGAGCAGCTGAGTCTGGGCAGCTGCCCAAGTTTTGGCCAGAACATCGGGTCAAGGCCGCTCCCTGATCCCTCTGCCTTTGCTATTTACTGAGCCCATCACTCATGTTTAGGCGACCTTGTTTTCTCAGATTACAGCTGGAACCAGTGACTTGAAGGGCCAGAACACCCTAATCAAGGACAGGGAAGGCATCCCTGTTGTGGTTGAGAGGAAAAGTGGCCCCTGGGCTGAACACCCAGGAAGTGAGTGGTCTTAAATTCCTGAGCACACACACACAACCCAATGGACACTTCCGTGCTTAAAACAAGAGCTAAGGCATTCGAAGCACCTGGGCTGTGAATGCCGGCACATCAGGCAGGGCCCAATGAAGCTCAAAGGGGATGCACACGGCGGGCGTGGCCTCTCCTGGGATAATCAGCTTGGTGGTTGCTACTGGGGAGGGGTGCGTGCTCTTCCTACCTCACCCTGCAACAACAGACACAGTCAGCCTCCCCACTCATAGACCAAGGAGCAGAGGCTTGGAGAGGGCAGCTGAACTGCCCGGCAGTGCAGGACGGAGCACGGTCAGTGTGCAGACAGCAGGGTGGAGGGGTGTGAGCCCAGAGTGGGCACCTCCTCCTCCAGCCATGTTCCCCTGGGCTCCCTGAACTCTTCCTCATTATGAAGCTGGAAAAACCCCAACTCTGAGGACGTAGCCCCTCCTCCACCCCTTCAGGATACACCTTCACTGCCGGGGTTACCTGGCCATTGCCCACGTTCTCCGGAGCTGCAGTGTGAGGCAGAGCTTCTGTCTGGCTCTCCTGGCAAGCCAAGGAAAAAGGGAATCAGACATGCAGTCAAATATCGGGGCGGGGAGGAAGGAAGACACATTTTTCATTCCTGCAGCACAACATCTGTCTTTTCTTCTTTTGAATATAAGACGTTTTCATCTGAGAAAAGTCTAGGTATTGAGAAGACCTATGGACCTGCATTTAAGTATTCCCAGCACCGCTGCCTTTGGCTCAGGAAAGCGTCAGTGGGTCCTCTCTCTGTTTAGAAACTGGAAGCAGTGGCGCCCTGCTCCTAGGCTGTCATCCACCCGGCAGCAAAGCCTTGACTATAGGCACATCGTAAAACTTCAAAAGAACATTCCCATCCCATCTCGTAAGCGGGGACTTTTGCAAAGGTCACGTAATAAATCTACCCAAACTATGGCCTGATTTCCTGACTTTTATTGGAGTTACAAATGAATGACCAATATCTGTGAGAAAATTCTTTTTATCTAGACAGATGTTTCTTTCAACAGTTAAATATGCAAGCCAGAAGGGGGGCATTTTCTCTGAACACATGAGGTAAATAACACGAAGGAAGTTCTATATGTCACTTCTAGACATCAAGGCTGTCTCAGCTTGGTAGTCTTAATCATTTTCAGAACCTGAAAATTAAACTATAGCTTGCTTAATTAACATAAATTTGGAATGAATAAACATTAATTTGGGCATATTTAAGTTTGCTCACCATGGGTATAATGTTGGCTGTTACCAAGCAATTTTCTCACCAGAATTCCATTACTGCCTCTTCACATGCTAGCTATTCTTGTATTTGTTTTCTTTCTGTAGAATTTGATTACAGCAAGTGTCTACAATGGTAAATGGAGATGCTGTGGAGAGGCTGCAGCAGATGACAACAGTTCTCAACCTGCGCAGGTTCTCATTGACAGACGGCCCCAGCTCCGCACACCTCCCCGGACCTGGTCCATCCATTCAGATGGCACGGCCTATACCGCCACCCCAATGTTGGCTTTGGCCACACCACCCACAGCCAACTCCCTGGAGCAGGAGACTTTGTGCGTGGCTGCTGTCCGAAGCTGAAGAAGCAATGCATATGTGGGAGACCTAACTGTCTGAGTGTGGCAGGGATGGAAGGACTGGGAAACCCAGAGGAACAAAGGGTCTGTAGTGAGAGGGCCTTCCTCTTCTGGGGAAAGAAGCCACTCCCAGCCCCATTAGCCTCCTGAGTGGCGCCTAGAGCCCTCTGCTCTACGGATGGCCCTGATTCAGGTGATTACACGAGCCAGCCTGGAATGGTTGTTTCTTTTTTTTCTTTTTCTTTTTTCTTTTTTTTTTTTTTTTTGTGAGACCGATTCTCACTCTGTCGCCCAGGCTGGAGTGCAGTGGTGCGATCTTGGCTCACTGCAAGCTCCGCCTCCTGGGTTCACGCCATTCTCCTGCCTCAGCCTCCCAAGTAGCTGGGACTACAGACGCCCACCACCACGCCTGGCTAATTTTTTGTATTTTTAGTAGAGACGGGGTTTCACCATGTTAGCCAGGATAGTCTCGATCTCCTGACCTCGTGATCCACCCGCCTCGGCCTCCCAAAGTGGTGGGATTACAGGCGTGAGCCACCGCGCCCGGCCTGGAATGGTTGTTTCTACTTCAAGTTCCGGCTTCACCCAACTTCAACTTTCCCTTATACAAGGGAGAGAGAGAGAGAGAGAGAGAGAGAGAGACAGAGAGAACATTGCCAAAAATGTGATCCTTACAAAATGTCATCAGAATACGGAAAATTATTTAGATATCAATTCCACTTTATTTTTTCCATATTATCCACATTGAAAAATTGGGGCTTCAGCCAGAGAAATTCAGGAAGGGATCAGAAAGGAGGAGAAATGTGGCCTGAGCAAAGGCACTAACCACAGTCACTAAAGACAAGAACCTCCCTCAAGCCTCTCGGCTTTTCCTTTGCTTTGGAAGAAGGATCTGGAAGGTTGAACAAGGAACTCACTCAACCCAGAGTCACACACCTGAGACCAGAGGGTGCACACGGCCCACAGCTCAGTTCATTAGACCTCAGGATTTCTCCACTGTGAATGAGTTGTCCACATTTATAAGCTGAGCACATTCACACAGGAAAATCTGGACTTCCAGTTTGGTTCAGTTTGCATCTTACATGGTAGTCCCATTCCCATGGGGCGGCTATCTGGGCCCTGGATTTCATAACTACTGATCTCATCCCCTCTTCTCACTCTCCAGACAGGAGTGTAGAGCACAGAGAGCTCCTCCCAGGACTCGGGACGCCACCCCTTGCTCCCTCTTGGCTCCTTCCTGGCCTCAGCTCCTGCCATACCCCTGGGCTTTCACTCTCAGCTCTGCCTTGGTCTGCTCAGCCGTGTCCCTCTGGCACCTGGAGAGCCAGCACAGGGCATCCAGTCTTCAGTTCACCCCTAGAGAGCAGCCCCACGTCACGCAAAGGAGAGGTGGGTGGCAGGGCCGGGGTGACGATGAAGGCCCAGGGTGGAGATAGAGCCAGGGACGCGAGCTCATCCTGGTGGGGGAGGCACAGAGCAGCTCACATGAAAAGGTCTCCTTCCACCTCCTGAGTGGGTCTCTTCTCTCTAGACGAATATGAGTCCTTTTAACTCCGTGGAACTGGCCACTAACATACAAGTCTGGGATTTCCAGGCCAGTAGATTCCCACCAGAGCAGAACATTTGTGATTTTGAAATTTAACTTTGGAGGAAATACTTATCATTGGTTGAGAGAAGAGGTCATCTGTGATGCTGAGATGGAGCTGTGAGAATGTAAAGAGCCAGGTGACAATCCAGCCCCCTCACCAGGTCCGGAGACAATTCTGGGGGCAAAGGCACAAGAGGGCCGATGGAGGATGGGGGTTTTGGTGGACACTGCAGCGGACCTGCTGGAGGGAGCTTCCCCTACACGTGCTTCTCATTACTGCGAAAGCAGAACGTTCTCTGGACATAGTCCCATGAGTGCGATCTGGCATCCACCCATCCAAGCGACCAGGCGAGACTTGGAAGCAGGGGCAGAGCCCAGGCCACACTCGAGCTGCAGATGGTCTCCTGGCAAGTGCGGTTGTTAGAAGCATGTGATTCCCCCACGGCCAGCACCACTGCGTCTGGTCATTAGTTCTCTGGCTGTGACAAGGAAGGTGGATCCTAACAGCACCATTCTCCGCCTCCATGGAGGAAGCTTGAGCTGAGGATTCCTGACACGCTTCTTCAGGGAGCCATGTGATTCTCAACTCCGATCCCCAGAAGTAACCTCAACTAAATCCCTTTCTGTTAAACTAGTTGAGAAAACTCAGATTAAATAATGAAGATCAAACCCGTTTTTCACTCCAATGGACACCAACACCAAAAATGCAGAAAACAAGTAGAGTGACCCAGATTGTGAGGACGCTTCAGGCCTTTCTTTTTCATTTGTTATTCCTAAGCCACCATTTCTACTTCTTTCCCAAAAAACATCTCCATTCACCCCAGAACTTGAGCTTATCTAAGGAAGACACGGGCCCTATTGCAATTTGTCATACTTCCACAGATTTTTCTCATTGTTTTCCCTGGATTTCACATACAGAAAACATTTTAAGTTAAGGAATATATGTATTTTTTCTATCAAAAAGTGTGAAAACTCCTTAAACTAGATGGGAAGATATTTAATAAGCTGATATTCAGAAATGTTGGCAAAAGTTCACTTTTACTGGAATTGCAGGTGGCAGGTGTGATTCCTCTTCTGAAGCCTCCTGTGTGCTGGGTCTCATGCCACTGCCTGCCTTATGGTGACAGCACGCCGTCCCACCTGCTCAAGACCCCACCTCCCTCGTGGAGGGTCTGCACCTGTGCCTCCAGCTTCAAATGCGGAGCTTTCATCTAGTCTCCAAAATATTATAGGGCACAATAGTATCCCTTAGAGAAGGAACAACTGTAGAATGTCATAACCATCCCTCTGCCATTTCACCGAGGACAACCCGCTTAGTGTCTGGTTGTCTGGACCACCCCACGATGCTCAGCAGGGTGGTAAAAGGTGGAATCAGCACCCAGCTCTCCCACTCCACAACCGCCGTCGCTCATGCTGGATGAACCAACAGCTGCTTCTTTGCTAATGAGCTCTAAGTAAAAAGAAATTTATCTCCGCGGCTGCCACTGGTGACTTGGCTGGTTGCCTGTGGCCATTGCACGGAGAAGTCGGGCGCTGTAGGAGTGGGTCTTTAAGTGTCTCTTGCTTTCTCGTGCAGCCTGCATAATTTCCTGTGTGTAAGTATATTTTGAAACTAGAAAATCATTAACCCTACATATAATTAAATGCCCTTCATTTTAATGGCTAGAATTGATTTTTTTTAATGTTTGCTAACAGATTTGGAAATGGTGGCATGAAATATGTTAAGGAACCTTTATCTCAGCAAATCTAACTTTAAAAATGGTCTTTACCAGAGGCAGAACCCAGATCACACAGAGGAAAGAGCGCGTAGTCCTGTGGTAAAACCCATGAGAGGATCCCAGCAGTGAGCACACCTGCCCCTCTTTCTTCAAAGTTCCTGCAAAGATGAAAATCACTCTCGAGTTAAGGGACTGGCTGTTCCCTCTGGGCATGCTGGGCATTTACTCTGCATTGGGCATGGTGCCAGACAAGGGGCACAAAGCGGAGAGCCGGGGCCAGCTGCATAGACAGACCTCACCTAGCGTGGGTTGGAAAGGCTTGCTTGGGGAGGGAACACGAAGGCTGAGCCCTGAATTATGCAACCTTCTGTGAAAAGACAAAAGTAACAAGCATCCTAGGCAAGGGGAACAGAAAGGACAAAAGCCCAGAGGCAAGAAGGAGTGCGGAACCCTCCCGGGAGCTAGAGAAGGGCTGTGTGCTGGGACAGCATGGAGCAGCAAGGCAGGGGACAGGAGCTGGGGCTGGGAGGGGGGCAAGTTCAGGCTGCACCCCAGCCCTGGTCACGGCCGTGGCTATGAACCGGAAGAGCCAAATGAATATTTACAGCCAGGGATGCCAGGATTTGTGAACGGAAAGCTCTCCTGGGCTATGTTGAGAAGGGCGGCGGAAGAGGAGCAAGAATGAAAGCACAGACCGTGCTGGGAAGGCGCTGCCAGGGCCCAGGTGAGGGATGCGCCGTGCTGGCTTGAAGCATGAAGGCAGCAGTGAAATAGGGTGGCATATGATATAGAAAACGTCAGTGGGAGTTACCTCCTTTGTCCGAACCTGGGGAATGCATGACAAGAAAGCATCACACCTGCTCCTAGGTCTGGGTCTTCAGATGAGGCCAACCAGGGTGGGAACCTGCTGGGAGGCAGCGGGTGTCGGGAGGCTCTGGAACACATGGGCAGGGTTGCCTCGGAGAGGACTGGGCTGGAGAGCTAAGCCTGCAAACCTCCAGTGTCCAGCAGGGGCCAAGGCCATGTGGCCAAGGGAGACCCCATCCTGAGAGTGCACAGAGGGGAGAGGGCTGCCAGGCTGGGAGCTCAGAGTGCTCACAGGGTGGTCTCTGGGGGTCAGGGACCCTGCAGAAGAGAAGGGCCACATCCTGTGTGGTGGATGCCTGGGGGATGCCCCTGGATCTGAGGAACGTGTGTCTAGAAAGGCAGGAGGGTCACCCAGACAGAGGCTGAGGAGGGGCTAGAGCCCACCTGGCTGCAGGGAAGACTTCCTGATATGGATACGAGCCGTTTCCCAGCACAGCAGAGCCAGGAAATGATCAAAACGGGGCAGTGCCTGCTTGTCTCTATAAGAACCGAAAATCTGGCCTGGGCATTAGTCTTGTCAGGACCTGGAATCTGGGCTAGAGAGATTCATTCTCCTGGTTAGCTCACATCTAAAACAAGAGAAAGGCTGGGCACCATGGCTCATGCCTTTGATGCCAAAGCTTTGGGAGGCTGAGGCAGGAGGATCACTTGAGCTCAGGAACTTGAGACCAGCCTGGGAAACATGGGGAGATTTTGTCTCTACCAAAAACTAAAAAAAAAAAAAAAGCAAAACGGGGTGTGGTGGTGCACGCCTGTCATACCCACTACTCAGGAGGCTGAGGGAGAAGATCAGTTGAGTACAGGAGACTGAGGCTGCAGTGAGCTATAATTGCACCACTGCGCTCCAGCCTGGACAAAAGAGCAAGACTCTGTCTCAAAAAATAAATAAAATACAATAGAATAGGGAATGATATTTGCTAAAGTGCTACCATTGTTTAAATAAACATATTAAAATTAGATAAAGATGTAAAAGTGTTGTGAAAAGGAAAACATTTCTGTTACTGGATGACATTATCAAACTAAGCACTTGTGTGTGGCTCTGTCTACTTGAATACACAGGATATTGATTATCAAAAATTATCCAATCACGTTAAAAATAAAGCCAAGAATGTCAAAGCGTATTACTCCAGAAAAGCTTGCACACCAGGGGTGAGACGTCCAGGGCTTAGAACAGGGTGACTCAGTTTACTTCTGGTCCTGAAGACCCCTGCTCAGCTGCAGGAATTGTGAGCCCCTTGCTGAAGGGGGGTGGGATGCCCGCTGGTGCCTCCACCCTTTGAAGAAGCTCCAGAAACCTCAGCACTGACAGAGATTGCAATGAGAGGAGACTGAGCAGGTGGGGATTAACTAGGGGGGATGACAGGCACACAGGCAGGTGTAGGGACGTAATGAGGACAATTGCAGCAGCCGCCAAGGAGGGAGACGAGAGGCCGCGGCTGGTCCGGGCTGCTTGTTGGAATCAGGCAGCTGAGGAGCTGCAGCCTGGAGCTGCGTGAACAGGGCTGGAGCTTGTCTCACACATTCTCTCTTTCTAGTCCCTGCACTGGAGCAGGTGCTGAATAGATACCTACTGAGGGAATAAATCATATCCTCCTCTAACATAAGAGAAATATCCTGTCACGCACAACCTTAGCCTTGAAGTCTCCAAGTTTCTTAAAATTAGGTAACACAAAACTCGGAGTTCTGGAGTCCTGAGCAAGCATCAGGCGTGAGCCAGGCTGTGTCCTCAGCTTCCAGGGAGAGTTGCCAGTGCCCTGATTTTTCATCTGGGAAAACTGAGGTCCAGAGAGGTCAAGTCTTCCTGGTAACTGGCGGTAACCTGGTATGTGGCAGCACAGAGGGAAGCCTCTGTGGGAACCGACTTAGTTTTGTTAAATTTCACAAGATTTTGAAAAAGCATAAGCTCTATTTCTATTTCTCTATTTTCAAGGCAGAAAGATGGAAACTGACAAAAATATAAGGGAGCAGAGAGTGCACCATTTTGATCCAACCCAAATGCCTAGAAGCAAGATATGAAGAATGGCCAGGGCTCTGCAGGTCGGCCCGCTCAGCTGCTCAGCCATGCCCCAGTTTCAGATAACAGAGCCCATAAGCTTGCCCAGCTGAGGCCGATCACCTCCTCCCTGGACCCCACAGCAATCACATGGTGTGGCTGTCCCTGTCAACGTCTGAGAACCCAAAGCTCCGAAAGGCTTTGGACTTACCAGGTGGGCCTCTTGCTGAATCTCAAAGTGTCCTTGGCCCTGGATGGGGATCATCCCCCCAGGACCCCCGGGCTGCCTGCAACACTCTTGTCCCAACAGTCTGGACAGCAGGTGTCTGGCTCCTGCAGTGGGAGTTGGAGTCAGTATGATCTTCCTTTGAGCGGGGACATTTTCAGGAAGGCCCTGAGCTAGGTGAATGAGGGCCGTGTGTGGCCTGCGCATAGCGTCCCAGGTCCCCTCTCTGCCACCATCTTAGAGGAAGGGCTCTGAAGCCGGGGGTCGTTGGCCAACGAAGGATGGAAAAGCCCATTGTGAAAATGGCAGCCCTCATGCAGAGTGGGGGCTGGGGAGGGGGTGTTTCCTGGTGAACTTGTAAGAATTCTGAAAGGTGCTGGCCGTGGAAGGGAAAACTCAGATGCAGAATTGACAGTGGGCAAATTTGAACCAATAAACCTTCTGTTTATGTTAGGGCAGTTGTAAGTTGTATAAATGTGGAAACAATATGAAATAACAGCTTATTTAACACTAGTCACAGTAAAAAACTCATGCATACCTCAGTAAAAGAAACATATGTATACATATGTGCACGTGTGTGTGCACTGCCTGTTTGAAGACGCCGCAGTGATCCTGTCAATTTAATTACCAACATCCAGCTTTAAGTAAATCTCAACCATTGTGCACTATTTCATTTTGAACTGTCTGACATTAGTTTGTAATTCCATGTGTATTACAAGGGATTTCAAGGAGATGGTTAAAAAGCAGCTTTTCTAGTAAGAAAAGAGAAAGTGGCAGGCCTTAGTAAAAGACCTTAAATACACCATACACAAAGGCGGATGAGCCCATGCCGGGAGGGCCGGCGTGCGGGCTGGGGACGGCACCCCCACACCTGGAATTGTCCTTGAGTCTCCACAACCCGAGAACCAGCAGAAGCCCCGAGGGCCTGGACAGACACATGTCCACAGCCAGGCCCAGCAGAAGACAATGTGGAAGAAGCAAGGCAGCCCACCGTGTCTTTTTCCAACAACACAACTCCCATAAAGATGTGATCAGGGACTCCCTTTGCAAGTCTACGATTTCTCTGTAAATACAAGCTTCTTAAGTGTCTTTAGTCTGTCTCTTTGACAAAGGAAACCACAAATATATCCTAAAACTGGGAACTGGACTAACCACCACAGTTTAAGTTGCTGGTGTTGTTGTTTGGTTGTGTTGTCCGTTTTGTTGGACTCTTTAGTCAGAGGGCAGAGCAGGAACAACTTGTCCAGAACAGCCCACCTTTCACCAGAGGAGCCTGCGTGCGCTCTGCTGCAGTGCGGACAGCCCGATGACGGCAGGTGTCGGGGGAGAACCACCCCTTCGAGGCTCTGGAGGAGCCCCTGGCACTCTGGCCGGGGACTAAAGGGAGCCACTGAGCATGCTTCCGCTCCCCACTTTTCCTCATTTTGGCAAAACATGTGTAGGCTGGGGAAACGGTTCTGAAGCTGTGCAGGTCATCGGTGCTGGCCCTCCCAGGGAGGCAAACATCTGTTTGGGGCCGATCATCGGTGCCCGCCCTCCCAGGGAGGCGAAGATCTGTTCAGGGTCTGGCCTCCACTAATGCCACCACATACAGGCCAGGACAGCCTGGCACTAACCCAGCAGAAGATTCCTCGGCCTTGGAACTGTGGGCTCAGGACAGGGGTAGCTGATTTGAGGCTGGAGCCCAGCAGGACACCTTCGGGGCTGCTGAGTAATTGTGTCTTCATCAAGAACAACAAAAATGTTATTAGTTTTGGGTTTCTTCCAGAAACTGCTGGTTCCTCAAAAGGCCATGCATCTCCTAGCAATGGAAAGAAGCATGGACTAACACCTTTATTTTAAAAATCAAAAATCAAAGCAGAGGGCCCTGCCTCAGCTCTGGATGGCCAGCAGTCCTCTGAGGCCAGGATCCTGCCCAAGTCTCTGGGATCTATACCAGGTAGCTAATGAGAAACGGGCTCATGAATAAAAGAAGGGAATTGCTTCCCGAGCATGCCAGAGGAATGCTAACTGGGCTCCAGCATCTAAGCAGCCTTTAGAGCAAAGCCACAGTCATTAGTGACTCTAATGATTTTTTCCTCCTCTGCCATGTACGATCCTTTTAGTGTTAGGAAACTATCGGTGCATGCTTGTTAGAGAGAGAAGTCTTTGAAATCCATCCAACTCTGCTCTACATCTGAGCCATTTATAATAGAAGACTGATTAATGTTTGAGGCAACCCCAGTGAAAAGAATCTTGGCTGAAATGCTGCCAAACTTTCCATTTTTAAGGCTTGTCATCAGACTAAGTATGCTGATCTTGAAAATGTGGGTGAGGAAGAGGAGGAAGCTCTGACGGGTGGAGGAAGGAGCACTTACCTGTCCGAGGACACATCAGTGTCACTTGGGAGACCCCAGAGATGCCTGTCATCAAAGGCTTACTGCTAAGTATTTGATTTATTTCCATTGCAAAGAGAAATTTTGCAGAACACTGGAGTCGCCATAAATTTTGTGATATTATAGGTATCTTCATCAAACCCTAGGCTAAAAATTACATAAATTTGGAAATTTCTCAGAGGAGGAATGACCAAGGATTTGGAGAGTCAGTGAGTGAGAAGGAAGAGGACAAGGCGAGGAGGGGTCTCCTCCCACCCCCATCACCCTCCACCCACTGCCCACAGCCCAGTCCGTGTGCCTGCTGGGGCCCCATCTCCCACATCCTGGCCCCACCCCAGCCCACCCCTTCCCCCAATTGGCAGGTGTCAATCACACAGAAAACAGAAAATTATTGCAATCACCCACTGAGCAGGCCCCAGACCCCTCCCCTCCCTGTCCAGCAGCAAGAAAACCAGCAAGTCCGGTGGGGGCAGAACCCCATGAGCCTCTCTCCACCCACGGAAGGTGGAATCCCGTGAAATGTCGACATGCCTGACTAGTATGCTGGACCACAAGAGAAATTTCGGGATAAAAACCTCGAAATTTCATCTCCAATGAGCTGAGAAGCTCTGTATTGTTTTTTGCATTTGGAATGCAAATATTTGCTTGTAACAAATGAGAATGCAAAACCATTAAATAGATCAAAGCCGATAGTTTTCAATTACAAGAGGCCCATGCAAGCGAGGTGGAGCTGGAAGATGAATGATGGTTGGAACGCGGTGTCTGGTGGTGAGACCTCTGCCTCTGACTCACTGTGCCTGGGCCCCTCCCTGGGCCACTCCCCAGGTAGGGATGCACCTGAGCAGCCACCCTCTGCCCTGCCTGTTGCCTCCTCTGCTTACAACTGTGCCTCCTGGATCGCAGGGGGGTGCAGTCATTCCTGTTCCCTTTAGAGGTGCGGTAGCCTCAGAAGACCATCCTGGCCAAGTGAACCTGCACCCTGATTCCTAAGCCCAGCAATGGCTTGGAGACTCTGCCCTTTTGATCTCTGGCTTTGTACAAGTCTCTTGCCTCCCAAGCCTCAGCTTTTGCTCAGAGAAAAAGACAGCTGTGGTCATTGTTCTGCTGACAAACATCTGTGGTTCCCTAGTCCTTCAGAGAGGAGGAGCTGGTCCTGCCAGCAAGGGCTGCCTCTCAAAGGTGGAGAGGCTGCTGCTGGGGGTCCGAGTTCCCTGCCCTGTGGGGCCTGATGGAAGCCTGGTTGGCGCACCCTCTGCACTCTGCTGGGATGCACATGGCCAGATGCCCGCTGGCAGAGCTGCCTGTGCCAGGCTAATAAGCAACGTTTGCAGTGAATCTGCTCCTAGGAACATACTTGAATTCTGCTCAATAGGGAGCGTGGAGCCAAAGCCAGACATTGTTGGGTGAGGCATCCCACCTGCACCACTCCGCCCTGCCGGAATCTTTCCCAGGGGCCTGTGGAAATGAATGCCTGGGCCCAGCTGCTGGGCAAGGAGGAGGCTGGCACTTGGTGCTTGTCCACAGCTGGACCTCTCTTGCCACAAAGAAACAAGGAAATGAGGACAGCCTGGCTTCTCAGGCAGGATTCAGAGAAGAGACTGCTCCCGCCTTTGCCCAAGGACAAAGTGTTCTGCAGAGCACTAATGCAGGTTGATCTCGTCGGGATTACAGGCGGGGTGCTGCTGCAGGCACCAGTGCCCCTGGACAGAGGCTGGAGGCTGGAGACAGTCCCCCCGGGGCCACCACAGTGTCCTCAGAGCGGGGCTGGGAAGTGCTCCTCGGCCCTGCTCTCTCCTCCTTCTTTCCTTTCCTTTCCCCTCTTTTCTTTCCTTCTTCCTTTCCTTCCTTCTTTCCTTCCTTCCTTCCTTCCTCTCTCCCTCCCTTTCTTCCTTTCTCTTCCCTCCTTCATCCTCTCTCCCTCTCTTCCTTTCTTTCCTCCTCCCTTCCTTCCCTCCTCTCTTCCCTTCTCCCTCCACCCTCCCTCCCTCTTTCCCTCCCTTCCTGCCTTCTTCCTTTCTTTTTTGCATTCATTTATGCTCTATTAATAAACAGCCTTTTATGTACTTTCTTTTTATTATTTTTTCACTCATTCGTCTATCCTTTTATTCATTCATCAGAATGCCCAACCTTTTACTCATTCATTAATGCATAGACTGAGCCTGTATTCCAGGGGTGCCTGCCAGGCCCCAGGCCTGGTACATTTCCTGGCAGGGACTCCCTGCTGGTGACATGGGCTGGGCAGCAGCACTGGTCCCAGTGTCACTTTCACAAGCCTCCCTGACTTATTTATGTTTATGGGCAACTCCCTGGGGCTCACCTTGCTGTCAAACTTTTAGGCGTTTGAAAGGGCAACAGGCTCAGGTCTTTCCTTGGTGTGAGAGCAGCTGGTGACCCCCTCTGCAGGCTGAGCTTCTTGTCTGAGCCCAGCATCCGGCCCCAGGGTCTGCCTCCACCTGTGCTCTCTGCCCCAGCGCCCCCAGCTCAGGCCCCAGCACCCCCAGCAGAGCCTGCTCTGCCCCCACCTGCTTCCAGCTTCCTCCTAGGAGCAGCATCCTTGGGCTTCCATTGGTGAAAGAACACGGGCTTCCCACCTGGGAATCCTGGCAGCCGCCACTGCCCACTCAGGGCAGCAAAGTCAGCCCCATAGGGCTTTTCTGGGGATGGAAGCAGACTCTGGAAAAAGGCTCTTCCCATGGTTGGTACTTAAATTTGTGTTTAATTAGAGTCAAAATAAGGGCCCTTCAACAATATAATACCTCTAAATTTAGATGTTACTAAGTATTTGTTAAAAGGCCCTGAAGTCCAGGCTCTTTTCCTGTTGGTGGTGGACACAGCTCCCCTGGCCAGGGCAGTGGCTGTGTCTGGGTTGGGGAGGAGGCTTCTCCAGGGTCCTCTCAGGCCCGTGTGGTGGACAGAGCCTTCCAGAAGGGAAAGGGCTCCCTCCCACCGGGAGAGCGGCTGGGTGCAGCTGAGGGCCACGCAGGTGTGGAGTCATGCCTGGGACACTCACCAGGGCCTCCTCACCTGGGCGCTGCAGTCTCCTTTAGATGCCTCCTTTTCTTACATGTCTAACCCAAAATTACAGCTTAAAACAGTTCTTAAAAAATCAAAAAACGGGAAACATATCATCTAAGAGAAAGAGCTGAGTGTTCACCTTGGTCACACAGAGCCCAACCCCAGCAACATCAGAAAGTAAGTCCTAAACCAATGGCCACGATCAGAACCCTTGCCCAAAGTCCTCGATGCCTTCAGAATCATGGCTTATTTGTGGGAGCAGCAGGCAAGGGGTCTCATTTTTTATGCTGCTCTATAAGAAGACAAAACTCTTGTCTCTATCATCTGAGCTATTTGAGTCATCCAGTAGGTTTTCCTAGGAAGTTAGAAATACGCTGTAACCCTCTTGATCTATGACTTCGCCACCAGTGAAAATGCTATCGAGATATTTTTAATCAAAAGACAGCTTAAAATGCAATAAATTTCAAAATGGAAAAGTGATAGTTCATGTATAATTGCTTTCAGAGTCCACCGTAGACCTTAGCTGAGTGGGAATTAGGGAGCGTGAGCTGGGCACCATGTTTTGCCCTCCCGCTCAGCCTGAATAACAGCACCTTGTAGGCCCCCGCAGGAAGGGCACAGGTGGCAGCCAGGGGCTGGAGCTGGACATGACCCGAGAGCCAGGGAGTCAGGTCACGGAGGAGCCGGCTCCAGCCCAGCCGCCTGCACCTACCCCATTGCTGAGGAAGGTAGCTGGGAAGCGCAGGCTCCTGGCTGAGAGGCGATACTGCGTGAAGGAGCAGGTCTGGGAATCTGTGAGGGTGTTCCCAGGGGCACAGCCGCTTCCGAAGTGGTCGTCACCGGTCAGCAGGGAGGGAAGAGGGAGGGGCCTGAGCCTGACCCAGACGCCCCCTCCACCCCAGGCCAGGCGCTCCTGCTCACCCCCGATGCCCACACCTTGCTGGTGAGTAGCTGTCATTCTGCCCACAGGGCCGGCCCCATGCACACGTGACCCTCACAGTGGGGCAGGGCCCCGAGCTCAGGATGCCCGCCACTGACCTAATGCTCTGTGCATCATCAGGAAAGCCTCAGCCATGTTTGAATGGGAGACCCCACGTTGTCATTTTGCACCAGGACCCCGAGATTATGCATCCAGCTCCTCCCACCCTCATTGCCCTGCCGTGTGCCCTCACCCAGGCACTCTGCCGTGCTGCAGGCGCCACCTGCTCCCTGTTGCCATCTACCCAGCATCGCCTGGTCAGCGACAACGGGATGTGCCCGTCGGATCTTTCCGGGTCCCTCCTGTCCTGGGCACTGCCAGAAGAGGATCACCTAAAGGCACTACAGTCTTTGGGATGGGAGCTGAGTCACCCATACTAACCCAGCTGGAAGGAAGGTGGAATAAAGGAGGGAGGGAAGGAGTAAGGAGGAGGGAAAGGATGGAGGGAAAAGGAAAGAAAAAGGGACAGAGGGAGGGAAGGAAGGAGGAAGAAAGGAAGGGGGAAAAGGAGAGAGGGAGGAAGGCCAGCTCTCTCCTCCTCTCACTCCATTGCCCGCAGATGCCTGCCCTTGGCTAAACCCCCCGCAGCTGGAGGCAGGAATCTGTGGCTGCAGCCACACTCCCCACCTCTGCTGGTGGAAAGTAGTGCGGACCCTCCACGGGACAGATGGGAGGTGGAGGCAGAGAGGGAGAGGGGCGATGGAGCCAGGTGATGGAGAGAGGAAGCAGGGGAGGGAGGGGCTGAGGGAGTGAGTTTTGTGCATGTGGAAATCAGGTTCATGCTGGCATCCAGGTGGAGGTGTCTAACAAGCTGGGCAGCTCTCCTAGGAAGGCAGGAAAGTCTGAAAGATTTTCTTTTGCAGTTGTAAAAAAAAAAAAGATAGTTAAGTACATAAGCTTGAGTAATAAGGAAAGAGCTTTAATTGCATGGAAAATGCACTTGTGTGGGCTCAATTTATTCTTTGAGTTTTCCTAGCCGTTATTCAGGCAGCATTGAATGAGGGCTCAGTGGGCACCAGGCATGGTGCAAAGTGACGAGGATGCAGAGGTTGGTCATCGGGACCTGCCCCCAAACACATCAGGGTCTGGAGGGCCAGACAAAGACGTCAAGAGCCCGGAGTAAGCACAGGATGGAGATGAGGCTCCCTTGGAGGTGAGAACCCCTTGGAGGTGAGAACCAGGATGGAGGTGAGAACCCCTGGGAGGGGCAGAAGCATCTCAGTGTTTAAGCACCAACAGGTGAGCTGCCCAGCTGTGCAGGGATGGCTCCCTGCTGCTATGAGATTGAAAATGAAACAAGGAAGGAAATACAAAGTCACTTAAACTCGAGTTCTTAACTGTAATGTCTTCTTGCACATTTAGCTATCTTTTGTATTTTTAACTTGATTTCCTGATTTCTTGATTTCTTTTATGTGGACGGTGTGTGTGTGAGTGCAAGAGCGAGAGATTGACTGATCTGGGATGCATCCTCCAGTACACACGGGAAGCCTGGCCCAGGCGTGGGAAGCCTCTCAAGGTGGGCTCCTCTTTCTGAGAGCCCTGTCCCTGCTGGTGTTGTGGTGCCCGCATGGCCGGCTGAGGATGGTCCTGCTGGGGTATGAGATGCTAAGGCATGAAGTGTCAGGGCCCATATCATACAGTGTTTCCCTCTGCCTCCTTCCGTCTCCCTTCCCCAGAAGTGATTTTTTTTTTTTTTTTTTTTTTTTTGAGGCAGAGTCTGGCTCTGTCACCCAGGCTGGAGTGCAGTGGCACCATCTCGGCTCACTGCAAGCTCTGCCTCCCAGGTTCACGCCATTCTCCTGCCTCAGCCTCCCCAGTAGCTGGGACTACAGGTGCCGGCCACCAAGCCCGGCTAATTTTTTGTGTATTTTTAGTAGAGACGGGTTTTCACCGTGTCAGCCAGGATGGTCTCGATCTCCTGACCTCGTGATCTGCCCGCCTCAGCCTCCCAAAGTGCTGGGATTACAGGCGTGAGCCACCGCCCTGGCCCAGAAGTGATTTTTGAACTCTTTACCAATTATAGGTATAAATACAATGTTATGTCAGATAATGTTCCTGGAGCGGCCTCGGCCCTCTCAGTCCTGTTTGGTCTGCCTTGCCACCTGCATTTCTTCACTTTCTTTCAGAGCCTGTGACTCCCATCACTGATTATCAGAGCCTGAGTCTGATCTGAAACTTCGGGCTCTAATTCCTCAGATTAAAAACAAACATAGCTAATTTTATTATTTGACGTTCAACTTTAAATTGGAAAAAATTTAATGTCTATAGTTGATCAGACCCAGTGCAGAAGAAAGAAATTGCCATTTAAAAGTTCCAGCTGCAGCCCTGAGATGTGTTAATGACACTCACCTGCAGCTCCACACGAACTCATTAAAACTCTTAATTATACTTTTTAATGCAAAGTGGAAGGTTTTAGGTAATGGATTCTGTGTGGTTTGCATTTTTAAACAGAAGTCCCAGGGCAGAGGCTGAGCTGGTGTCTCCAGTAGAAGCCACACTCCGAGGTCCAGCGGACCTGCCCACTGCCCGCCGCCCACCGCCCACTGCCTGGGACCAGGATCCGATTCTCCCCATTCTTCAGGTGGGATGGGACCACCTCTTCCACAAGCGCTTTTGAAAACTTGTGTCCCCACCATGTTGTTACTGAATTTCTCCTTGGAGGCTGGAAGAATGGGGCTATAAGGTGGAGCCCACAGGGCCCAGATGGCCAAATGCTCAGCCCACAGCAGCCGCGCAGGTGCCGGAGGCAAGGTTGTGACCACACCATGTCCTGCCATGGACAGTTCCTCTTCCTCTCGTTCCTCCCTCTCCCCCTCCCTCTCCTCCTCCATGTCCTCCTCCTTCTTTGGAGAAGCCCTGACTTTCACACCATGCCGTGGACTCCTGGTGCCATGGGCCACATCTCCCTACACCTTTTGAATGTCCACCACAGTTCTCTAGAATGGAGAAGTAAGAGACTCCTGTGACCCTATCAACTCCAGTAGGGATGGCACCAGGTTCAAGAGGCTGGAGAAGAGACCCAGGGCCAGCAAAGGAGACATGGTGTTTCACTGGGGGCTACAGACAGGGGAGAGAGTCCAGCAGGCTGGGCAGGAGAATCGTGACAACTCAGCACCCTCCCCAAACAACCTCCACCCGGCAGCCTTCATTTACCCCAAAACAAAGGGTCTCGATCCCCTGTACAACCCGCAACCCAAGGGACAGGCTGGGGGCTCAGATGTTCCTCACAGGGAAGGAAAAAATCTCCAGGTTGGCCTCTCCTGGATTCCTTAACTCACAACGCTGAACCGCACTCAGGTGCACCTGCCATCCAGGGTCATTCTCACACTGGGCTCCAGGTGCTGCTGTCAGGCACAGTCACTGTACACTCATCCACCTAGGAGGCTGACAGTGGCAGAAGGAAGACCCAGGGCCCATGCCTGCCTACCCCAGCAGGGCATCAATGTGGAGGGCAACAGCAAAACCACAGAAGGGCTGTGTCCTTCACTCAACAAACACCCACAGGGGACTGACCCTCACTGGCACAGAGCCACCTGCACACAGGTGAGCACAAGGGGCTGTCATAGAGGCTATAATAGATCACACAGGGGTGTGATGGATACCTGCACTCAGGTGAGTACACAGGGGTGTGGGGGAGACCTAGACTGAGGTGAGCACACAGGGGTGTGGGGGAGACCTGCACTGAGGTGAGCACACAGGGGTGAGATGGAGACCTGCACTCAGGTGAGTACACAGGGGTTTGGGGGAGACCTGCACTCAGGTGAGCTCACAGGGGTTTAGTGGATACCTGCACTGAGGTGAGCACACAGGGGTGTGGGGGAGACCTGCACTGAGATGAGCACACAGGGGTTTAGTGGATACCTGCACTCAGGTGAGTACACAGGGGTGAGATGGAAACCTGCACTGAGGTGAGCTCACAGGGGTTTAGTGGATACCTGCACTCAGGTGAGCACACAGGGGTGAGATGGAAACCTGCGCACAGAATCAAATGACACATGTTTGTGGAGCCTGGGTTGAAGGACGGAAGCACAGTGGCTGATGACCCGGGAACTCAGGATATGGTGCCAGCAAAGCACAGGCTGGAAGCCAGGATATGAGACTGCGCATGTGCAGAGCTGGAATGGGGTTGTGGTTGAGATCTCTCCTTTGAGAACTTTTACAACTCAGAATGCAAGAGCCTTCCCACGAAAGCACCAAATTTGACTGCTGCTCGGGGAGTCTTCACTAGGTTGAAACAGAGGGGATTCCACCGCTGCAATGGAACCAGCACGGTGGAGGTTCCAGGACAGCAGGCTGCATGGAGGAGTCAGGCTCCCGGGAAAGGTGACAGGCTGTAAGTGCAGGAAACTGGGGAAACAGCCACCCGAGTGTCAGTTTTCTCACCGCTGCAGAGTGTGGAGAATGCACAGGGCCTGGGCTTTGAGGCATCTGTGTGACTAGCCAACCACAGTGGAATGGCTGGGCTCCCTCTTTCATGTTCTTTAATTTCTCCACTGTCACGGCAGCCACAGGACCACTGCACAGACAGACACACAGTGGAGCAGACAGAGCTTTTGAAACTGGAATCTGAGCACTGGAGAAGGGAACCAGGGGTATCGCTCCCAGGATGAAATGGGGACTTCTTTCAGCATCCTCTGGGGCGGCAATTAAAATCGGTTTTTGTTCCTGAAACCAATTGACACTATATTGTTCAATAAATGTCTCTAAGGAGAATGAATAATGCCATCATCGTTCAACACAGTCCTTCAACCTTTGAGACTCGTTAACACAGGTTAGGCTCAAATGCCCAGTGAGATGTGGGGGCTGTTCCGTGCAGGTGGGCGGGTGCCCTGGAGCTACAGGCTTTGGTTGGTAAGATGGTCTAGCAGATAACATGGGGTGGGGAGACGGGAAGGACGGCGGGCTTCCCGGGGAGGGCTGAGCTCATGGGGGATCTTCTCCACATCTCCATGAAAACCTTCACTAGAACCTTGACCACTTCAACTCTGGCTCTTGGCAGCTGCCTTAAGAGGCTAGGACAGAAAAATGGACTTTCTGTGTTAGAGCCAGCAAAGGGGGAAGCAATGCACAAGGGCAGTTTCCCTCCTTAAATCACACATCCATACAGGTGTGGCTGGGCTGCAGTGTACGGAAAAGATTTTTAATATTCACCCGCGTGGAGTCCTCAGGACTGATTGGAAGTGATCTGTTCAAATGTCAATGCCATTCATCTTTAATGAGAAGATGAACCCTCCCGACCTTATGAGTCTTTGGAATTAGAGAATACATTGGTTGATATCCTGTCATTTTCAAAACCAAATAAGGAAAGACCATGAAAAAAACCGAGTGTGATATAATTTGCTTGGCCTGGGTCTCCGAGAACGCATTGGCACCATCTGCAACTGCTGCTAGTTAGTTAGTGGCAATGTCACCATCATGATGGATGGCTCAATAATGCCATGCCAGCTGGCAAGGCACATTTGGGGATTCAGGCTGTGTAAGTGAGATCAAAAAATTATCAAGATAGATAGCATAATAGAAAGATGGAAGGGAGTTTTGGATAAGGCGTTAAGAATTCAGTGTGTACGTGCGTGCGTGTGTGGTGCTGGCACGTTACAGGGAGGTAACAACGATCGGTGGATCGTTGTTGGAGCTGGAATCCCCCCAGCCTTGTGTGACCACATAACTTTCACAGGTTCTAGCCCTCTCTCTCTCCAGTAAACCCAAACCTGACGTTACTCATGGGAAATTTGGACAGGCTGACACCTGGAATCTTCCTGGGGTTTTGCAGAAACTCTAAAGGAAACTCTGGAATGCCATATGCAGGACGTGCCTCCACCCCTTTCATCTTCATGACACTGCAATTTAATAAGAAAAAGAATTAACTGGCCAGGAGCGGTGGGTCACGCCTGTAATCCCAACATTTTGGGAGGCTGAGGCAGGTGGATCATTTGAAGTCAGGAGTTCAAGACCAGCCTGGCCAACATGGTAAAACCCCATCTCTACTAAAAATACAAAAAAAAAAATAGCCAGGCAGGGTGGCAAGTGCCTGTAGTCCCAGCTATCGGGAAGGCTGAGGCAGGAGAATTGCTTGAACCCAGGAGGCGGAGACTGCAGTGAGCCGAGATGGCTCCACTGCATTCCAGCCTGGATGAGAGCGTGAGACTCCACCTCAGAAGAAAAAAAAAAAAGAGAGAGAAAGGAAAAAGGAAAAACAATTAACAAAGTTCCAGATAGAGACTCAAATATAATCAATGTGTTTGGTGATCACCAAATTTGTAGGAAGACTTGGACAAACAGGCCCCAAGTTCACAAGAGTGAAGTCATTGTCCATGATGCTAGAAGTTATTAGTAAGAGGTATCTGCCTTCCAGAGCTGGTGACTTATTAATCAGTCATCGAGTGTGGACTGAAAGCTGCCACAGAAGGGAGCTTAAAACATTCTGCAGATAGTTTTAAGCAGCTACCTCAGTAAGCCCTATTTTAGCATTGAGGACACTGCAGTCAGTCAGGGAGGAAAGGAAAAAAGTTCCAACCCTAAGACATAAACCACTGTGCATTTTATACGATTTATCATTGTCAGCATACATAATTTAGAATATAAAGTTACATAATTATAACTGTTAAAAGAAGTATGTTATTATTTATCATTTATATTGAATTTCTATAATATGCTAGTGAGTTTTGTGTTCTAGGGAAAAGCTGCTTATGGATCTGCTGGGCTAGGCTGTGTCTTCATAAAAGTAAATCATATAAAAGACTCATACTAATCCCAAAGGGACTTGGCCTCTACTGTTGACTAAGCCTCGAAGCTTAGATATGTAAACCTCATGTCCAGATCAAGGAATCAGTCAATCCTTCAGTCAATAGCACAAAGTGCTTCCTTTCTGAGAAATCTCACAGATGACTTGAGTTGGTGCATGAACTTCAGCTTCCTCTCAAAAATTCCATTCAGCTTCTTTTCTCACAGCCCAAACAACAAGCAATGTTCCACAGAAATAGTGACAGCAGAATGGTGTTATCACCACACAAAGGAAGAGTACGGCACGAGCCTCTGTAACATGCATTCACACTTTACTAAGTGATTAAAAAAAAAAAAACCTATATTTAAATACTGGCATTGAGCTTTGAGGTTCTTGAAAGAAATGTGTTAGCTAAATGCAACATTAAGAATTCAGCTAATTTTTTAAATTTCTATTTTTTAACATGAAACACGATATAGGGAAAACTCCATTCCTCATACGTCTACATTTCTAAATTCTCTGCAATATGATACTTTCCTAAAAATAAAGTGGAAGTGAAAACGCAGACATAATACAGCTTGCAGACGCGTGCGGAAACACAGACGGCTATAACACACACCGGAGGATTCAGCTCACACCAACGCTGCTGTTGGGTGACCCTCCAAACCCACAATGCGGCGTTGCAGAAACACACACAAGGTGTCCCGCAGAAACATTCGATTTGACATGTGTGCTTGTCCTTCTGGATTCACCAACCCTGATTTCAAGAAACAGGCCAGATCCTTGGGAGGGCCAGCCCCAGTGTCGCTTTGCCCAAGAGGCCATGGAGATTATGACGTGCACCTCCTGCTCAGAGGGTCCCAATAGGCTCTCAGCCTTTTTTTTCCTTGCCTGTCCAGATAGAAAACTGAAAAAGGGGCTGGACACGGTGGCTCACACCTGTAATCCCAGAATTTGGGAGGCCGAGGCAGGCAGATCATGAGGTCAAGAGATCCAGACCATCCTGGCCAACACGGTGAAACCCTGTCTCTACCAAAAATTAGCTGGGTGTCGTGGCACGCACCTGTAGTCCCAGCTACTTGGGAGGCTGAGGCAGGAGAATTGCTTGAACCCGGGGGACGGAGGTTGCAGTGAGCCGAGATTGCGCCACTGCACTCCAGCCTGCTGACAGAGAGACTCCATCTCAAAACAAAACAAAACAAAACAAACAACAAACAAAAAAAAAAAAGAGAAGAAGAAGACAAAACAAAGCGCAAGATTATTAAGATTATTCTAACCCAAAGGTAAAGCTCCCTGTGAATAACCGAGGCCTGGTCACCGCGAGTCCCTGCGGGGGGTGCGGGACACTCAGGGGCTCTTGGGGTCTTTCCACGAGGCAGGCCGCTCCCATCCCAGGGGTGCCCCGCAGGACATGGCGAGTCCACGCCAGGCACAGCGGCAGTCTTGCTCCCTGGACTTTGGCTGTTTGCTGGGCTTCCCATGGTTTTGGGTGCTGGGCTTTGTCATGTTCTCTGCTCTGGGATCACTGGAGGATTTGGGTGCCCACAGGGCCCCACTTCTTGGGCCCCTCTGCCACCTCCCCGCAGTGTCCACCAAGGCTTCTGCCTGCCCCCGGCTGCAGAGCACATTCAGTGAGAGTGGTCGTCAGGGCAGGGGGATGCTGGGGGCGTCCTGGAACACCAAACACACCCTTGGCCTGGTTGTGGGGAGGGAGTGCTATGGAACTTCCTGCCCGGGGTCCCTGGTAGGATTCTTGTCTCCAGAACAGAAAGATGAGGACAATATGGTGATTCAATTGTTTCTGTTGTTGTTTCCATGTGGGTTTAATTCATCTGGAGAGCTGTTTCCTATTCCCAGCCCATGTCACTTCTGCTCTGTGGGGTCTGCCGGTCTTGGGGGAGTCGTAGGAGTGTGCGGCTGTCCACTTCTTCAGTGCTTGCTCCTCCTCAGGAAAATAAAAGTTGGCAACACCATACATCCTGCTGTTTCTCAAATGTTATTTGAAATTTTGCTGGTATTTGAAACACAAACATCTGTTTCATAAGAATCTCAAATGATCTTAAAACGCCAGAGAATGGGACAGGCACAGTGGCTCATGCCTGTAATCCCAGCACTTTGGGAGGCCAAGGCGGGCGGATCATGAGGTCAGGAATTTGAGACCAGCCTGTCCAACATAGTGAAACCCCGTCTCTACTAAAAATATAAAAAATTAGCTGGGTGTGGTGGCAGGCACCTGTAATCCCACCTACTTGGGAGGCTGAGGCAGGAGAATTGCTTGAACCCAGGAGGTGGAGGTTGTAGTGAGCCAAGATTGCACCATTGCACTCCAGCCGCCTGGATGACAGAGCGAGACTCCGATTTTAAAAAAAGCCATAGAATGAGGCCGCAAGCTCACCTCCTGCTTCTTCTATGTGCAGAGAAAATGCAGTTTCCTTGAGATTGTTTTAAGGTCATGATAAAATCAAGCAAGATATCATCAGACTCTTCTAAAATCAGCAACACCGAGGGAAGTCTGAACACCGGGCTTGATTAATCTCTACCCAAAACAACACTCCCAACAGGCAGGTCCGACACGGGCGTTGGCATTTGAGCTTTTAGCTGGTGGGAGTTACTTCAGCAAATGTGTGAGCAGCTCAGTCCTCCCCTGGGGACTGTGTCCTGCAGGACACAGGCAATTTCGTCCAAAACTAGGCATCAGCCTGCAGCCTTCAAGTTGCTTCCCAAAGTCAGAAATGACTGGCAGCCATGAGAGCCAGTCGCTTTCCTTGTCTCATTAGAGGTGGTTCTGTGGATAACCAGCCCCACCCAGCCATGCAGCTGTAACAGGAGAAGGTGTGCATGTGCACACACACAGGCACACACATGCTCACATGCACACATGTGCACACACACAGGCACACACATGCTCACATGCACACATGTGCACACACACTCCATCACATCAATGTAAAATTTATATAAGAAAAGTGGGCCAGGCACGGTGGCTCATGCCTGTAATCCCAGCACTTTTGGAGGCCGAGCCAGATAGATCACCTGAGGTCAGGAGTTCAAGACCAGTCTGGCCAACATGGTGAAACCCCAAATCTATTAAAAAAACAAAACATTAGCCAGATGTCATGGTGGGCACCTGTAATCCCAGCTAGTCAGGAGGCTGAGGCAGAAGAATTGCTTGAACACAGGAAACGGAATTTGCAGTGAGCCGAGATAGCTCCACTGCATTTCAGCCTGGACAACAGAGCAATACTTCATCAAAAAAAAAAAAAAAAAAAAAAAAGAGGAAAGTGAAGGGCAAGACCTGTTGCAGTGGCTCATGCCTGTAATCCCAGCACTTTGGGAAGCTGAGATGGGAGGATCACTTGAGTCTAGCAGTTTAAGACCAGCCTGGACAACATAGTGAGACCCCATCTCTACAAATTTTTTTTAATTGGCCAGGTGTGATGGTGCATGCCTGTGGCCCCAGCTACTCAGGAGGTTAAGGTGGGAGAATCACTTGAGCCCAGGAGGTCATGGCTACAGTGAGCTATGATTACGCCACTGTACTCCAGCCTGGGTGACAGAGCAAGACCCCATTTCAAAAATAAATGACAGCAACAACAAAAAAAGTAAAGGGCATATCTTGGTGGAACCTCTTAAGATTAATACTTTACAGTTATAATTTGTTATTTCTATCCTTTCCCCAGGAGAGATAAAAAATCACTGGATGTGCTTGAGTGCTTGAAGGACTAAGGCCTAAAACAGGGCATTTGGCTTCAGTTCTTCTAGAATCTGGAAGATAGGTCCACAGCTGGGCTGGCCTTCCTCAAAATCCCCTGCTGGAGAAATGGGGCGTAAGTATTGACCTTGTTTAGCTCAATCAGGGTAAAGCCGTCCAAGGCAAGGATGGACGTGTCTCTCCAGGCGATGCAGGTATTTTGGGTCCCAGCCCCACCATCAGCCTGCTCCTCTCAAAGTGGCACCTGGGTGTTTGGGGCTCAGGGCCTTCCTGACCTCACAGCACTGCTGGGGGAGGGCTCCCCAATGCCCAGAGATCCTTCATTTATGATGTGACTCCCTCAACTATCTCAGCCAGAGAGGAAGCTGACAGCCAGCCGCCCAAGGGACCCCCCACTGCCTTTGCTTTGGGGCCTCCTCACTCCCACTCCAGCAGCAGGTCCCACAAAAGGCCGGCCACCTCTCCAGGCAGTTTTCAGTGACCAGGAGCTGAGGAAGGCACAGATGGGCAAGCTCCCTGCTCCCTGTGCTGCCAGCTTCTGCAGCTGTGGGCTGCCCAGAGGCCCAAGAGGAGGCCCCGCTGAGAGGATGCACCTCTCCCTCCTCTAGTGAGGCCCCACCTTGGGACCTCCACCACCCCCACAGGCTCCTTCTCTTCATCACAACCCCATCCAGAGACGCAGGTTTCCTTCGACTTCCTCCCGGAGGAGGGCAGGAACCAAGAGCAGAGAGAATGCCCACACCAGGCATGGGAGGACTCCTGGGACCTGCACCAATCAAGCCTGGGCCCTGCCCCACCCCCCACCACCATAAATTCAGAACTAACATTAGAAAATCCTTGCTGTTTCTGGCAATTCATGGCTTTCAAGCATTTTGTCTAATTGCACAGTTTTATTTTGAATATCTGAAGCTGTGCATTAACACTGTGCTTTCTTTACATTCTTTCTGTAAAAAAACCCTAATTCTCCTACCACTCAGTGCAACTCAAGACAGAGGCGCCTTACGATCACCAAGGAAAAACTCATGCATTTAAAAAAGGCTAAAAGAAAAGTACTTCAGTCGTTTTTTAGAAACATCATGCTGTGTACATTTGTATTCTCACTTCTTAAGCCGCTATCATTCCAGTGTCTCTTCTCTTGGGCAATTGTGCCAACCACATTACGTTATTTTCCAAGTTTAGGGTGAGCTCCCCCACTGAGCCCTGTAGGTAGGTCTGGTGCCTTCAGCCATGGCAAAACAAGGAAGTTTCTGCGTCCTCCTGGAGCCAACTGAGGCCTCAATGTCCCTGCTGCCTGGATGCCATCCTGAGACAGTGTATGAGTCCATTTTCACACTGCTATGAAGAACTGCCCGAGACTGAGTAATTTATAAAGGAAAGAGGTTTAATTGACTCACAGTTCAGCAGGCTGCACGAGAGGAATGGCTGGGGAGGCCTCAGGAAACTTACAATTGTGGTGGAAGCTGAAGGGAAAGCAAGGCAGCAGGAAGGAAAATGATGTGGGAAGAACTACCAAACACTCACTTAGAAAACCATCAGACCTCCCGAGAACTCACCATCAGGAGAACAGCACGGGGAAAACCGCCCCATGATTCAATCACCTCCATGATTCAATCTCCCTTGACACCTGGGCATTATAGGGATTACAGGGATTACAATTCAAGAAGAGATTCTGGGTGGGGACACAGCCTAGCCGTGTTCAGCAGCATCCAGGTGTCCAGGTGCAGACATGTGCTCCTGTTCGAAACGGGGAAGCCAGTGGATGCAGAGCCGTGAGCACCGAGGGCCTCCCACATTTAGGAGAGGAAGGCTGGTGTCCCTGTGAGAACACATGCTAGTCCAGAGTAAGGAAAAGACGGCCCCGTCCCATCTGCAGGGTTGAGCCAGTTCCAGAACTCGCACGTAGACCGCAGAGAGCAAAGCCGGGTGGCCTGGCGCCATCGCGTGATGCAGACTATTGTGAACGGCCTGCTCTGGAGGCGCAGAGAGGCGGGAGGTGGATGGCGCTGAGGGGAGGGGGTGTAGGCGGAGCACCAGCAGCCAGACCCTGGCAATGACGAAGGCTGCCCGACTGACCGCTTAGCTGGGAGCTCTGCTCAGCCTTCCCCTGCAGACGCCATGACCTTCACAGGACCCTGCAAGGCGGGGCTGCAGTGGCCTGGGCCCTGAGGGGAGGCCCAGAGCAGGGACAGGTTCTGAACTCTGCAGCGGCGCTCCTCCCCGGCCCCTCTGGCCTCTGAACCAGCTGCCATTGTAAGCTCTGGGCCCCGCTGGCACTCCCATGCCCTGGGAAGAAGCAGCCACTGATGGCCGGAGGATGGAGCACAGTGTCGCTGACTCTCCGCCGTGCTGCCCGGACTCCCGGGTGGAGGGAAGCGCCGGGATGCTCCACAGACTGCAGGCTTCCTGCTCCGCCCCTGCCCTGTGCCCCGGGACCCCCTGGAGCATGCCAGCCAGGACATGACCTCCAGCTGCCAATCACTCTTCCCTCCCAGGCAGTGCTGTGTCTTCCAAATGCACAGCCCTGACTCGCGCCACCTCCCCGGCCTGGGGTGCTCACTACCCCTGTGCTCCTCCCGCTCCTCCCTGCCTGGAGTTCCACCCACCACAGCTGGGACTGCCCTTAGGGGTATCGGCTCCTCAGCCCCCAGGCTCTCAAGGCCGGAATCACGCTTTGTGGGGAGTTAAGATAGCGGAGCTCAATCCAACTGGGCTGTGGCGGGTGAAGGCTCGTCCCTAGCTCTGAGATGCACGTGCCAGACTCACTGGACCCTGACAGCCCAGAAGCTCAGTGCGACCCTGCCCCCTGCTGCAGGCAAGCCCCGCCTGTCACGGAAGAGCTGCGCCAGCTTGCTCATGCTTCTCCCTCGGCCCCTCCCACGGCCTCAGTTTGAACCGCCATCCGTGCAGTTTGTAGTACCCACATCTACGTCCAGAGGGCGCTGTCGGGATTAAAAGTTTGAAGTACTCATTTTGGTGTTTGGTTTATAGTCAAAATGGTCTTTTTTCAGATTTCTTTTTATTATTATTATTGAGTCAGGTCTCACTCTGTTGCCCAGGCTGGAGTGCAGTGGCTTGATCATAGCTCACGGCAGCCTCGACCTCCCAGGCTCAAGTGATCCTCCTGCCTCAGCCTCCCAAGTAGCTGAGACCACAGGCGTCTGGCACCCCTTCCAGCTGATTTTTAAAATTTTTTTGTAGAGAGGAGTTTTCACTATGCTGTCCAATCTAGTCTCAAACTCCTGGGCTCCTCTTGGAAACTCCTCTTGCCTCAGCCTCCCAAAGTGCTGGGATTACAGGCGTGAGCCACTGGCCTGGCCCAGATTCCTTGAGGGCATCGGGAGCAGCACAGCCCATGCTCACCTCCCCAGCCTCGCCTGCCTCTGTAATTTGCACCATGTGGCAGCTGCCGGCAGAGCCAGTCCCTCAGTAACTGGTCGCTCCCCATATGCTGAGAACCTTTAATCATCCGAAGCCCCGGTACCCATTACGGCTTTTCCCCTGGTACAGATGGTTCCTGGAGTACTTTTTACTTTGATTTAAATACCTGTGCTTGTTCTTGGCTTTAAAAAAAAGAAAAGCCTTTTTTGGTTCATTTCTGTGTGGTATTCTGGAATATGAATATGCATCCCATTATCATAATTGTCTGGCTTTTAACATGCTTTCGCCTATGTGGAAGTTGCTTATTCTAAAATCTTTAACCAACTGTCAAACGGCCATTCTGTCTCAGTATAAATGTCTCTATTGCAAGCAACAGCGCAAATGTAAACTGTGGCTAAACATTGTACTTCAGATTATAATTGGGTTCAATTAATTTCACTAAAACAAACTCTTGGCAGTAAAAGTCGCATGCTTCTTGATAAAATGTCTGTACAGATGACTGAGATAGAGAGTGATGAGGACTCTGTTATGAAACCGGGAGCTGACTCTCCCATTTTAACTGCCGTGCGGGAAGCAGATAATCATCCTGCAGCTGTAGGGAGGTTGGAGAGGTCTCGGGATAGAGACAGGGGACCAGGAGGTTCCTGGCGTGAAGCCTCAGAGGTCATCTCCACCGCAGTTCTTCATGGGAGAGAATGGGATGCTTGCAGTGACTGCTGTGGTCCAGTGACTACACGGACTCTAGTTTTACCCCATGGAGGAGCCGGGGTGTCATGTGTGGCCTGTGCAACCCTGATATCTGCAAAGCTTATTTGTAACTTCAGATCAGCTTTCTCTCTCTCTCTGTTTCAAAGTTTATAATAAGGGCTCCCTGTATGTTGGTGTCATTTCCAGCCTCAAGGTTGTCAAAGAGTTAAAATTTTCTTTTTCTCTTTTTTTTTTTTTTTTTTTTTTTTGTTCTGTCACCCAGGCTGGAGTGCAGTGGCATGATCTTGGCTCACTGCAACCTCCGCCTCCCGGGTTGAAGCACTTCTCCTGCCTCAGCCTCTCCAGTAGCTGGGATTACAGATGCGTGCCACCACGCCCAGCTAATTTTTTATATTTGTAGTAGAGATGGAGTTTCACCATGTTGGCCAGGCTGGTCTTGAACTCCTGGCCTCGTGATCCGCCCACCTTGGCCTCCCAAAGTGCTGGGATTACAGGCATGAGCCACCGCACCTGGCCACATTTTCTAAACCGATGCTGTGTTCCACTAGGGCTGTTTCTGCTGGATGGTGTCCTAATTAAGCCAAAGAATTTTTAGACGAAGCAAAGCACAACTGCTTCTGATTGTGAGTTTACATCTCTGAATGTTAAGCTTTCCTAAAACAGGACATAGATTTTTATACATCCAATTGTCCATCTTAAAAAATTCTGGCAAAATGTTGTATTTGAATAATTTTTCTTACTCAAATGTGGAGATGCGGAGGTGATTAACCTCAACTAGTTGTTTTGAATATAAAAATGATGTAATCATGCTGATGACTAGGTTGCCTTTGTGAAACGTGACCCTCCGTGGAGGAAGTAGCCCCAGTGTTTCAGGCAATTGGATCAATTTTGCAGCAACACATTTATCTCATGCCTGACAGGAGCATTTCAAAGCGAACATACTGGAAAGCATCACTAAATTGAACTCAAATGTGCTCAGGTGCTGGGAGGTTAATAATCTCGGAGGGCTGGACCTGAAGAGGAGAGTATCAGTGCAAGAACCGCCCATCAATGCCCGTGCGGCCGCAGGGAACTCAGAAGCGAAGGGTGTGAAATTTAACCACTTCTGACGCCGCTGTTGTGTTCTGTGGTCCAGCGTCTTCAGCTGTGCCCAGAGCAGGCCCTCAGGGATCAGGTCCATCAAAGCACAACTGCTGCATGGACAGACAGACATCCCATCAACTCCGATCTGCTGCACCACGGAGGGCTGGCTTCCAAACTCTCCTAGACAGATGACTTTCTTTAAAATGTGCTTAAGAAAGAAAAGTGACTGAACTCTCAGAATGTACAACTGCATGTTAATGCTTTTCTGTCAAAATATCACACTGTCTAGACTTAGCTTAATCTTGGGCTTTGAAAATCCATCTCTGAATCTGTATTCCAGAAAGGCTGCTTTTACAAAATGTATTAAATTTGAAGCGGAAAGCCAATAATTGCAATGTTTGAAGATTCAATTTAAATACAAAAGTGGCCAAGAGCAATCCCAGGGGAATCCAGGTGAGGAATTTCAGCTCTTGCGAAGTCTTAGTCTTAATGTTTTTAATATTTAAAAACACAAAAAAAAGTCATTCCTCCCTTTGAAAGGTTTCAGTGTGCCCAGACAACTCTCAGCGGTGATTCTCATGATAAGGGTGCACGGTGAGTTTCATGTGGGCCCTGGGATCTATGTAAGCTGAATGCACTGGGGGTATTGCAGCCCTGATAGCTGCATTAATATATGCGGCTCTCCAGGTATGTGCTGGGGTGGGAGTGTGTTACCCAAGGCGGGAACAGACTCATTTCCTTTCGGAAATAGCAAGTGTTTCTCAAGAGCATCTCCCAGAACAGCTCACAATGGGCTTTGCTGACATTTCAACTCCTCTCACAACTGCTTATTTCATAGCATCTTAGAGTTTCTAGTTAAAGATGGAACGTGGACAATTGAATGCTGTCTGCAATGCTGTCTGACTCACAAAGTGAGTTCGCTCTAACACTAAGGGGAGTCCATGTCCCTTGAGAAGTTGCCCTTTTGGCTCCAAGTCACTTGTCAGACAGAGGGGGGATCCTGGAGGACACCCTTGTGGGTGCAGTGGCGTCATGCTCCAGCTGTAGCTGTGACTTCCTGGAGTTAGATGGGCCAGGCCAGTGTGACATGGGGAAGCTGTGCCCTGGCGGGTCACCTCCAGCTAAGAGATGCCTCCTTTGTCCACCCCAGTGTGTAGAAATAGCGTTGTGTGTTTCATAACAGAAAACACTGGCAGCACTTCCTTAGAGAACCAGTGGAAGATGAAAGTGGATGGCAGATACAGAAGACAGAAAAGACAAGCCGATGAGAGGGTTTGCACCAAAGCTGGGTACCTTGTTCTCTGGCCACGCCAGGGAGGACAGTGATGGAAGTCATGGTGGACACTGGCCAGGGAGGCAGGTGGCTCGGGCAGGGCCTCCTGAAAGGCGCTGTCCTCAGATAACGGGAAACATGTGACTTGTGCCAGGAAAAAGGAGAAAGGGCAAATAGGAGATGATGGAGTCCCGAGAAGCTGTTAAGACTCTGCTCAGACCACAGAATGACGCCCAGAGATGGGCTATCGCAAGCACCACAGAGCTGGGGGGTTCCCTCTGTCCAAATATTAATGTCCAAATATTAACCTTGATGCTGTCTGAATACTAATAGCTTTACTGATGCATAATCTGCATTTCCTTAAAAAGTGGGCAGTGCAGTGATTTTTTAGTAAATCCACAGACTTGTCCAACCATCTCCACAAACCAGTTTTAGGACATTTCCAGCATCCCCAGAAGTTCCCTCATACCTATTTCCAGTCAATCATAGGTCCCACAACCCAGCCCCGGAAAACCTCCTAGCTTTCTTTTCAGTCTCATAAATTACACACATGATGCCCCGGATATGTCCTAGAAGTGGAATCATGTTGTGTAGCCTTTTGCATCTGACTTTCCATCTTCATTTTGAGCTCTCACCCACAATGTATGAGAGTCTGACCTGTTTGAGGTTTAGCATATATTAGCAGTTCATTCCTTTTTGTTGCTAAACAGTATCCCATTGTAGGACTATCCCGCATTTTATTTATGTCACCAAGTTATGGACATTTATATCGTTTCCAGTTTTAGAAATTATGAATGATGCTGGTGTGCACATTTATGTACAAGTTTTTGTGTGGACACAGGTATGCCTTTCTCTTGGGGAGGGTCTAGGGGGTGAATCACTGGGTTATGTTATAAGCACATGTTTAACTTTCTAAGAAACTGCCCAACAAGTTTCCAAAGTGACTATACCATTTCACATTCTCACCAGGAATGCATGGGGGCCCACTTCTCCTCACTCATGACAACACTATATTGCCTGTATTTTTCATCATAGCCAGCCTTGTAGGTTTGCAAGTGTGTCTCATTACAATTTACATTTATAAATGCAAATTTAACTTGCATTTCCCCAATGACTAGTAGCATTGCACACCTTTTCAGGTGCTTTTCAGCCATTGACATATTTTCTTACGTGACGTGGCTATTGAGAGCTTTTGCCCATTTTTATCAGGTATTGGTCTCGTCAAGTTGTAAGAGTTCTTTACGTATTTTAGATGTAAGTTGTTTACATAAAGTATAATTTAAAAATATATTCTCTGAGTCTATGCTGTGTTGTTTCATTTTCTTAATGATGTCTTTTAAAGCACACAACTTTTTAATTTTAATGAAGCCTAAATTATCCATTTTTCTTTTATGAATCATATCTCTATTTGTGTACCTAAAAACTCCTTGCTTAATCCATGATTATGAACAACCTATCCCACATTTTCTTCTAGAATTGCTAATTTCATCTCTTACATTAAATTTATAATCCAGTTTGAGTTAGTTTTTGTGAGTGGTGTGCAATAAGAAAATATATATGCATATGTTGCATATGTTTGTAGAATTGGTCCAGTATTATTTGTTGAAAAGACTGTCTTTCCCTCACTGACTTGCATTTGCACCTCTGTTGAAAATCTCTGGATCAAATATGTAAGGTTTTACGTCTAAACTCACAATTCTATTCCACGGATATCTATGCCTCTATTTACACCGCTATACGCGGTCTTATTCTCTAAGGCTTTGCAGTAATTTCCATATAAGGTAGAGTAAGGCTTCCAAGGTTGTTCTTTTCAAAATTATTTTGGTTATTTTATGCTCCTTGCATTTTCTTATATATTTTAGGATTAACTTGTCAGTTTCTATTTTAAAAGTTTGATAGGAATTGCCTTGGCTTTACAGAGCAATTTGGGGAGAACTGCCATCTCGATGTTGAGTCTTCTCACCATAAACATAGAATGTCTTTATTTAGTTCTCCTTTAATTTCTCTCAGCAATATGTTGTGGCTTTCCATGTACAAGTCTTATGTGTTCTTTGTTAGATTTACTCCTAAACATTTTATTCCTTCAACGCTCTTGTGAATGGAATTGTTTTCCTAATTTTATTTCCAGATTGCTCATTGCTCATACATAGAAATGCAATTTGTTTTTCTGTTGATCTTTTGTTGTGCAACATTTTGAAACTTGTTTGTTATCTCAGTACGTTTTTTTCTGAATTCTTTAGTATCTTCTTTATACAGGACGGTGTCATTTTCAAGTAAAGATTGTTTCACTTCTTTTCCAATCTTGATGCCTTTAATTTTGCTGTTGCGTGACCATGCTGTCTAGAACCTCCAGTGCTTTGTTGAAGAACAATGGCAAAAGTGGGCGTCCTTGGCTTGTCCCTCAATCAGTCTTTCAGCATTAATTATGATGTTATTTGAGAAGTTTTGGTAAACGGCTTTATCAACTTAAGTAAATTCCCTTCCATTCCTGGCTCGTTAAGAGTCCTTAGTCCTGAATGAATGATGGATTTGTTAAATGCTTTTTTCTGCATCTTCTTAGATAATCACATGGATTTTGCCCTTCATTCATTAATATTATTTACCTCCTTAGTTGATTTTTAGTTGTTAAACCAACCTTGTACTCTTGGGATGAAGCCCACCTGGTCACCAAAATCCATTTTATATATTGCAAGATTCAGTTTGCAAACATTTTGTGAAGGATTTTGGCATCTGTGCTGTGAGGAGTACTGGCCTGTCATCCTCTGTTCTTGTGATGGCTTTATCTGGCTTTGGTATCCAGGTAACACCAGATCTGTGAGGTTGCACGTTGCGGCACCTCTGGCTTCTGGCTTCCCCCAGGAGGGCAGTTGTTGCTGTTGGTTGAGGTGTTGCCTGGACCAGCTCTGGGACCTCTGTTGCCCCTCCAGTGTGCAGCCAGTGAGAACTCGCTCCTCTTGTCTGGGGTTTATTGTTGTTATTTCTTTTTCAGCTTAGCTTCCTGGGGTCACCCCTGCATCTGCATAGCTCAGTGGTCAACTAATGATGGGTCAGAATTTGTGCTCAAATACTGTGCCCCAGTCAAGCCCCACCCACTGCTGATGGATGTGTGTGGGCTCAGAGGTGCATTCAAAGTTCAGGGAGCTTTTGAGCCTGCTCCACTTTTGCTGTCTACGGAGCCTGCTTCCATCTTCACTCTCCTGTACGCGGCTCCTAGCAGGAGCCTTTCTTGTATCTCCTGGGACCCTTTCTTGTATCTCCTGGTTAAATGTCCGGCTAGTCTGTCACTGCTGACACCCAGACCAGATGTTTCAGACTCATGGAACAGCCTGCCACACTTGCACACTGACCACTGGGATGGCTGCTCATTTCAGACAGTGTCCAGCCAGCCCCTTCAACAGCACAGCTGTCGGCAATCCACAGCTGCCCTGGCCTGTCAGACGACCACCAGAGCTGGGCAGGGATGCTGGCAGCAGGCAGGAGTCACCCCGAACAGGAATGCCTCAGAGCCCCCTTGCCCTTAGCCAGAGCCTGGCCGTTGGTCATGAATAAGTGCACCTCAGCCTGGTGGAAGGCTTTGGTCCACTGCCAGGGCACTGGAATGGTCATTTCGGTCACTTGTCCATTTTGTGATTGCTTCAGGGGCAGCAGGCTTGGAGCCTCCTCTCTCCACCATGCCAGGAGACCCTTGTCTCATACATGTCCAGTTCTGAGTCCACTCCCCTGGCTGGGTGTCAGTAGAGCTGGTCTGTTTCCCTCTCAGCTCTGAGCCAGCCCTGTTGTGGGGTGCACACTCCTCCATCTTCCTGAGGCTGCCTCTGCTGATGCAAATAGAAGAGGCCTGACAAAGGGATCTCTACGTCCACAGCCAGCTCTGAAGTCCCATTAACTCAAGGAATTCAACATGAAAATTATTCATTGGTAAAATTCAAGTCCATGGAATATTTCAGAATCACTCAGCTCTTACTCATGAGAACACTTTTCTTTTCTTCTAGATGAAAGTGAATACAGCTATTTCTCTCTGCTTCCATCTCAAAACAGTCTCCATTGTGAGTCTCCATCTGGGTATGCCCCTCCCTTCCTTGCTGTATTTAATGCACGATTAGGCAGATGTGAAGCAGCGCTGCTTTAATCCCAGGTCACTGGAAAATCCTATCTTTCTAACAGTAATCCCACATTTGGGAATTCTAGGTTGAACTCTCCTGAGCTTATTTTACTTTTTCTTGATGGCTGCAAGACTTTGTCATAGGAATGTTATTGCACCCATGACAACATGGATGTGTCCTCACGTACCCTGTCTCTGCATGGTGACACCAGCTTTAGAGTTCTTATGTCCAATGGCACTGTGTCTCAGGTCTCTGTCTCTCGCTCCTTCTCTCATTCTTTGTCATTATCTCTGTCTCTCTCTCTCTCTTCCTTTGTCTCTGCCTTTCTCTCCCTGTGTCTCTCTCCATCTGTCACTCTGTCTCTCTCTCACACTCTTTTATTCTCTGTCTGTCTCTTTTCCTGTCTCTGTCTTTCTCTCCTTCTGTCTCTCTCCGTCTCTCACTCTCTCTGTCTCTCTCTCTTCATCTCTTTCTCTCCTTCTGTCTCTCTATATCTCTCACTCTGTCTCTCTATCTCCCTCTCTCTCTTCCTCTGTCTCTCTCTTTCAGTCCCTCTGTCTCTCCCCATCTCTCACTCTCTCTCTTCCTCTGTCTCTGTCTTTCTGTCCCTCTGTCTCTCCCCATCTCTGACTCTCTCTCTCCCTCCGTCTGTCTTTCTCTCCTGATGTCTCTCCCGATCTCTCACTCTGTCTCTCTGTCTCTCTCTCTTCCTCTGTCTCTGTCCTTCTCTCCCTCTCTCTCTCTCCATCTCTCACTCTCTCTGTCTCTCTCTGACTCTCTCTCTTCTCCTCCCTCCCCACTCTTCTCCCTACCCCTGTCACTTCTTGCTTCTGGTTGTTGTCTGTTTCTTCTGCATCACACCTGCTCCTTTCCTCTCACAGGAACCTGCTCCCACTCACGATGGATGAACACCAATGAGTAGAACAAACCGTGTGTAGTGGTTTGGTGCTAATGACAGAGCCACTGACAGAGCCATGATGCGACTCCTCAGAAGCTCCCCTCAACTAATCAGCAGCCTCAGCTTTACCTCTAACTAGGTTTCATGCTTCTCACTGGCGACCTATTTTAGCCATCGCAGAGACTACTACTATAATCTGACTGTATGCATGAACGACTGAGCAAAAAAAAAAGTTAAAGAGTTCCATGTAACTCATTCTTCATACGATCCATTAGAAGCGTTTAAAGCTGCCTTTTGATGTTTATAAGGTCTGTCTATTTATCTTTTAGTCGGATATATGACTCATACCATGAATTTAATTTAAATTTTATATTTTGGTATCTTACATCAAGTTGATCTGCTAGGATGCATGTGTACTGTGTTAAATCACCCTCGTGTGGTTTGTAGGAAACAGCTAATTAGTCTGAAGGACAGTGAATCTGAAAGGTTTTCAACTCACTACAGGAACAGAGCTACTTCTTTAAGGATTTTTTAATGTTTACCTGTGACAACCCCTTAGGCTGTTTTCATATCTGGCTATCATGAATAACCCGGTGATGAAAATGAGAATACAGATATCTGTACCCGAGAGTGGTTTTGTTTTCTTTGGATATATGTCCAGAAATGGGATTGCTGGTTCGTGGACTGGCTTTATTTTTAATTTGTTGAGAAGCCTCCAGGCTGTTTTCCACAATGGCTGTACCAATTCACCTTCCCACCACAGTGTGCAAGGGTGCCCTTTCCCCACCTTCACCAGAACCGGCTATACTTTGACTTTTTGATAAGAGGCATCTTAGCAGGTGTTCAATGATACCTACTGTGGTTTGGATTTGCATTTCCCTGGCGATTAGTGATGCTGAGCACATTTGTGTGGACCTGCGGGCCACGTGTATGTCTTCTTTGGCAAAATTTCTATTCAGGTTCTTTGCCCATCTTTTTAAATCAGATTACCTGTTTTTTGCTATTGAGTTGTTTCAATTCCTTACATATTTTAGATACGAATGCTTTTATGGAATCTAAAGTTTATGTTTTCCAAATGCTTGGTTCACTTAACACCATTAACATTGACAGCCTCATGAGATCTTTGCTAATCACCAGCTCTCTCTTCAGCATTTTAGTACCGTGGGGAGGTCGGTCATGCATCCCATCACCCACACGGAGGAGAGGCGGAGCTGGAGGCTGCTTGGGGCATGGGAAGGTGAAGTTGATCCCCCCTCTTCTGGGAAGAAATGCAGGACTAATGTCAATGCAGCAAAGAAGGGATTTGGGGTGTCCGGAACAGAGGGCTTGATTAGGAATTGCTGGGATTGTGGGGCAACCCTGTGCCCTACAGAGGGGCCTCCAATCTGACATTCCCTGGGCTGAAAGAAGTTAAATATACAAGCTCTACAGCCTGTCCTATCACAAGGGCCAGCTCCAAAACCTGCCTCAAGTGATGAGGGTGAGATGCTCCTGCCAGGCAGACTCCGAATTCTAAGGAACAGAATTGTTGGTTGCTGACATTGTCCGTGCGTGAGCTGGTACTTTCCCTGAAGGAGCAGTTTCCTTGATGGTACCGCTCTGCAGAATGCTGCTACATGCCGCTGATTTGGGAGAGGAGGTTGCTCCTGAGAGGATGACTATTGCAGTAATTAGTTACAGGGAATGTGCTTCAATCTTGCTCAAAAATGCATCACCTGGGAGCATTCCTCAGGGTCTGGACTCACCCTCCACCATGGACCCATCAGAAGGCCCTGAGTTCTCGCTCCCCCGGCATCTGGATCCCCAACCTGTGCACTCCAGGCCTGCTAACCCCCTCTGAGCTACTGAGCCTGAGTTCTCAGGGTTCTCCTCGGATCCACTCTAGTCCGACTCCTTTTATTCTGTCCTCTGCATTGCGGCACCCATTGCTTGCTTAAAACAAATGAGATCAATAGTTTGTTGGCTCTCTTCACAGTCAAGAGCTCCTTTCCATGGTTCACAACATCCTATGTGGCCCACCTGGTCACCCTCTCCAATCTTGTAGCCCAGGGCCCTCCCCTGGCCTCACCAGCTGGGCTCCTCTTGGTTTCTTCCCAGCTGCTCGTGGTAAATTGCCATCCCCATAGAACAAGCATCCCTCACCACGGGGGCCAGGCCAGTCCCTACTTGTCCCTCAGACCTTGGCTTAAACCCTCCCATGGGCTTCCCTTCCTGGCCACACGGCAGAGATGGCCTCGCCTGGCTGCTGTCTACCTCAGAACCCTGTGTGCCTTCTGCCCTAGGTTCTAAAGAAGAGATTCGATAACTTTGTTAATCTCACTGTCTTTCTTTTTTACTTTTCATATAATCCCTCAGTAGGCTAAGAGCAGAAGCTCCTGCCATGATATTTAGATGGAGGGCTTGGGGGCTGTGGTCAATTAGTTTTATGATTTGGGAGGGAAATGCAGAGATTAGCCCCTTCCTATCTTGTAAGACTATTTTTTAGAGGAGTTTTAGGCTTATGACAAAATTAATTCTATCCATCTCCCACAGGTGCACAGCCCCCCATAAGAAACTTCCCTCCCAGAGTGGGGCATTTGTTACCCCTGAGGAATCTACATCGACACATGGCCAACCAGACTCCATGGCCCACTTTAGCTCCGCTCTTGGTATTGACATTCCGTGAGCCTGTGCAAATCTCTAATGACTGTATCCACCACTGAAGTATCACACACAGTAGTTTCACTGCCATGAAAGTCCCCTGTGCTGCACCTGCTCATCCTTCCCTCCCCAACCCCCAATAACCACTGATCTTTTTACTGTCTTCATAATTTTGCCCTTTCCAGAATGTCCTATATTTGGAATCATACATAATGTAGCCTTTTCAGATTGGCCTCTTTCACTTAGCAACATGTATTTAAGCTCCCTCCATGTCTTTTCATGGCTTGATAGCTCATTTCTTTTTAGAGCTGAATAGCACTCCCCAGTATGGATGAACTACAGTTCATTTCTCTATTCACCTCCTGAAGGACATCTTGGTTGCTTCCAAGTTTTAGCAGCTATTAATAACGCTGTTATAAATATCTGTGTGCAGATTTTTGTGTGAACATAAATTTTCATCTCCTTTGGGTAAATACCAAGGAATGTCATGGCTAGATTATATGTAAGAGTATATTTTGTTTTGTAAAAAACCCCCAGATTGTCTTTTTGCATTTCCATGAACAATGAGTGTGAGTTCCTGCTGCCTCACTCAGTCACCAGCCTTTGGGGTTGTCCGTGTTCCAGATTCTGGCCATTCTAATGGTGTGTGCAGTGGTGTCTTATTGTTGTTTGAATTTGCATTTCCCTGATGATATATGGCATGGAGCATCTTTTCATATGCTCATCTGCCATCTATAGATCTTTGGTGAGATGTCTGTTGATATCTTTGGCCCATTTTTAAATCAAGTCCTTTTCTTATTGCTTAATTTTAAGACTTCTTTGCATATTTTGAATTAGAGTCCTTTATCATAGGTGTCTTTTGCAAATATTTTATCCAAGTCTGTTGCTTCTCTTCTTATTCTCTTGCCATTTTCTTTCATCAAGCAGAAGTGTTTAAGGTTAACTAGGTCCAGCTGATCAATTATTTCCTTCATGGATCATGGTTTTGGTGCTGGATCTAAAAAGCCATCACCATGCCAAGATCACCTAGGCTTTCTCCTCTGTTATCTCTTAGGTGTTTTATAGTTTTGCTTTGTTCATTTATGTCTATGATTCATTTTAAGTTGGTTTTGGGGAAGGGTGTAAGGTCTATCTGGATTCATTTTTTTGCATATTGATGTCTCGTTCTGACACCATCTGTTGAAAAGTCTATCTGTGCACCATTGTATTGGCTTTGCTCCTTTTCAGCAATTGTAAAAGATCGGTTGACTATATTTGTGTAGGTCTGTTTCTGAAATCTCTATTCCATTCCATTGATCCATTTGTCTGTTTTTTTTTACCAATACCATGTGGTCTTGATTTCTGTAGCTTTACAATAAGTCTTGAAGCGGGGTAGTGTCAATCTTCCAATTTTCTTCTTCAATGTTGTGTAAGCTATTCTGGGTTCTTTTCCTCTCCACATCAACTTTAGATTCAGTTTGTGAATATCTAAAAAATAACTTTCTGGGATTTTGATTGAGATTGCATTGAAGCTGTAGATCGAGTTGGAAAGAACTGACATCTTGGCAATATCAAATCTTCTTATTCATAAATGTCGATAATCTCTCCATGTATTTAACTCTTATTTCACTCATCAGAGTTTTGTAATTTTCTTTATGTATATCTTGTACATATTTTGTTAGATTTATGCCTAAGTGCTTCCTGTTTGAGAGTGCTAATGTAAATTTTATATATATATATATATATATATATATATATATATATATTTTTTTTTTTTTTTTTTTTTTTTTTTTCGGAGACGACATCTTGCTCTGTCACTTAGAGTTGGAGTGCAATGGCAAGATCTTGGCTCACTGCAATCTCCGCCTCCCAGGTTCGAGCAATTCTCCTGCCTCAGCCTCCCGAGTAGCTGGGATAACAGGCATGCACCACCATGCCCGGCTAACTTTTGTATTTTTAGTAGAGATGGGGTTTCACCAGGTTGGCCAGGCTGGTCTCGAACTCCTGACCTCCTGATCCTCCCACCTCAGCCTCCCAAAGTGCTGGGATTACAGGTGTGAACCACCATGCCCAGCCAATAATACTATTTTTAAATTTCATATTCCACTTGTTATTGCTGATATGTAGGAAAGTGATTGACTTTTGTATATTACCTTGTATCTTGCAACCTTGCTATAATCACTTAGTAGTTTCACAAGTTTTTTTGTCAATGCTTTCAGATTTCTACATAGATGATCATGTCATCTGCAAACAAATACAGTTTTATCTCTTCCCTCCCAATATGTCTACCTTTTTATTCTTGTCTTACTGTATTAACTAAGCCTTTCAGTACAGTGTTTGAAAAGGAGTGGTGAGTAGGGATATTCTTGCCTTGCTCTTGGTCTCAGTGGGAAAGCTTCAAGTTTATCACCATTAAATATGATGTTAACTGTAGGTTTTTCATAGATAATTCTTTATCAAGCTGAGGAAGTCCTTCTCTGTTCCCAGTTTACTGAAAGTTTTTATTACAAAGGAGGACTGTATTTTGCCATATTTTGTTGCATTTTCTGCAGCTATTAATATGATCTCTTTTTTTCCTTTTTAGCCTGTTTCTGTGATGGATTACATTAATTGATTTTTGAATGTTGAACCAGTCTTGCATACCTGGGATAATTTCCAGTTGGTCATGATACATAATTTTTGATATATTATTGAGTTTGTTTTGCTAATATTTTGTGGAGGATTTGGGATTTATGTTCATGAGAGATTTTGATGTAGAGTTTTCCTTTTCTAAAATGTCTGGTTTTGGTATTAGGGTATATTAGTCCATTTTTATACTGCTATGAAGAAATACCTGAGACTGGGTAATTTATAAAGAAAAGGAGTTTTAATGGACTCACAGTTCCACATGGCTGGAGAGGCCTCATAATTATGGCAGAAGGTGAAGGAGGAGCAAAGGCATCTTACATGGCAGCAGGCAAAACAGAATGTGTGCAGGGGAAATGCCCTTTATAAAACCATCAGATCTTGGCCGGGCGCAGTGGCTCGAGCCTGTAATCCCAGCACTTTGGGAGGCCGGGGCGGGCGGATCATGAGGTCAGGAGATCGAGACCATCCTGGCTAACACAGTGAAACCCTGTCTCTACTAAAAATACAAAAATTAGCCGGGCATGGTGGCGGGTGCTTTTAGTCCCAGCTATGTGGAGGCTGAGGCTGGAGAATGGCGTGAACCTGGGAGGCGGAACTTGCAGTGAGCTGAGAGCACGCCTCTGCACTCCAGCCTGGGCGACAGAGCAAGACTATGTCTCAAAAAAAAAAAAAAAGAATAAAAATTAAAAAAAAAAAAAAAAAGAAAACCATCAGCTCTCATGAGACTTATTCACTATCATGAGAATAGCAGGGGAAAAACCCACTCTATGATTCCATCACCTCCCACCGGGTCCCTCCCATGACACGTGAGGATTGTGGGAGCCACAATTCAAGATGAGATTTGGGTGGGGACACAGACAAACCCTATCATAGGGTATTACTGCCTTCTCAGAATGCATTAGAAAGTTTTCCCTCTGCTTCCATTCTCTAAAAGAGATCTTAGATAACTGGTAAAATATCTTCCTTAAATGTTCGGTAAAATTCATTAATAAACCCATTTGGCCCTGGGGCTTTCTGATTTGGAAGGTTATTAATTATTGATTCAATCTCTTTAATAGACATAGTCCTGTTCAGACTGTTTATTTCTTTTTTGTGATTTTTGGCAAATTGTGTTCTCAGGGATTTGGTCCATTTTAAATGGGATTTCAAATTTGTGGGTATAGAGTTGTTCATAGCATTTTTAAAATCATTCTTTTAATTCCCATAGGATCTGTAGTGATATCTCTCTTTCTTTTCTGATATTAGAAGTTTGTGTCCTCTCTCTATTTTGGTTTTGTTGATTTTCTCTGTCCATTTCCTGTTTTCAATTTTATTGATCTCAGCTTTAATTTTTAACCACTTTTTTCTGCTGCTTACTTTGGATTTTACTTGCTCTTCTTTACTTGTTTCTTAAGTTGGACACTTAAATTGTTGATTTTAGATCTTTCTCTTTTTCTAATATATGAATTCAATGCTATGAATTTCCTTCTAAAAACTCCTTTCACTGCATCACAGTTTTGGTATGTTGTGTTTTCATTTTTATTTTGTTTAAACATTTCTAAATTTCTCTTAAGCTTTCTTTTTTTACTCACATGTTAAGATGCCAATTATTTCCAGGTTATTGCTGGTGTTGCTGAGTTCACCTATGTCTTTACTGATTTTTCTGCCCCTTGGAACTGTCCATTTCTGACAGAGGGTGTTGAAGTCCACAACAGTGTGTTCATCTATTTTTCCATGCAGTTCTATTAGCTTTTGCCTCATTGGCTTGACTCCGTTCTTAATCACGTTAAGGATTGTTAGATATACTTGGGGAACTGATACCTTTATCATTATGTAATGCCCTGTTTATTTCTGGTAGCTTTCCTAGCTTATTCTGTCTGCATTAATACATCTTCTACTTTCTTTTCATTGGTTGTAGCATGGCATATATTTCCCCCATCCATTTACTTTTAATCTATACGTTTCTTTTAAGTTAAAGTGGGTTTCTTATAGATAACATGTAGTTGGGTCTTGCTTTTTCATTCACTCTGATAATCTTTGTCTTTCAATGGGTGCATTTGGACCATTGACATTCAAAGTAATGATTGATATAGTTGGATTAATATCTACCATACTTGATATTGTTTTTTATTTGTTGCCTTTATACCTTGCTCCTATTTTTGTCTTCCACTCTTTTCTAACCTTTTAGTTGATTTTGATTGAGATTTTATATAATTCCATTTTCTCTCCTTTCTTATCAGGTCAATCACATTCTTTTTTTTAACCTTTTTTTTAGTAGTTTTTCTAGAGTTTGCAATATAGATTTACAACTAATCTAAGCCCACTTTTGAAAAACACTACACCACTTCACAGGTAACGTGAGTACCTTAAAACAACCAAATAAGCCTAATTACCCCTCAGTCCCTGTGTCATTGCTGTCATTCATTTCATTGATATATCAGCAGACATAAATGTGTGTGTGCAAATATATATAAAACATTAAATACATACATGAACATACATGATCAAATGCATTGTTGCTGTTATTATTTTGAACACATTTACCTATCAATCAGGTCAATTAAGGTTATGAAAAATCAAAGCTTCCATTTTACCTTCACTTCTTCCTTTCTCAGAGCTTTTTTTTTTTTTTTTTTTTTGACGGAATTTTGCTCTTGTTGCCTAGGCTGGAGTGCAGTGGCATGATCTTGGCTCACTGCAACCTCTGCCTCCTGGGTTCAAGCGATTCTCCTGCCTCAGCTTCCCCAGTAGCTAGGACTACAAGCATGCACCACTATGCCCGGCTAATTTTGTATTTTTAGTAGAGACGGGGTTTCAACATGTTGGCCAGGCTGGTCTCGAACTCCTGACCTCAGAGGATCCACCCACCTAGGCTTCCCAAAGTGCTAGGATTACAGGAGTGAGCCACTACACCTGGCCCTCTTTGTTTTTCTAATGCAGATCTGAGATTCTGGCCTTTTTATTCTCCTTCTCTCTAAAGGATCTTTTAAAATATTTTTTGTAAGACGGGTCTACTGTCAACAAATTCCCTCAATTTTTGTTTGTCTGAGAAAGTCTTTATTTCTCCCTCACTTTTGAAGGGTAATTCTGCAGGGTACAGATTTCTGTGCCGGGGTGTTTTTTCCTCTAAATACTTCAAATATTTCACTGCACTCTCTTCTTGCTTACTTGGTTTCTGAGAAGAAGACAGAATTAATTCTCATCTTTTTTCCTCTACAGGTAAAGTGTTGGGTTTTTTTCCTCCCTTTAGCTTTTTTCAGGACTTTTTTTTAATCCTTGCTTTTCTGTGTTTGAAAATAGCATGTCTAGGTGTAGGCTTGGGGTCACAGACCCTGCTTGGTGAGCTACACTTCATGGATAGGTAGTTTGGTGTCTGATATTAATTTGTGGAAGTTCTCAGACGCTATTGTTTCCAGTATTTCTTCTCTTCCTTCTCTCTTTCTTCTCTTGCTGATATTCTCATTAATCTTTGTTACACCTTTCGTGGCTGTCCCACAGCCCTTTGATACTATGGTCTGTTCTTTTCATTCTTTGTTCTTTTTGCTTTTCAGTTTCCAGAGTTTCTATGGGTGTGTCCTCGAGCTCACACGGTCGTTCCTCAGCGGCGTCCAGTCTACTAATAAGCCCTGCTCATTTCTGCCCCTGCATTTTTATCTCTTCTGTTTCTTTTTCCTTCTTTCTTAGGACTTCTATCTCTCTGCTAAAATTGCCCATCTGTTCTTAAGTGCTGCCTGTTTTACCCATCAGAGCCCTTAGCATTTTAATCATACTCATATTCACGGGAACAAAACCAAACTCTGTAAAATATTTTAAGAGGTTGATTCTGAGCCAAGATACAAGTGACCTTGGCCTGGGGTCCTCAGAATGTGTGCCCGAGGCAGTCGAGTAACAGATTGGTTTTATACATTGTAGGGAGCCAAGAAATGTGGGTAAAATCACAAATCAATACATGAAATGTGTACGTTGGTTCAGCCTAAAGAGGCAAAGATTCTTGAAGTTCTTGGTGGGGGAAGGCTTACAGGTCATAGGTGGATTCAAAGATTTTCTAAATGGCAGTTGGTTTAAAAAGTGAAACTTTGTCTAAAGACTTGACGTCAGTAAAAGAAATGCTTGAGTTAAGGTAAGGGGGGCCATGGAGGCCAAGGTTCGTGTTAAGTTGACGAAGCCTCAGTGGTGGCAGCCCTCCGAGAGGATAGAAGGTCAGTGTCTCTTTTTGGATCTTGAAAGGCGACAGACTCTCAGTTAATCTCTCCTAGATCTGGGAAGGCCTGGCTGCATTAATGGAGATTCTTTGGAGATGGCAAAATTTCCCCCACAAATGACAGCTTTGAAGGGCCATTTCAAAATATGTGAAAGAAATACATTACATTTCGGAGTAAAATGCTTTGATTTCTTTCAGGGCCTGCTGTCTGACATGTGATGCTATACCAGAGTCAGTTTGGAAATTGGTATCTGATTGCTACAAGTCTGTTTTGTCAGCCTAGTGCTCTCCACTTTAAAGTTAGTGCTGGTCATGTTCCTAAACTCCAAAAGGGAGCGGGTATAATGAGACATGCATGACCTCCTGACCTCCTGACCTCCCAACCTCCCGACCTCCCTTCCTATCACGGTCAGGAATTCCATTTTTCACGTTTCTCTGAGGTCCCCTTGGCCCTGAGAGGGTCTGTCCAGTTGGTCGGGGGCTTAAGATTTTATTTTTGGTTTACAGTTTTATTTATTTATTTATTATTTTTTGAGATGGCATCTCACTGTGTGGCCCAGGGTGGAGTGCAATGATGCAATTTTGACTCACTGTAACCTCCACCTCCCGGGTCGGAGTGATTCTCCTGACTCCTCCCGAGTAGCTGGGATTACAGGCATGCATCGCCATGCCCAGCTATTTATTTTTAGTTTTAGTTTTGTTTTTTGTATTTTTATTAGAGACGGGGTTTCACCATGTTGGCCAGGCTGGTCTTGAACTCTTGGCCTCAAATGATCCACCCGCCTCAGCCCCCCAAAGTGCTGGGGTTACAGACGTGAGCCACTGCGCTCGGCCACAGTTGTTTTAAATTCACTGTCTGATCATTCTAAAATCTCTGCCATGTCTGGTTTTGTCTCTCCAAATTGTGCTTTTTTGCCTTTTAATATGCCTTATAATTTTTTTGATATGCAGACACAATGCGCCAAATGCAAGAAACTTCCATACGGACCTTGGTGATGTGGCGGTGCGGCGCTGGGTAGGGGAGAGCAGCCTATAGTCCTGCGAGTAGGTCTCCGGCTTCCCGAGAGCCTGTGTCTCACTTCACAAGCACACGCCTCTGTTGTCCCTCCCAGCTTAGATGGGACAGAACAGCCTCAGTGGGCTGAGCTGGGTATTTCCCTTCCCTTGGGGAAGACCGTGACATGTGGAAGGTGACCTTGTGTTTCAGAGGTCGGGAGGCCAGATCAAGGGGTGTCTACTCCAGAAAGATCACCACGAACTTCTGAACAATGAGGTCCCATGACTGAGCCTGTGCCGAGCACAGAGGCAACTGGTGGTGGTCATGCTGCCGATGGACAGATGATGCTGGGGCCTGGGAGCGACTCTGGGGGAGGCCACAGGGCAGGTGCTTGTCTCCAGGGCATGGAGCCAGGAAGTCTTCCCACCGGAGGCCACCAGCAGAGGAGAGCATTTCCTTCCATTCCTGGTGGCTCCAGCTGTCCCCATCCCGAATACAGAATGATTGTCTGTCCCAAAGCACCTCCGGAACCCGGCACAGGTGCCACTGAGCCAGGCGGTGCCCCAGCGCAGCTCTCTCATTCCATGAGGTTCCGCTTCACAGCCCCAGGTAAGCCCAGTGCTGAGAGGCTGCTGCCTCCCACCTGAAAGAAGGAGCAGCCCAGCCCCAGCCGCAGGGGCACAGGGATGGCAGGGATGGCAGGGCTGGAGGGAGGCTCCGCAATGGCAGTGAGAAGTGGCCTCTCTGTCCAGGGACTTCAGCGGGCTCCATATGTTCTCCAGGTCTTGGCACCTAGTGACTCAGGACACCCAGCAGCTGAGGACATGGCCACCGGCCCTCTGGGTGTGCAGAGCTTGTTGGCAGAGCCACACCAAGATGGCCCAGGCAGAGTCCACACTGTGCAGGCCGGGCTTGGGTGTGCAGGGAACTCTGAGGACCCTTCCAGATGCTCCAACCGAAGGACACACACGCCCCTCCCCCAACCCAACCCCCACCCATACCCCTCCCCCTCCCAGCCCACGTGTGCCCTCCCTGCACACACGCAGCCTGTGGCTCTGCCTCAAAGGCCCTCTCAGAGCAGGGCTGGAACAGGTGTGCTGAGTTTTCTCCAGCAGGAAACAAAGGAGAGCGTCTTGGGAATTCTGGAATTACAAACACACCCAGGGGGCTCCAAGAGGGGTGCATGGGCCCTGGACAAATGCTCGAGGGGCAGCAGCAGGGTAGAGGCAGCATCCCGGGGTCCTCAGGTCCCAACTTCAGCAGCTGGAGCCAGAATCAGCATCCTCAAATGCCCTTTGTGTTAGTCAGGGTTCTCTAGAGGGCCAAGACTAATTGGATGGGTGGATGTGTGAAGGGGAGCTTACTAAGGAGTACTGAGTCACACAATCACAACGGGAAGTCCCACAATGGGCTGTCTGCAAGCTGAGGAGCGGGGAAGCCAGTCCGAGTACCAAAACCTCAAAAGTAAGGAAGCTGGCAGTGCAGCCTTCAGTCTGTGGCCGAAGGTCCAAGAGACCAAAAGCTGAAGAACCTGGAGCCTGATGTCTGAGGGCAGGAAGCATCCAGCATGGGAGGAAGATGAAGGCTGGGAGTCTCAGCGAGTCACCTCATTCCTTCTCCTGCCTGCTTTATTCTAGCTGTGCTGGCAGCCGATTAGATGGTGCCCACCCAGATTGAGGGTGGGTCTGCCTCTCCCAGCCCACTGACTCAAATGTTCATCTCCTTTGGCAACACCCTCACAGACAGACCCAGGATCAATACTTTGCATCCTTCAATCCAATCAAGTTGACACTCAGTATTCACCATCACACCCTTCCATGTGGGAAGGCATTGGTGGGGTCTGGGAACCTTGGTGGGGTCTGGGATGGGAAGATGAAGGACAAACCCGCCCACATCCATGAGGCACTCCAGCTCTGCAGAGCTTAGGATGCGGGTTCTTTAAATGTCTCCCACCACCCACACAGCCATACCCCCACCCAGGCCTGCCCCGGGCGCCGAGTGGGCAGTGCAACGTGGTGCCTGGGGCTGCACAGAGCCTATCCGGCCATGTCCTTCCTTGGTGAGCTCGGCAGCAGTGGGTCATCCCGCGTGGGGGCTTCCTGGAGCCGGCCCCTTCCTGCACTCAGGGAAGATGCCTCCCACCCAGAAAGCATGGCAGCATCTGCACAGGCCAGCTGGAGAAGCTAAACAGATAATTACCTCCACCAGCGTCGTGGTGAGCCCAGTTATTACAGCGCTGATTAATTACCTCCAACACACACACTGAGGGACACTGAAGCTGCAGGAAAGAGCGTTGGCCCGAAATCCGAAAGGAGAACATCCCTCTCCTGCACAGACTGCCCGGCTGAATGGTGCCCCACACATCGAATTATGGAGAATTTTCAAAAATAATAAAATGGCATTGATTTATGTGGTCAGTTAGCACCTCGGTTCCGCTGCGTGTGGTGTAGACTTGCGGCCTAGAGGTCAGGGTGCATGCTGGACGGTTCGTTCAAGAAGGCCTGGGGACACTGTTTGTTTCCGGCCCATGGACTTGAAACTCATCCTAAAATGTACACTTTTATTGTTTTTTCCTATGAGCACAGCTCCTCTCCAGCGTGCTGACAGTGACACTTAAACCCAGCGAGGGTGCGTTCACCAGTGGGGCTTGGAGACCGCAGAGCAGCCTGACGGAGCGGGACTCCAGGCACAAGGGTGACCCACAGCCTCTCCAGGCATGAGGGTGACGTGTGACCTCAGGGCATGAGGGTGACCCACAGCCTCTTCAGGCACGAGGGTGACGTGTGACCTCAGGGCACAAGGGTGACGCACGGCCTCTCCAAGCATGAGGGTGACGTGTGATCTCCAGGCATGAGAGTGACGCGTGGCCTCTCCAGGCACAAGGGTGACGTGTGGCCTCTCTGGGCTCAGATTCCTCCTGAAAATGTCCCTCATGGATCCTAGCCAGCGAAGGTGCCGGGACGTGCATTTCCAGCGTGCCATGCACAAGGGTAGGAGGCAGAGGTAGTGTTTCTCCTCCTCCCCCTGTCAGTCCCAAGGCCACACAGAGGTGATGGCTGAAGGGGGCTCTTTTCCATCCATCAGTCATTGCCTCAAATGCCGTCCCCTGAGGGCCTGGGTGGGCCTGATGGCAGGCTTGCTGGCCATTTCTCCTTGACCACCTGCAATGAGGGGCTGAGTCTACCACCTCCTTGGGCAGCCATGGACACCTGCACATTCCAGAGCTGGATGACTGCTGAGTCCTGATGGAAGCCAAGAACTGCAGAAAAGTCCACCCCACACTCGAGACACTCACCCCTGCGGCCCCCTGGCAGCCAGGACTCACGAGTGCCTTCTGAGAGCAACAGGCCCCGGGCACCAAAAATACACATACGTGACGTTGACTTAGTACTTAATGCAGCTTCATAAAAGTTTTCACTAATAACAGAAAATTCACAACAAACAGCGTAAATTGCAGGATAGATGGAATTTCCGTGACCTCTGACTGTGGCTGTGAGCGGTGGTGAAGAGACACCTGCGTCCACTCAGTGACCCAGCGTTGACATGGGCTCCTGGGGTGGACATCCCCAACTTCTCTGCACTCAGCCCATCCTAATGCCCGGCTCAGGAGCTTTGATGAATGATCGATGCAGCGCAAGTATCGATTTTCTCATTGGTGATCATTTTCAGGCATCTGCGTCTTTTTGTGTGTCCTGCGTTCTTAGTACTCCAAAAGTGGCATGAGTCTCAGTGCTATTTAGAACAAGGAATGAGGTCACAGAAGCTCCTGCAAGCCACTCAGCCCTCAGCCCTCTGTGCCTCAGTTTCCTCTTCTGTAAAAAGAGGAAGATAATAGCTGCCATGGACTGGATGTCTGTGTCCCCAGCAAAACAATTCAGGTTGAAGCCCCAGCCTGCAGTGTGATGGTTTGTGGAGGTAGAGCCTTTGGAGGTGATTGGGCTTAGAGGAGACCATGAACACGGGGCCCTCACTAGGGGGTTAGCGCCCTTTTAAAGAGAACGAGACTCGAAATCTCTCTCTCTCCAGTGCATTCAATGGAGGAAGGCCACGTGAGGCCATGATGAGAAGGTACCAGTACCGGCTGGAAACCAGGAAGAGGCCCTCTCCAGACACCAACTCTGCCCTTTGCTGCATACGCCATGCCATCTATGGTATTTTATCATGGCAGCCCAGACAGACCGAAATAACAGCACTGACCCTGAGTGTCGTGAGGCTGACATGAGTCAACCTTGAACCAAAAACCAAATCAATCAACGGAGGTGGGTGGTGGCTTGTGTGTGTGTTGCTTGTTTTAACAGGTGAGGGTAAGTGGCTTGCTCGGGGTCCCACAGATACTCACGGGCAGGGCTGGGACCTGAATCTGGGTCTGTTTGACCTCCAGTCCTGGGCCTTTCCACTGGGTGGCATTACCTCCTTTTAATGATGCAATTTCCTAAACATACCAGAAAGAGACAAACCCTTCCCCCAAAGAACTGACAGTGGCTGAATTTCCCAGTGAAGGTAACACGGCCATAGCTGCGTGTGCTGCAGTGCCGGGTGGTGAGTTCCTTCTTGTGTGTGCGTGTGGGGTTTTGTTTTTAATGTAGTTTTCCTCTTCCTCGCTGCCTTTTACAACCTAACATGATTAGTGCCCTGGAAGGTAGAGCTCATTAGAGATGCCGAATCTGGAAGACTGTCTGGAATATCAAGCGTCTGAAACAAAGTGAGTGAGTCCTTCAGAACTTCTCTTCAAATCAGCAGAGCCTGGCCTCATTAATTATTAACTGCACTGTGACCTAAATAAGTCACAGGATCATACTTCATTTAAACGCTGCTTGTCACCCACAGTGCTCATCTGGTCCTCTAAACGGTTCGAGCGCAAAGGAAAGAAGACGTTGTCTTTTAAGTGCAATTATAACTACAGGAATTAACACAGCCCACCCTTAACTGGCTGAAATGCCTCCATTCTCCATCAAACGCTGATGCCATGGTGAGCCCCACTGTCAGCAGGAAGAGAATAGTTGGAGCATGTGTAACAAGGTAGCTAAAAATGACATTTCTCTAATAAATATCATTGTATTATGCAGTGTCCATCTGCGACTGCTAAAAATTTGTCAGGAAGTTTATTGTTGGATATTTGCCAAAGAGATCTGTTTGGCCAACAATTAATGACAGTTAAATGATGTTGATTAGAATACATTGCACATCTTGTAGAATAAATGCTGTCCTTGCTGATGCATTCAGTAACCCCTTCTGGCTCTGGATCTGTGTCAGGTCAGCAACCTCTAGCCTCCTCTCCCAGGCTCCCCCGTGATCACAGACCCTGTGATGGGAACAGAGCCCGGAGCAGCACAGATGCCACAGATGGCAACTGCAATGTCTGTGTCTCTAACCTTCGCTCTGCTGTCCAGGGATCAGCCACAAAAGGCCAGGAGCATGGCCCTTCCCGTGTGCTAGCCCCTTCTTGTGAACTTTCTGGCTATTTTCTGTCTCTCTTTGCCCCAGCTTGGCCTCTGCAGCTAGCAGCTCACAGGAGCCCAAAGTGTCCTTTAAAGTGACTAGCTGAAGGGACATTCATGCCCAGCATGCTGGGTGTCCTCAGCCAACCACCTCGGCCAGAGGGGCCTCCCCAACTCAGTGAGGGATGGAGGAGAGTCCACTGTGAAATGGTGGAAGCACCTCGTGTGCCTCTGCAAAGTGGGAGAGCTGAGGGAGCATTGGGCATCTCTGCAGGGGCAATCTTAATGCCACCCAGTGATCCTGGGGAGGAGGAAGAACATCACCATGGCCTGAATGATCCAAATCCAGGCTCCCCCAAGCTCTGGCATTGGGAGTGTGAGAGCAGCAGCCACAGCCAGCCCCTTCTTTTCTTTAAACCCTCGGCCTCCTGAACAGGGCACGCTAAGTTTCAAAAAGGGGAGACGAGGAGACGGAGAGAAGGGGAGAGGAGAGGAGAGGAGGAGACGGAGAGAAGGGGAGAGGAGAGGAGAGGAGGAGAGGGTTTTGACTTTAAGATTTTTTTTCCTTTGGTTTCCTTTCCTGAAATTTGTGATATTGGCAACCCTAATACCGAGTCCTAGAACATTCTCTTTCCTGGCTATTTCAGCATAGAGACTATGACTGCATGACGTCTTAAAAGCTTTCGCTTCACAGCCCACAGATTCTAACATGAAACAAGCTACACCAGTAGTCCTGCAAGTTTTAAACTGAGAGTAAAATGTGTTTATCTCCTCCTCCCCTCAGAGCCATGCAGCTAAGACAGTGGTGCTGAGCGCTCTCCTGCCTCAGGTTCCATTTGCCACTCCCTTTCCTCTGCTGTGTCTCCAAGACCAGGAACCAGCACTGTGAGGAAGGATGGTTTGTTTTATTCTCAAATGTTCTCAAAGTTGAGTTAGGAGCCAGATTAAATGGCTTTATTTATTAAAATGACTTAATGAATAATAATGAGCACATTTAATCTATTTAGGGGCTTTTTTTTTTTTTTTGAGACAAGGTCTCGCTCTCTCGCCCAGGTTGGAGTGCAGTGGTGCAATCTCAGCTCATTGCAACCTCCGCCTCCCAGGCTCAGGTGACCCTCTCACCTCAGCCTCTTAAATAGCTGGGGCCACAGGTGTGCACCACCACACCCAGCAGATTTTTTTGTACTTTTTCTAGAGACAGGGTTTCACCACGTTGCCCAGGTTAGTCTCAAACTCCTGGGCTCAAAGTAATCCACTGGCCTCAGCCTCCCAAAGTGCTGGGATTACAGGCATGAGCCACCACACCTGGTCTAGGGTCTTTTCTCTACTGAGACTTTTATGCTATTGGAATGGAGTGAAATGAGAACACGTCACTTGCTTTGAAGGGTTATGATAGCTACTTTGGATCTGAAAAATCTAAAAATAATAAAAACTTAGACATTTTGGCTTTAGGACTTTTTATTTAAAAAATATCTACCTGTTATGCCTCCCTAATCCATGTAAGTCCATGGAGGCCATCCACGTCTTCCAGAAACTTAATCCGGTAATTGGATGCAGCAGCCATCAGCTTCCCAATGCCAAACTCATGACTAGACCAGCAGATGAGAATGCTGCAGATCAAGCTGCTCTGTGCTCAATCTGGCTTTCAGGCCACATCCTGCTAAATTCGAGGTAAGGAGAGTCATTCTAGATTGACTATACTCCCCTACCACAGGGTCAGAGTTTGAAATGAGGCACCCTTGTTAAAATTTAGGCAGAAACATTGTGAACCAATCTAACCAAGAGGTGCTGCTGTCTGTGTGATTTGAATAGCAGGATAGAATGAGGGGAAAGGAGACAGGGTCAGGGAAGGAAGAATATGGCACAGAAACCATCTCTAGAAAGCTCAGAGGAATCCAGGTAAAATGCAAGAAAATGTATTTCAGTGTTCCAATTCTTCATACTTCAGTCTGCCTTAAAAACTCCTCGGATCACAACGTGACTTCCTTAGTGAGCGACAAAGGAAGGTTTTGTTTTTTCCTCTTAACTTCCAGGCTATAAAATGGTGCAGGCACTAACAGCTCAACAGCCCACAGAGATGAACCAATGGCCCTGTTGAAATATCATCGTGGAAATGTCACAGCTTATGGGAGTGTGTTATTCTGTTTAAATAGGGATGATGAGAAAGGCACTGTCATTTTCCTTGTTTAGGGAGTGCTCATTTGCATATTTCTCAAATTTCAAGTAATAATGAGCTGGGTTTTGTATTTGATTTACATCATTTAAGAGGAACAAGGACAGCCTTAAGTGGCCCAGGGCCAGCAGCTCGCTGATTGATGCGGCTCCTTCTGCGTCTGGCAATGAGCTACTACCTCCAGCTAATGGCTCAGTGGATGCAGCCTAAACATCCGTCACGGGAGCATTCTTCAGGGTGATTAGCCAGCTCAAGACAAACAGTTTTCTGATACAGGCAGCCAGGAAAAAGGAACGCACTTCTCCACAGCAAACACATGTTACATGTCCCACGTGCTGGCCTGTTGATTCAGGGCATGCTAGTGTAGTGATGGTAGCATCTCAGAGACAACTGAGAGATCATCAACCTTATCATTCCATGGGCTTGAGGAGCCATCATTGTCACTCTAAGTAGAAGCTCAGCATTCAGTTTGGGGGAGCAGGCCCTTTGGAGTCTCCCCAAGACTGGCAATAGTATATTTACTGTTACTGCAGTGTCTCCTAAGAGAAAAAGACACTGCTGTAGATGCCAAAACTGGTAAAGCTGAGAGCTAGACAAGGCTGAGGGAGAAAAAGAATATCTTTGTCACTAATTTATGTAAGGAGAAAAACTTTACAGTAGATAAATGGATGAAATCAGAGTGATTAATGGGGCAGAAGGGGATCCCTTCAATGGTTAAAATGCAAGGAAAAGCTCGAATCATTTTGGAGTCACATTGTGATTGCCAATCTGCACTTTTTAAGCCGTGACACAGATCTGATGTTGAGGCTGAACCACACGGTACGCAGCTTCCCCAGGTCAGCACAGGTGTCTCCTCCTCAGCTTAATTGTGGGGCCTCGGGGACAGGGATTTTCTCTGTTGGGACTTTGATTACCTGCATCTGGCCCCATATGACAAGTATTATGATGAAAAAGTCCTCAAAAGTGAGGTTATGCCTGAACCCGTTTGTTCACAAAGGGTCCTTAGTATAAAGCATTTGAGTTTTGTGATGTGTATGACCACGTGGAGAAAATACGCTGCTTAACAGTTGTGCAACCTGATAGTTGAAGACCCATTTTGGACATGAGAAGATAAAAAAGGAGGTTTAAAATGATTCTGATAATTTTAGTATACAAGATATAGGCTCAGCAGAGAAGCTAAGGAACATGAAGGTTCAGCTGGCTGAGGTTCAATTCCAGAGAAATTAGAAGCTTCTATGCTTTTTCAAAGATCTGGGCATTGCTGAGATATAGGTAGCCAATTAAAATGCATCTCTAAGTAAAAGGAGGAAATATGATAAACCAATCTTTCTTGAAATGGAAATTGAATCAAAGGACACACAGAGTGAGTAAATTTTAGGTTAGATGATAGTCAGATAAAGCTATGAACATCATAATTCTAGTTCTGTACAAACATCCATGAGAGAGGGATGTGGTGAGTGATGCTTTGAAGACACCATGGCCTTTGTAGTTTATACTCTGTGCATCCACCACAATGGAGAATGGAAACAGCAGTCCTTTAATCAGGTCGATAAAGAAAATGTGGAAGTAAGGAAGCAGGAAGATACTACTCTGTAGTTTGTGCTTTATATAGACAGAGCATGAGAGAGAGAGAGAGAAAAGGGGAGAGAGAGAAAAGGTTTGAGTAAAGAAACCACTAGACAGGACACCTCAGAGAAGGGCCAGGGTACAGCCGTCCTGATCACACCTCTTTACCTTGCACCTCCTGCTTTGCTCCCTTTGGCTGAGCCGAACAAGAAGCATAGAGCACATGAAGCCTAATAATGCAGTCCATACTGCAGATCAGCTTCCTGGGGCATGGGGCAGGGAGCAAAAGAGGGACAGTGCAATTGATAAGGCAAATGGAAGATACTCAGCACAATGTCTGACCAAGAAAGATAAGTCTTTCATGGTGGCACTGTATTTGAAAGACAGTTGACATCAGAACTTCATTTTGTCCCCTCAATATCTGTTCCAAAGACTGGCATTAGTGGTCGTGGTGGCGGGCACCTGTAGTCCCAGCTACTCAGGAGGCTGAGGGAGGAGAATGGCATGAACCCAGGAGGTGGAGCTTGCAGTGGGCCAAGATCCTGCCGCTGCACTACAGCCTGGGTGACAGAGCAAGACTCCGTCTCAAAAAAAAAAAAAAAGAAAAAGAAAACAAAAACAAAACAAAGACTGGCATTACCTAGTACTAGATTAACATTTGAAGAGATGTATAAACGAGTGAGTGGATGAATGGATCAAGCAATGGGTGGATGAGGGGATGATGGATAGATGGATGGATGAAAACATGAATGGATGGATGAAAAGAGGAATAGATGGATGGACAGAAGGTTGGATAGGTGGGTGTGTGGAAGAAAGGATGGGTGAAAAATCAATGAATTGGTTTATGAAGGGAGGGATAGAGGGAAAGGTAGGTGATGGATGGATGGATGGATGGATGGATGGATGGATGGATGAATAGATGGGTGACTGGATGAATGGGTGTGTGAATGAATGAATGAATGGATTGATGGATGGGTGGATGGATGGATGGATGAATGAGTGGATGGATGGATGGATAGATGGATGGATGGATGGATGAGTGGATGGATGGATGGATGAGTGGATGGATGGATGGATGAGTGGATGGATGAATGGATAGATGAGTGGACTGATGGGTGGATGGATGGAGGGATGGGTGGGTGGTTGGATTAATGGATAATGGATGGATGGATGGATAGATGAGTGGACAGATGGATGGGTGAGTGGACGGATGGATGAATGGGTGGATGAATGGATAGATGGGTAGACAAATGGGTGGGTGGATGGATGAATGGATGATGGATGGATGGATGGATGGATGGATGGATGGATGGATGGAAGGATGAGTCAGTGGATGGGTGGATGGATAAATTGATGAATGATTGGATGAATGGACTGATGGATGGGTGGATGGGTGGGTAGATGGATGCATGAAAAGATGGATGGATGCTTGGGTGGATGGATAAGTATATCAATGGGTAAATGAGTGGGTGAATGATGGATTGATGGATGGATAAATGGATGGATGGGTGGATGGATGGGTGGATGAATGGTGGATGAATGGATGCATGGATGGATGGAGTGATGAGTTAGTGGATGGACGAATGGGCGAGTAGATGAATGGATGAGTGTATGTATGTATATATGGAAGGATGGATAGATGGATGGATAGATGGATGGGTGGGTGGATGGATAGATGGGTGGATGGATGGATGGATGGATGGATGAGTGGATGAATGAATGGTAGGTGGATGAATGAATGGGTGGATAGATGGATGCATGGATGGATGAATGAATGAGTTGATGGATGGGTGGATGGATGGATGGCTGTCTCTGCTTTGAACACATGTCCATCTGCTCATTGGAAAGCAACGTTTGTGATGATACCATTCTGAATTCTATTTGTGGGTTTTTGACCCTGCCTGGATATGTTCTGGCTTCCACCAGAGAGGATTTATGCAACTCATGGTATGATGGGGATTTCCTTATTAAAGATATTAAGATATTTTAAGACTATATTTTGTAAATTAACAAATATAGTAATTAATTTGTGATTTCCTCTTTTAAATAAATCACTAAGCGCTGAGTGGTCATTGTCAAGCAAGATAACTTGGTCTTAGAACTTGCCACCGAACAATTCTAACTACGTGATATTTTTGAATATTAAATTGTTTTATGAAACTATATCTTCAAATTTATGAATGCAGTAAACCATTGATTAAAATCAGTAAACTAGGAAACACTAATACTGAAATAGAATTAAGAGAGGAGTGTAAAATTATAATAATTGGCAAATTTGCCTAAAGATGATCTTCACCACATTCATAAATTATAGTCATTCATTCAAAATTTTCTAAACACATTGTAATGTGTCCATATTTAGAAAGCAATAATAAAATTAAAAATTAGATATGATTTGCCAATTTGGCTTTTTATTTATATACAAAAAATAGTCAACCCTCACAATGAGTGCAAGTATAGAATATCTGAAAATGAAATTCTGGAACCTTCTCTCATATTTTGTTATTTAGAAAGAAAACAAGAAAATAATAAATATGTTAGCTTCATTTGAAGGTGAAAAATTAAAAGCATCTATCTCAAAAATTAATTTTCAAAATCTATTCTGATGCCATTGTATTGAATGCTATTATTTGGTTTTATATACACATTCTGTTGTAAAAGTACACAAATTTGTCATTGAAAACTACTTGTCAATACTCCCACTTCTTTTTTCTCAAAATTACTTTATTACCCAACATAATTGGGTACTGTATAAAACCTGTGAAAAGAAAAAGTCCAAATGCTTCCTTTATAAAGTGAAGGTTAATAAAGATTACACTTGAACTTACAATAAAATCTTCAGTACAATATATATTCAGACCTAAAACTACATTCAAGGAGAGAAATAAAGAGAAAAAGATTACTTAAATTTATCTCTTTAACTAATACCATACAGACACTTAGAAAAATGCATCCAAGAGCCTAACTAACTAACGAGGTTACTAAGATGATAAATAACCCTAAACGTGTTTCCCATTAAACTATTCCAGGCAGCTCTACTAAATCTTGTCCCACCATTTAAATCATGACCGGAGATGTTCACATAAATGTCATGCTCTTACCGCTGACCTAGATTTTTACCAAAAAAAAGTGTTCTAAAATTAAAATAAAAGTATCTGTCAATTTTAAAAAATTATGTGGAAGGGGAAATGGGTAGGTTGAAAATCATAAAGACTCATTATAAGCATTCGAATGCTGAGGCCAGCCACTCAACTCAAGAGATTATCACTTTTTAAGGGTTCATCTGTTTTCCAAAAGAAGTGAACTTAAGAAACAGCCTTTAATTTCTCTTTCAGATCCGTACTCTTTATATAAGGAAGGTAAGGGCATGTTCCTAAAGAATAAGTGTAAAGTGTAAAAATACAACACATAGACTTTAGAGATTTTTAACACAACTAACACAATGTGGCATTATTTCAAAATGGACTTGCCTGGATGTTCTGCTGTTGATGTCATAGATGTGGGCTTGGTGTTGCTCTGAAATGCATTCTTTGCCTCCTCCTCACTCGTAGAGCAGGCAAAGCTCAACTGATGCCCATGATCTCTTCACTCAACCAGACAATCTCTTGGTGAAAACACTGATGGGTCCAATGAAAATGAGAGTAAAAGTCACCAAGGTCACTGTTTAATCACAGGATGATGGCATTCTTCTGTATCACAGGCCTCAGACACAATTCCTGGACCACTGACAAACCTCCCCCTTCTTCTTAAAAAAGAACAGGAACAAATAAGTGACGTGTGTAAAAAATGTATCATTCACTCTAACTAATTGTGTGACTTATGTGTGCGTTTCAATGTTTCTTTTTCATAACAAATTGTGACCTGTGATAAGGACAAATTGAGTCTCTGATGGCAAAATGGTGCATATGTATGTACTTATGTGTGTGTATTTTTGCATTTGTGTTAACATGTGTACATATATATGTGCATGAATGTAGGCCCATGTGTGTGTAGAGAGTGGTATATGCATTTGTTTTCATGAAGGAGGGTGTATATGTATATGTATGTGAGTATGTGTGGTTGGGAAATTTCTATGTATGTGTGTTTATGCTCATGTTCACATGTGTACATTATGTGTATGTGTGTTTATGCTCATGTTTGCATGTGTACATTATGTGTATGTGTGTTTATGCTCATGTTTGCATGTGTGCATTACGTGTATGTGTGTTTATGCTCATGTTCACATGTGTACATTATATGTATGTGTGTTTATGCTCATGTTTGCGTGTGTACATTACGTGTATGTGTGTTTATGCTCATTTTTGCATGTGTGCATTACATGTATGTGTGTTTATGCTCATGTTCACATGTGCACATTATGTGTATATGCTCATGTTCACATGTGTACATTATGTGTATGTTCACATGTATACATTATGTGTATGTGTTTACGCTCATGTTTGCATGTGTACATGTGTATGTGTGTTTATGCTCATGTTCACATGTGTACATTATGTGTATGTGTTTATGTTCATGTTTGCATGTGTACATGTGTATGTGTGTTTATGCTCATGTTCACATGTGTACATTATGTGTATTTGTTTATGCTTATGTTTGCCTGTGTACATGTGTATGTGTGTTTATGCTCATGTTCACGTGTGTACATTATATGTATGTGTGTTTATGTTCACGTGTGTACTTTATGTGTATATTTGTGTGTGTTGGTATCTGCATGTGCACCTGAATGTCTTCATGTATATTCATGTGCTTATGTGTGTTTGTGAGTGTGCCTGTGTTCATGTGTGTGTTTGTGCATAGGTGTGCCTTTATAGGTGTGCATTTGTGTATATGCACATGTCTTGTAAATATGTGTTTGTATGTGTACATATGTGTGCATGTATACACCCACTACTGCTATAAACATCTTCACAGCCTAATCAGAGCTTTAGTTAGTTTCCTGGAGCCCTCTCTTGCATAAACAAGCCAAAGATCTGCTCCTCTTTGAGCTCATTGTAGACAGTCTATTTCATGCCTCCACTTTTCTCCAAATAAAAGTTCTAAAATGAGTTATTTTAAGGAAGTCTTACACTCTAGGGCTTGCCTGTGTTTCCGACTGCACACCCAAGTAGCCATAACTTACAGGGAAACAAGAGAGCTACCCTCTCCCTGTCTGGGCCCCACAGTCCCTTGGCCAAACTCCCTCAGTCCTGAGAGCCCTGGCCTCTGCCACAGCATGGACCACCCATGGCAGCCGACCCATCTTCCTCACCAGCAGGCTCAGATGGCAGGTGCCAAAACTGAGGCACGCCCTTGACCGTGATGAAACATCCCTTTCTTTAAAGCACTGGTTGAGCTCTGAACATACCCTACTTCAAAACCACTGGTGTTTCCCCAATACACATCCTTCACTACAGTCAAAGTTCAAAGAGTTCAGATGAAGAATTAAAACCATCATGCTGAATAGACAGCATTATTACTCATATCAGGTTTATCACGCTATAATTTGTTAACATTTCTCTTTTCATAAGGAAAAGGAGTCTATGAATCAACATAGTAAAATTGGGAGTGGCATGAAGTCAGAAAAGTGGGTGCTCAGAAGAGCCTCCTCCACGCAGCGCCCCCTGGCTCTCACTGAGTTCGCATATGGTGCAAAAGTGCCCATCCTGTCTCCAGGAAAAAGAATTTTAAAAAATACGATATTCCAGGGAAAGTAATTTTAAAATATGATATTGTTAGAAAAGAGGCATAGGAATCAAGTCTTCCCTTACAACTTATTCTGAAGTATATGTTTCCCTAATGCAGGGAAATAATTTGATTTTCACAACTGAAAACTTTGAGCCTAAGGAAATGTTAAGATGAGCTTCAAGAGTCCAATAGTGGTTATTAAAAATTCTTAAAAATCTGTCAGTGTGGCTTGGCCTTAGTGTTTATTCATAAATGACACTCAGCCTAATTCCAAGAGAGGTGTGCAGTGGACTACAGATAAAGATATACATATAGGGCATCTACAGTCACCCACAGCTAAACCTGTACCTACTAACAAGAGTGAATGCTTTCCCACTAACTTCAGAAACAATACGTGGATTCCATTCTTACCACTTCTATTCAATATGGTACTGGAAATTGTAGTCAGGGCAATTAGGCAAGAAAAAGAAACAGCAACCATCCAGATTTGAAAGGAAGAAATAAAACTAGGCTTGCAGATGATGTGCTCTTGTGTACAGAAGAGCCTAAGGAATCCACTAAGAAACTGCTAGAATTAATAAACAAGTCTGGTAAGAGTACAGGAGACTGTTTCTATACAGTAACAATGAACAAACTGAAAATGAAATTAAGAAAACAATTCAATTTATAATAGCATCAAAAAGAACATAATACTTATAAATGTAAAAAAAGAAGTGGAAAACTCACTCTCTGAAAACTACAAGACATTATTGAAAGAAACTAAAGACAAACAAATGGAAAGACATCTTATATTCATGGATTAGAATAGTTAATATTGTTAAGATCACAATACTCCCCAATTTGATCATAGATTCAATGCAATCCTTATCAAATTCCTAGCAGACTTCTTTGCAGAAATTGACAAGCTGATCCAAACATTCATGTAGAAATTCAAGGGACCCAGAATAGTCAAAATAGAAGATAGTTGGAGGACTCACAATTTCGAATTACAAAACTTAACTATAAAGCTACAGGTATCAAGATAGTGTGGTACTAGCATAATGACAAACTTATAAATCAATGGAATAGGATTGAGAGTCCAGAGATAAACTCATGCATTTATGTATAATTAATTTTTGACAAGAGGGCCAAGATAATTAAACAAGGAGAAAGAATGACATTTTCAACAAATGGTGCTGGGACACCTGAATACTTACATGCAAAAGGATGAAGTTGAAACCCTACCTCACACCATATGCAAAAACTAACTTGGAGTAGATCAAAGACCTACAATTAACCCCAGTAGAAAAATAAAAAGGCACATAACCAAAATTAAAAATTGAAAAAGGATATAAACAGAGATTTATCCAAAGAAGATAAGCAAATGGCTAATAAGCACATGAAAATATGTGCTACATGATTAACTATCAGATAAATGCAAATCAAAACCATGAGCTACCACTTCACACTCAATAGGATGGCTATTTTCAAAAGTTAGAATGAGTAGTTTGCAAATATTTTCTCACATTCTGTAGGTTGCTTCTTCATTTTGCTGATTGTTTCCTTTGATGTGCAAGGTTTCTTTAGTTCGAAATAATCTTATTTGTCTATTTTTGCTTTCATTGCCTGCTTTTGAGGTCTTCCCCCTCCTCCCAAAAAATTTGCCCAGACTAATGACCTGAAGGGTTTCCCCAATATTTTCTTCTAGTAGTTTTACAGTTTCAGGTCTTCATTTAAGTCTTTACTCCATTTTTATTTGATTTTTGCATATGGTGAAAAGGGTCTCATTTCATTCCTCTGCATATGGATATCCAGTTTTCCCAGTACCATTTATTGAAGAGACTATTTTTCCTCACCTGCAAACAAAGTCAAGTAAAATCAAACATTTTTAATCAGCAAAAAAAAAAAAAAAGGAAAACAAGTATTGTTAAGCATGTAGACACATTAGATTCATTTTACACTGCTAGTGTGTGAAATGAGCAGCCACTTTGGAAAGGACTATTCCTCAAAGGTGAAACCCAGAGTTATCACATTACCCAGAAATTCCTTCCCAGGCATATGCTTGGTAGAAATGAACACATGTGTTCATATAAAACCTTTGCACTCATGTTCACAGCAGCATTATTTACAATAGTCAAAATGTGGAAACCGCTCAGCTGTCCATCAGCGGGTGAAGATGCACAGAGTGTGCTCTTGCCCCACAGCGAAATGTGATTCAGCCGTAAGAAGAAAAGAAGCGCCGGTGCATGCCGGAACACGGGTGAACCTTGAAAACTCTGTGCCAAGCAAAAGAAGCCAGTCACGAAAGACCATGGATCGTTCGGTTTCATTTACACAAAATGTTCAGAATAGGGAAATTCTGCAGAGCCAGAAAGTAGATGGGCCGTTACCAGGGGCCAGGAGGTGCAAAATGGGGTAGGAGAGAGATTGGGGTGGCAGCTAAGAGGTATGGGGTTTCTTTTTGTTATAATGAAAATGTCCTTGGCCAGGTGCAGTGGCTCACGCCTGTAATCTCAGCACTTTGGGAGGCTAAGGCAGGAGGATCACAAAGTCAGGAGTTCGAGACCAGGCTGGCCAACATGGTGAAACCCCATCTGTACTAAAAATACAAAAATTAGCCGGGTATGATGGCATGTGCCTGTAGTCCCAGCTACTCGGGAGGCTGAGGCATGAGAATAGTTTGAACCTAGGAGGCGGAGGTTGCTGTGAGCCAAGATCATGTCACTGCACTCCAGCCTGGGAGTCAGAGTGAGACTACATCTCAGAAAGAAAAAAAGAAAAGAAAAAATAAAATGCCCTAAATTTAACTGTGGCAATGGTTGCACATATCTGTGGATACACTAAAACCCATTGATTTGTACATTTCAAATTTGTGAATGTATAGTATATAAATCATAACTCAATAGTACTTTTTAAAACAAAAAATGTGTATGTGTGTATAATTTTTTTAATTAGGTAATTGCAATATGAGGAAATAATTGGATAATTACAGCAAAATATTTCTCTGTAGTTACTCCATTTAAATATTAAATTTGGAACTCACCTTCTTGGCCTTCGTGACTCAAAGGGAAATCATTCTTCCTGTCTGATTCAAGGAAAATACCATGCCACTGCGGAAGTATCACTTTCCTCCTGCTAAATTCTAGGACAAATTGTGAGTTGTGAAATGGGGAAGGGTTCCAGCAGTTTTACAGATGAGCCATCAGACGATGTCCTTGGCTGACCTGTTGTACATGAGCCCCTAGCATGAAGCCATCCTCAACTCTATTTCTGGGGATCGCTGGGCCCTCCATGTGGGGCCGATACTCAGGTGACACTCCTGCGGAGTGCTGGGCTCAGGGCATGGAGGATGCAAGGGGCCGATGGGCTTGCAAAGTTATGCCTCTGCAGGCACAGGAGTGCCTGTGAGGGAGGCCACGTGTGTGCCTGGGCCTGAAAACCAAAGGCCTGGGTTTCATCTTGACCCAGAAGATTTCACATGAGCATGTTGGGTGAATTCCCTTTTATTCTCACCTTCACGGTGGCAATCCAGTACTAATTTTCAGGAGAAATGTGTGTGAGTGTGTGAGGGGAGACGGGGGCATGGACACTTTTCAGAAAGAATGCTGTGTGTACAATTTTGTTGCTACACAGATTTTGGCAAGGAAGGAAAGAAGGAAAGAGAGAAAAAGAGAGGGAGGAAGGAAGGGAAGGAGGAAGAGTAGGAGGAAAAGAGGAAGGAAAAGAAAGAGAAAAGTTATGGCACCCTTCCATTGCATTGGAAAGTTGTGTAGTAATGGCAAATATTAACTGAGTAGCGTGCGAGGGGCTGTGTTAAGTGAGCCCGTCAATGAATGACTTTGTGCATCCTTCACAGCTCCATACGGCTAGTCTCACATTATCCCACCCTGAGGATGAGAGAACCAGGGCCACTGAGCAGGGTGGGGCCGAGGTCTCAGGCTCCAGGGCACGCAGCCTTCCCGAATCACTGAGCTGACTTGTGCTCCTGGCCTCCTTTCTGTTTTCCTTAGAAGCCTTTGCCTAGTTTCTCTGAGTCCCAGTGTCTTTCAGAATCTCTTCTTTGCACCAGACTCTGGCTACCCATTAGATGTGTTAGATAGACGCCAACAAAGAATGCAGTTGAGATCCAAAGTGATCATCAAGTTACTTGAGACAAAAGCCTTCTCAGGGACTGGTGTGATATTATTACTAACAAGAGGATGCATGACCCAGAAAAACGTGATCTTTACAATCTGCAACTGGAGGCCTGGGATCTCCTCTTGGTCCCCACTCATCAAAGAGCACCATGCTCCTGCCATTGTGTGGGTGACACTCCCGCAGGCTGGACTTCCTGAAGCAAGGCACAGGCACGATCCATGCATCCATCCCCATGAGGACAACACTATGTGTGTGTGTGTGTCTGTGTGTCTGTGTGTGTGTCTGTGTGTGTCTGTGTGCTTGGTGTGCTGTTGAAAGATAATATAACCTAATCCTCAGAGTGATATCACTGAGGAAATGACAGTGTTGCCTTCAGTAAGAGAGGGGCTGGAATTATGAAACACTTGATAAAATACAGAGGGGACTGGGGCCGTTTGTGCAGCAGGTTTGGGGCATGATTAATGAAAATGACTGGGTTAATATGCCTTGCGATGAATGGCTTTCATGGAGCCTCGTCTTTTTCATTACGTTCCCTGGCAGCGGGCTATTAATAGTGGCTGAGCCTTAACTTGTTATTTCAAACATTTCAGGCACAAATAATAGAAGATTTCCAATTAAAAGGGATAATCTCCCTTCAGAAGCGAAGTAGTAAGCACAGTGAATAATTTAAAAAGCTTTGGGGATGTAAAGATTGATTCCATCTCCCCCTAAGCAATAAATCAGTGGCTTTGATTAACAATTTAAAAATAAAGGACAAGGAGGCACGGAGAAGTTGTGAGACGTGGTCTTTTGTTCACGATTTTTTATCATTACTGCTTTTCCAAAATGTTGTCATTACATAAAACATTATTTCAATTAGTTTCCTACAAACCCCCAAGTCATATTCAATAAGTTTTTACTGATATAGAAAATAGGAAGTAGGCAACAGGAAAAAAAAATATACGGTTACTGAGAAAAACAGCAAATACCCTCTGGCTTTCAGATGCTTAAAACTGTATTTGAAGTCTTTATTGGTTTACCATTTAGGATGATGATACATTTTGATTAAACACAAGAGTGTGGACAAGTATTAGGACTCCTATCTAATCCTACCTACTCATACAGATTTATCTAATACGTATTTTTGGGGAGTATAATTTGGTTTTTACTCCTAGCATGAATTCAGAATTAATATATTTGAAATTTCCGAGCCATTGTCTAAATGATTCCCCATTTCTACCTTCATAAAGAATTTGGTAGTCCTAGACACAAATATGAACATCAAATCTGGACTTGAAAGAAATTCTGGAAGACTGAACTGGAATGAGTAGATGGCAGGTGAGTTTTCCGTCAGCCTCCTGATAATTTCTAGGATAATATCAGTTAACACAGAGAAGGTGGCTGGCTAAATGCGGTAAGGAGAAAAAAGGCCCCATTTTCTCTGCAGAAATTCATTACTTGCACCCAGGGGACTCCTGGATTTAGTGAGCTTCTGCAGAAATAGTTTCCAGCATCTATTTTTAGTTGTTATCAAGCCCATCCCTAAGCGGGCTGTAGTTTCCCATATTAACAGAACATACTCCCCTGTCCAAACCATTTTTGGTTTGAATAATATTCAAGATTCTATCGGGAATCTAAATAGGCCTCTATAATTTGGGTTCGCTTGGTTCCCTTGGCAATAGGTTTTGAAGAGCGCTGGTAAATGGGAGTGCGTGGGGATCGCATTTGGGGAGGGTATCATAAAAGGGACAAATAACAAGCGTTCACATAGATGGAGCTCTCCAAATGCGCCAGCAGCTGCCCCACACATGTTGCAGGGTTTCGTTCCTGTAATTCTCACGGCAATCCTCCGGGCGAGGTCCCATTGTCAATCCCCATTTTCCCAGGTACAACTGAGGCCACAGGAGTTCCAGAGACAAAGCAAGCAAGTGCAGGGCTGGGACCCTAACCCAGCTTCTGCGCTGTCCAAGCCAAGCACAGGGGTCATCACAGGGGTCTGAGAGCAGGTGCGTCCCAGCTCTGGACCATGCACTGTATGTTCATTATTTCCTGCAGTCCTGCAAACACGCTGGCCTGCTGTTGCTCTCACTAAGCCCACCAGACAGAGAAGGAGACAGAGGGTCAGAGAGGAGAAGCAACTCAATCGCAGTATACAGGTAGAAAGTGCTGGACCCCAGATGTGCTCCCAGCTTTGCCAGGCTCCAGAGCCACCTTGTCAACACTTAATGCCAGCCAGAGGTTTGGGTCCAGAAACAGAATGTACTTGAAGAGGAGGATCTCAGCTGTGGAATCAAGCCAGATGTTCCAGGAAAGGCCCAGTGTGCCCAGTGTTGGAGCAGGGAGATTGGGATGGAGCAGGGGCAGGTTGGGAAGAGGCATGTCAGAAGCTGGGCCTGCAGCCTGGGTTGGTGTTTCCTGTGATGCTGGCAGACAGCTGATGGACAGGCGGGCAGGCTCTATCTACAGAGGTCTTCTGGAGCTGTGCCCAGGGGACCCCACTGCCCCTCACTCCTCCAAACACAGTGGTGCAGGGAGTGCTGCCTGGGTCCTGCCAGACGTGCTGGGGAGGCCTCAGACCTGCTCGCACCTAGAGGTCCCGCCTCCAGAAAACATGGAATGTCTGGGTCAATGGCTTTCCTCTCTGCTGAGGACCTACTTCGGCCTCTCTTTGGAATAGTCTTGTGAACCAAAAGATAAGGTGGTGTATGGGTGTTGGTCTTCATGCCCCTGGCTCTTGGGTGTTCAGTGTGATGGCTTTATGGAGATAAGGTGATGTCAGGATGTTGGTCTTCATGCCCACAGCTCTTGGGTGTTCAATGTCATGGATTTATGGAGATAAGGTGGTGTATGGGTGTTGGTCTTCACGCCCACGGTTCTTGGGAGTTCAATGTCATGGCTTTATGGAGAGAAGGTGTATGGGTGTTGGTCTTCATGCCCTTGGGTGTTCAACGTCATGGCTTTATGGAGAGAAGGTGTATCGGTGTTGGTCTTCATGCCCACGGTTCTTGGGTGTTCAATGTGATGGTTTTATGGAGATAAGGTGATGTATGGGTGTTGATCTTCATGTCCACAGTTCTTGGATGTTCAGTGTGATGGATTTATGGAGATAAGGCGATGTACGGGTGTTGGTCTTCATGCCCACAGTTCTTGGGTGTTCAATGTCATGGCTTTATGGAAGGACCTTCCCCACTTGCATGTGCAGAAGCTTCTGGAGAGGAGCCAGGGGTCCTGGTCTGCAGAAAGCATTGCTTCTGCCAGGTGGACGTGATGGTTGGGCAGCGTGGGATTCCCCTGGATTCTCTGGTGGAATTACAGCCCATGAATCCTGAAAACCTGGAAGGTGGCTGAGATGGTCTCTCTTGTGTCTCTTGTATAAGGCACTAATTTCATCCATGAGGGCCCTGCCTTGTGGCCTACTCCCCTCCCAGAGGCCCCACTCCTTATACCATCTGCTTGGGAGTTACAGCTTCGATATGTGAATTTGGGGGGTGACACACACATTCCAACCATAGCAGTCACCTGGACCATGATCAACGGTTTGGAGTTTGTAGTAAGGCCAGTAGGAAGGAGGGCACAGTATTACTGATGGGCTATCCTCCGGGCTCTGTTATGGAAGAGAGAGCTCAGGGTGGTGCAGCAGGCCCTGTATGCCTGTCCTCCATCTCAACGCTGCCTTCTGCTCTGTCCGTCCCTCAGCAAGGGGCAGCTTTATGAGCTCCGTCCCCACCTGGTGCCACCTGACAGCTCCCACCTCATGCCTCTCACCCCTGAAGAGCCTCCCTGTCAAGTCCGGGGCATGAAATGTCACAGGAGCACCCCCCACCCCATCCACACTCATCCGCCCATGACCTAGGCCTGTGCGGCAGTCGAGGCACCACAGGGCATGTGCTGACCCAGGGCGCCTCTGCGCTGCCCCTCCCAGCCTGACGAGCGATCGGATGAGGCCCTCCGATACCCCGGAGGAGGCATCTCAGGACTGGGTGGGAGGATGAAGGGTCTTTGCCGTGCAGCTGGCAACAGAGCCCACAGCTTCCCACTCTTTCCTGCTACGTTTGTTTGGCCCTCACCCTGTTTCCCAAAACTGCACCCCTAAAACCAGGTAGCAGACTCTGATCTTTGGGAGCACGGGCTGGGGCAAACAGCAAGGATGGAGTCAGGGACAGGGTGGGGTCATGGAGGCAGCCTGGGGATGCAGAATGGCAGCAGAGAGCAGGCCCCTCAGCGGCTGCCATCTCAGCCTGTCCAGCCACCATCTCTTTCCCAAAACTTCACCTTTGACCATTTCCCTCTGTCATGAAGGCCTGATTTGCAGATTTCAGCTGAATTGAGCCTTTCCAAGCAGGCTTTGCCAGGCTCTGCACATGGACCCAGGGGCTCCCTCCCCTGGAACCCTTTGAGTAGCGCACTGTTTTTACCCTCTTAGCACAGACGACAGTTTTCAATTAAACACTGATGTGTATGCCTCTGTGTGTTTCAGGTCTGTCTCCCTGGCTGGCATCTCTGAGGCCATAAGGAGAGGGGCTCCACCTGATGCCCCCCACACCAACACAGGGTGGGGCAGGTGGACGCATGGCAGAACCAGGGTCATCAAAAGAAGGGGCAAACGGGGCCAACTGGCGTCCAACGCAGTCCCAGAACGTGCACAGTCAGCCTGCGGCCCAGCCCGAGAGCCCAGCATCACCCCGAAATTAGGCATGGCGAATCGTCATGGACTGCGTCATAGGGTCCCGTGTCTTCATGGACGCAATCTTAAATCTGGTTCTAAAACAGAGCTATGTTTTTTCCTAGAAATTCAGAGCAACCAGAGGCTCACCCACATCACAGAAACTTTATGAATGCTCAGGCCTGGTGGAAGATGTCCAGAGCCATTCAAGTGTGGGGTTGTTTGAAGCTGATTTTAAAGGCAGAAGCTATTGAATATGCATCTTCTGCAAAGGCAGGGTCCGTGTTCTGTCAAGGACACCTGGCTTCCTGTGGATCCTGGGCCCACGCAGGCAGCCCTTCCAGGACGTCCTTAGCTCTTCCTTCAAGGTGTCTCCACAGTGAAGAGAGAATATGCCTATTTCATTCAGAAACTTTGACCTGGGTGAGGCATGGGCTTTCCTAGGTGACCCCTTCCATACCTGCTGGCTCCAGGCAGAATTTTTCTGTCCTTCTCTGCACCTGCATTTGACAGCTGCTTCTGCTCTCCTCCTTGTTCCCATGCACAAGTCACTAAATATCAGCGTGAATGTTCCCATTTGCACAAACGCACTTGTACAAATGTGCGCGCGCGCACACACACACTGGCACACAGCAAATCCCCCCCTCGGTGTTCTCCTTCAAAATACGATGCCCCCAATAATTTTTTAGCCCTTTTAGAACGTCAGCAAAAATTGGAGGAAAATTCAGGAAGCTGAATATACTTTTGTTCTCTCTCCTATGTCTTCTCTCTCTCTTTCTTTCTCTCTCTCTTTCTCCTTACCTTGCCTATTGTTCTTACATGTTCTTTTAGCAACAGGAATATTATGGCAATTTTGAAGAGAGTGGTTGCATGCTAGCAAACTCTGTGCTCCTAACTTTCAAATGAAACTGCAAATTGAAAGCTCTCAACTTTTGATTACTAATCTGTTACTAAAAGGAAATAGATTACCAACAAGAACCGAAGTAATTGCCTGAAATAGAAGTTCAGAAATGAATGAAAGGAGATTCTCATCCCCTATTGAGTCTGCCTACATTTTGAACTAAAAAACAATTGAGTTCAAATTCAGATTAAGATTTTAAAACAGTTCAATTATCTCCCTAATTATTTTTCATTTAAGGTACATATTCACTCATCAGTCCTGGTCAGAGGTGGAACTACAGAAATAATACCTTATAAGATAATGTAATGGCCTCATAATTCTACTGGAAGTAGAAACCTCAGCTTACATAAAAGTCTATTCCTGTGAGCCTGCAAACACAAGCCTTCAAGAAGCAGATGTATTCTGAAATTTCACCTTGCAAGATCTGAAAAAATGAATATGCTTCTTGGAATTCCAAAAAGTTCAGAGTGCAAGCATGTACATTTATTTCTGTGTGTTGGCATCTGTAACCCACGCATCACAGAGAGCGCTGGATTAGCTTTTACTGGAGCTGGGCAGAGGGAGTACGTAGGACTGAGGATCGAGGCAGCCTCACTGCTTTCACCCCAGACACCAGAGCCCCAGGAAGGAGTGAACTGGTCAGACATTTAGGGAGGAGTGAGGTCCCAAGTGGGTAAACATGAGAGCAGAAAGATGTGTCAGGAGCAGTGGGGATAAACCAGATAAGAGATGGTGGTTGTCTAGACCAGGGAATAGAAAACTGGATAGATCCGCCAAATATGGAGGAGCAGAATTTACAGGACTTGGAAATTGATTGGTGATAGAGGGAATGGGGAATTGGGGAATGAATCAAGAGTAATTCCTACAGTTTCAGCACGGTGCTTGGATGAGTTATGGGTGATGTTTCGAGTTACAATGTTGGTGAGAAAATTATGTGCCTCCCCTGTCATCACCGTTATGAGATAATTAATAACCTTTTGATTTAGCAATGCTGCTTTACGAGGTCGTATTTTCCTGTTCCATGAAACACACCAGAGAGTTGTATCTTCTCACACAGTGTGAGGATCGCTTCTGCTATGCAGCTTCTCCACACTCCCGCTGCACACTCCACATCTTGCTAAAGGTATTTTCCACACTGCAGCCTAGTGGTCCCTCCAAAAAATACAGGCCAGGCACGGTGGCTCATGCCTGTAATCCCAGCACTTTGGGACGCCGAGGTGGGCGGATCACCTGAGGTCAGGAGTTCGAGACCAGCCTGGCCAACATGGCAAAACCCCATCTCCACTAAAAATACAAAAATTAGCCAGGTGTGGTGGCACACATCTGTAATCGCAGCTACTCGGGAGGCTGAGGCAGGAGAATCGCTTGAACCTGGGAGGTGGAGGTTGCAGTGAGCTGAGATCACGCCATTGCACTCCAGCCTGGGCGACAGAGTGATATTCTGTCTCAAAAAAAAGAAAAAGAAAAAAAAATACAGCTGCACTTGCAGCTTCCCTCTTAAGCACATTGACCAGGCCCCTGTCTGTTTGCCACCTCTGCATCCCCAGCATGGCCGGTGTGTGGCCCATGAATTTATGTTGACTACATGAAAATGACTAGAGCAGGTTTCTCCATTTTCTGATAGACTCATCCATTGCCCTTTACATCACTCAGAGAGGACCTGTCATCTACTTTGTACGTAGTTATTTGCAGGAGCTTGTCTGTGGTCACCACTACGGCCATCCTGGCAAACACAGTAGGTTCTGAATGGACTTGGAATGTATGAATTAGCCAGGATATGAGTGCCACTGAATCCAATAGTACAATGGCTAAAGAGACTGGTGGACCCAGCCTGGTGATCCAATAGGTCCACTGGAAGGAGAAGCACCAGGCACAAAGGAGGCAGTCATGGGCCATAGGAGAGCAGCTCCCCAGGCAGTCTCTGCAGGTCGTGGATGCTCCAAGGCTGAGGAAACCTCTAGAGACCGGCCTGTAGCCATCAGGCCATAGGTAGCCGATGAGGTGCCATTGGCTCCCTGCCCACACCCACTGGACTTTACCTACCCAGGTAAAGTACCAGGAATTCCCATTCCTGGGGTCTACCCACAACCACAGACTCACAGGTATTGGGGTACAAGCACCCCAGTTCCCTCAACCTTCAGGGGATCCCATGGAGTACATGTTTTACACCATTTTCCAGAGTTCTCCCATGGGCTCACCTCTGGTCACTGTTGGTGATGGGCTGAGAACGCCCCATTCATGGGTTCTTCCCCTTCCCCATTTCAGGTCCCTGTGCCCCTGACAATGCTTGCTTCTTGTTAATAAACTATGTGCACTAGAATGCTTCCCTCAGAGTCGGCTTCTGGAAGATTCCAAACTAAGACACCACCTCAGATGCCACAGAAGATAAGGAAAGACTTGTGGACGAGGCATGGGGCTACAGCACCCATCTCAGGCAGTCTCCACACAAGAGATCCTCGGGCGGCCAGGCCTGTCTTCCATATGCATCTTCTCCACACAAGCTGGTCTGACATCTCAATGTTCATTTGGTTGACTTTATCCTCACGCTGTGCTATGCAGTTTCCCATGGTCCAGGCTCTCCCTTGCCTGGTCTTCAGCCCACTGTGGCTGTGCACAGAGCATGCCACACACTAAGCCTTCAAGCCTTACAGCTGCGTCCAACTCCCCAGAGATAGCGAAGGATGGGGGCATGCAATTCCCCTTATTCTGCTTGCTACGTTGTCCTCACATTAAAAATCCGGTGACTGGTCCTGTGCTCTCTTGGCTGGGCAGAGCAGGCCATGGGCAGCTTCGGTAAATATAGGAAAGCTCAGGATAAACCTGTCCACTGGCGTTTTCTCCAGCTGTGCAGCACTCTGAAGACCTCTGTGGATGGGCTTGGCCAGTTCTCCTGTTTTGAACGGAGGGCTCCCATAGCACCTGTGTCTGCACTATGGAGCATCCTAATGCCCCTTGAAGAATGTCGGAAGCCTGACTCCACTTGCAACCTCCAATAAAATGCCACAAATACAACATCCAAATGAGACTCCAGACCCCAAACAAGAAGCCCTTATTCTGGATCAGACTTAATCTCCAACCCTTCCTTCCATTGGCTGCTCTCAGATTAATGGTGATAACTTGAGAGAATTAATCAGTTAATGTTTCTACAATAATTCAAAGGTTAAAAGAAAGTAGCTCTTGAGAAAAAAAGGAGTTGGAACTCTGGTTGACCCCAAATGCCCTCTGAGCTAGTGTAGCATGGCTGCTGCCAGGCTCCTTGAGTCTTGGGCATCACCTGGGCAAACACCCTAAGAGAAGGGTGTGTCTCTGGAAGGATGCGTGCTTGCATCCCTTGGCCGTGAGGGCTGCCCCTCCAGGAAACATGACCTCCTACTCTGCGATGCTCAGGGCTGAACATTCCAGGTGTAGATGAACTTGAAAGAACTTCAGATGTTTAGGCAGAAAAAGGAAAGTCACAGAGTAGACGGCATCTCTTTCTAGAGCTGCCCTGTCACATCGTGACCCTGCCTGGTGCCCAGGCCAGAAATACAGCCAGCAGGTGGACACTTACATCAGCTCTGAAGTCTCTCTGAAGCTATATCAATTACACTCCCTGCCTGTCTTTCTGGTTAAACTGACCAAGAAAGAAATGACAGTAATTGGCCAAGCTTGTTTTTGTCAACTCAGGCTTGTTCCCATGATAGCTTCTTTTTTCCTACTTGTAAACACAGCAACTATCTAACGGCATCTTCTTAAACCTCGCCCATGATTGCCATCAAACCCACAAGGAGGTACCCCACATCTCCGTCTCCGGCATCTCACTGAAACCTGGACTGGTTTGGTGTACTTGTTCAGCCACTGGTGCTTTGCTTGATCTTCTCAAGGCTTCCAATGTCCATAGTGCAGGTGCAGGGAGCTTCTTGGCCAATGCTCCCAGGATGTCCTCTGGGCCGCCATATGACCTCCCCTCATTTTCTGAACATTCTGCACCACTTTTACCAATGACAAGGTTACTCCCTGCTATCTGAAGACCATTCCCTTAAGTGACAATAGGAGCAAACTCGGAACTGAGGAGAACTTTCATGCACCACCATCTCATCGGTGTCCCCAAACAGGACACTTGAACAGGCATGATACGTTTGCTTGCCTAGAACATCTAGAATAGTGTTTTCTCTCTTGGCATGTTTTTCAGGCCTCATTAAGAACCCACCTCTTTGACACACTTTGTGGAGTCTGTCTTCAATGGTCATAACCATTGTTGTCACTACCTTTTTCAACATCTCCTCAGAAGAAAGACTTTGATATTTTTAGGTTAACTTTCTTTTTTTTTCTCCTTAATGTATGATGACACAAACAAATTGCATTTTATCATGACTTTCCAATGCTCTTGTGCTCCCTTCCCTCCAATGGTCTCCGGCCACGGGAGCCCACCTTCCAGTCTTGCCCTAGTGTGTTTGAAAGCTCCTTTGTCAGGGCCGTGGCTAATGGGCTCTGATTCCCTCTTCTGATCCTCACAAATCCTCAGCGACAAGACGGCTTCTCCAGCTTCTCGTGACCTATTTTAGTTATCGATTCCCTCTTGTCCTGTGGAGCAGTCTCTTCAGATCTTCTACTCTTTGGTAGACAAAATTATCAGAAAGGAAATTTAAGGACGTGATTGGATAGGACAATGCAGGGATGAGATAAAACGCTTGTTTTACTTTCTCTTGCAAAATAGAAAATTATGTTATTCTGTGGGTCACGTATTATCCCTTTACTTATGCAGACGTATAAGGTAGCCAACCACACGGAGGCATATTTTAAACTTCACAACTCTTATCTGTTCTTTTTCCAAATGACTACATAAATGGAACTTTCCCTCAATTCCCTCAAGTCTTCTGTGGCTTGTAAACAAAAAGCAACTGTGTCCCATCTCTTCACGGTGTGGTTTGCCACAGTGTCTCTAATGTTTTGTAAGATATTCATCTTTGAGTCAAGCACATATGGGTTGGTTTCCCATGGGTTAATTGGTTCTCACATCACTACAAAGATTCATCTCTAGACTCAGGGATCCTCTAGCCCAGTTAGCAGCCAAGATCAAATGGCTGGATTTTAGTCAAGCTGACATAGTGGTAAAGTTATGCTTTGATGCATCTCCTCTGCCCCCAAAACATAGCAATAATAGATGAAATATAAATAGGAGAAAAAAAGAAAAGACAGTGCAGGGCTCAGAAGCAAGATAAATCATGCTTTGTGAATCAGAAATAGCAGAATGCTGAGCAGTAAACAGGGCTGAGACCAGGGCATCACTGGCTTCCAGGCGCAGGGAGCAGCAGCTGCAGGAGTTTGGTTCATACAGGACAAAGGTGACTAAAAATGCTCCACATGAGATGTGGCAGCACAGTCAGGCTACAGAGTAAAATCAGGGTGTGGAATGTGACTCTTCCCACTCATACAACAAAGCTGCACATCACAACACTGTGAACTGCTACCCCAGGCCATTGTGAAAATAAATGAGCAAAAAGGCAGGAAGAACTGGAAAACACCTCCAGCCAGCAGCTACATAAACCTGTTCACTCACTCCCTCACTCACTCACTCACTGGGTGATTGGAGGTGATGTGGCCTCAATACCATCTCAGAACTGAGGCCCTGAACCACCTTCAAAGATTTGGTTCTGGATTGGGGATCCAAAGGCAATCACAACACTGCTAGAAGGAGAAATAAACAATAGGAGAAATAAACAACAGAGCAACAGAACCAACTGGACAAATTACCTCCCAAACAAAAATTCAGAACATGTAAGGACTATTAAGGCTTAAAAATACAGCCAACGAAATCAATAATTACAACAATGATTTATGCTAGGTGAAAAATCACTCTGCAAAAGAGACTAAAAGTACTTTAAAACAATTGTATTTTATGTGCTCAAAAAGACAAATTAGGATATATAGTGTTTATTAATAATTAAGAAAGTGGAAGATAAAAACAGAAAGAAATGAAACAAACACAAATGGGTATAAAATGAATCAATAATAAATCTTGGAAATAAACAGTCAATGAAATTGAAATTGTAATAGATTTACCAATTCTATGTGGGAAGCAAAGAGGAACATAAGGCAGCACTGTGGAATTCAAATGAAATTCAGCATGGAAAGAGATAATTAAGGCTCAAATATGAAGTTGAAAGGAATTTTAGAAAAAAATAAGGGAATGACAGAGAAGCAAACCTGAAAGGTTTACAGATTTGATGAAAAACATGCACACTGTATTAAGTGGGAAAAAACAAACCCATACTTAAATTAATCATAGTGAAAATACAGATCAGGAGCAAAGAAACTATCTTTAAAACCACTAGAAAGAAAGATAAATTACCTACAGAATAATTAGAATGAGAGTGAATTTCTCATCATCAATAATATATGTCAGAAGATAATGGAATGGCAATTTCAAAATGCTACAGTAAAATTAAGGTCAATGGAGAATTTTATACCCAGCTAAATTACCATTCAAAATTTTAGTAGACGGTATCACTCATTTAAAATTCTCCTCGGCTCCACACCTTACCACTCTTCTCAGGGTGAACTATAATATAGCCCATTCTATTGACTTGGGGCCTGATCATGTGATTTCCTTTGGCCAATGGGCATTGAGAGGAAGTGAGGGCAAAGGACTGTAGGAAACATTTTGTGTCTCTGCTCATCCTCCTGATGTTCTGCTTTCCGCAGTGAGAAGAGCATGCTCCAGAAAACTAGTACTGCCTCAGCCTGAATCCTTGTATCAGCTTGTAAAAATGCCAACAATCAGAAATTTTGCAGTTCATTGGTTAAACATGACCATTACTCAAAATTAAATTATATAACTCACTTTTTATTTTATTTTATTATTATTATACTTTAAGTTTTAGGGTACATGTGCAGAATGTGCAGGTTTGTTACATATGTATACATGTGCTATGTTGGTGTGCTGCATTTAGCATTAGATATATCCCCTAATGCTATCCCTCCCCTCTCCTCCACCCCACAACAGTCCCAGGTGTGTGATGTTCCCCTTCCTGTGTCCAAGTGTTCTCATTGTTCAATTCCCACCTGTGAGTGAGAACATGCAGTGTTTGGTTTTATGTCCTTGCGATAGTTTGCTGACAATGACGGTTTCCCGTTTCATCCATGTCCCTAAAAAGGACATGAACTCATCACTTTTTAGGCCTGCATAGTATTCCATGGTGTATATGTGCCACATTTTCTTAATCCAGTCTATTGTTGTTGGACATTTATGTTGGTTCCAAGTCTTTGCTATTGTGAATAGTGCCACTATAAACAAACGTGTGCATGTGTCTTTATAGCAGCATGATTTATAATCCTTTGGGTATATACCCAGTAATGGGATGGCTGGGTCAATTGGTATTTCTAGTTCTAGATCCCTGAGGAATCACCACACTGACTTCCAAAATGGTTGAACTAGTTTACAGTCCCACCAACAGTGTAAAAGCTTTCCTATTTCTCCACATCCTCTCCAGCACCTGTTGCTTCCTGACTTTTTAATGATTGCCATTCTAACTGGTGTGAGATGGTATCTCATTGTGGTTTTGATTTGCGTTTCTCTGATGGCCAGTGATGATGAGCATTTTTTCATGTGTTTTTTGGCTGCATAAATGTCTTCTTTTGAGAAGCGTCTGTTCATATCCTTTGCCCACTTTTTGATGGAGTTGTTTGTTTTTTTCTTGTAAATTTGTTTGAGTTCATTGTAGATTCTGGATATTAGCCCTTTGTCAGATGAGTAGGTTGCAAAAATTTTCTCCCATTCTGTAGGTTGCCTCTTCACTCTGATGGTAGTTTCTTTTGCTGTGCAGAAGCTCTTTCATTTAATTAGATCCCATTTGTCTATTTTGGCTTTTGTTCCCATTGCTTTTGGTGTTTTAGACATGAAGTCCTTGCCCATGCCTATGTCCTGAATGGTATTGCCTAGGTTTTCTTCTAGGGTTTTTATGGTTTTAGGACTAACATTTAAGTCTTTAATCCATCTTGAATCCATTTTTGTATAAGGTGTAAGGAAGGGATCCAGTTTCAGCTTTCTACATATGGCTAGCCAGTTTTCCCAGCACCATTAAATAGGGAATCCTTTCCCCATTGCTTGTTTTTGTCAGGTTTGTCAAAGATCAGATAGTTGTAGATATGCAGCATTATTTCTGAGGGCTCTGTTCTGTTCCTTTGGTCTATATCTCTGTTTTGGTACCAGTACCATGCTGTTTTGGTTACTGTAGCCTTGTAGTATAGTTTGAAGTCAGGTAGTGGGTAGTGTGATGCCTCCAGCTTTGTTCTTTTGGCTTAGGATTGACTTGGCCATGCGGGCTCTTTTTTGGTTCCATATGAACTTTAAAGTAGTTTTTTCCAATTCTGTGAAGAAAGACATTGGTAGCTTGATGCGGATGGCATTGAATCTATAAATTACCGTGGGCAGTATGGCCATTTTCACGATATTGATTCTTCCTACCCATGAGCATAGAATGTTCTTCCATTTGTTTGTATCCTCTTTTGTTTCATTGAGCAGTGGTTTGTAGTTCTCCTTGAAGAAGTCCTTCACATCCCTTGTAAGTTGGATTCCTAGGTATTTTATTCTCTTTGAAGCAATTGTGAATGGAGTTCGCTCATGATTTGGCTCTCTGTTTGTCTGTTATTGGTGTATAAGAATGCTTGTGATTTTTGTACATTAATTTTGTATCCTGAGACTTTGCTGAAGTTGCTTATCAGCTTAAGGAGATTTTGGGCTGAGACGATGGGATTTTCTAGATATACAATCATGTCATCTGCAAACAGGGACAATTTGACTTCCTCTTTTCCTAATCAAATACCCTTTATTTCCTTCTCCTGCCTGATTGCCCTGGCCAGAACTTCCAACACTATGTTGAATAGGAGTGGTGAGAGAGGGCATCCCTGTCTTGTGCCCGTTTCCAAAGGGAATGCTTCCAGTTTTTGCCCATTCAGTATGATATTGGCTGTGGGTTTGTCATAGATAGCTCTTATTATTTTGAGATACGTCCCATCAATACCTAATTTATTGAGAGTTTTTAGCATGAAGGTTGTTGAATTTTGTCAAAGGCCTTTTCTGCATCTATTGAGATAATCATGTGGTTTTTGTCTTTGATTCTGTTTATATGTTGGATTACATTTATTGATTTGCATAGGTTGAACCAGCCTTGCATCCCAGGGATGAAGCCCACTTGATCATGGTGGATCAGCTTTTTGATGTGCTGCTGGATTTGGTTTGCCAGTATTTTATTGAGGATTTTTGCATCGATGTTCATTAAGGATATTGGTCTAAAATTTTCTTTTTTGGTTGTGTCTCTGCCAGGCTTTGGTTATCAGGATGATGCTGGCCTCATAAAATGAGTTAGGGAGGATTCCCTCTTTTTCTATTGATTGGAATAGTTTCAGAAGGGATGGTACCAGCTCCTCTTTGTACCTCTGGCAGAATTTGGCTGTGAATCCATCTGGTCCTGGACTTTTTTTGGTTGGTAAGCTATTGATTATTGCCTCAATTTCAGAGCCCGTTATTGGTCTATTCAGAGATTCAACTTCCTGGTATAGTCTTGGGAGGATGTATGTGTTGAGGAATTTATCCATTTCTTCTAGATTTTTTAGTTTATTTGTGTAGAGGTGTTTACAGTATTCTCTGATGGTAGTTTCTATTTCTGTGGGATCGGTGGTGATATCCCCTTTATCATTTTTTATTGCATCTATTTGATTCTTCTCTCTTTTCTTCTTTATTAGTCTTGCTAGCAGTCTATCAATTTTGCTGATCTTTTCAAAAAACCAGCTCCTGGATGCATTAATTTTTTGAAGGGTTTTTGTGTCTCTATTTCCTCCAGTTCTACTCTGATCTTAGTTATTTCTTGCCTTCTGCTAGCTTTTGAATGTGTTTGCTCTTGCTTTTCTAGTTCTTTTAATTGTGATGTTAGGGTGTCAATTTTAGATCTTTCCTGCTTTCTCTTGTGGGTATTTAGTGCTATACATTTCCCTCTACACACTGCTTTGAATGTGTCCCAGAGATTCTGGTATGATGTGTCTTTGTTCTCGTTGGTTTCAAAGAACATCTTTATTTCTGCGTTCATTTCATTATGTACCCAGTAGTCATTCAGGAGCAGGTTGTTCAGTTTCCATGTAGTTGAGTGGTTTTGAGTGAGTTTCTTAATCCTGAGTTCTAGTTTGATTGCACTGTGGTCTGAGAGACAGTTTGTTATAATTTCTGTTCTTTTACATTTGCTGAGGAGTGCTTTTCTTCCAACTATGTGGTCAATTTTGGAGTAGGTGTGGTGTGGTGCTGAAAAGAATGTATATTCTGTTGATTTGGGTGGAGAGTTCTGTAGATGTCTATTAGGTCCGCATGGTGCAGAGCTGAGTTCAATTCCTGGGTATCCTTGTTAATTTTCTGTCTTGTTGATCTGTCTAATGTTGACAGTGGGGTGTTAAATTCTCCCATTATTATTGTGTGGGAGTCTAAATCTCTTTGCAGGTCACTAAGGACTTGCTTTATGAATCTGGGTGCTCTTGTATTGGGTGCATATATATTTAGGATAGTTAGCTCTTCTTGTTGAATTGATCCCTTTACCATTATGTAATGGCCTTCTTTGTCTCTTTTGATCTTTGTTGGTTTAAAGTCTGTTTTATCAGAGACTAGGATTGCAACCCCCTGCCTTTTTTTGTTTTCCATTTGCTTGGTAGATCTTCCTCCATCCCTTTAGTTTGAGCCTATGTGTGTCTCTGCATTTGAGATGGGTTTCCTGAATACAGCACACTGATGGTTCTTGACTCTTTATCCAATTTGCCAGTCTGTGTCTTTTAATTGGAGCATTTAGCCCATTTACATTTAAAGTTAATATTGTTATGTGTGAATTTGATCCTGTCATTATGATGTTAGCTGGTTATTTTGCTCGCTAGTTGATGCAGTTTCTTCCTAGACTTGACGGTCTTTACAATTTGGCATGTTTTTGCAGTGGCTGGTACTGGTCGTTCCTTTCCATGTTTAGTGCTTCCTTCAGGAGCTCTTTTAGAGCAGGCCTGGTGGTGACAAAATCTCTCAGCATTTGCTTGTCTGTAAAGTATTTTATTTCTCCTTCACTTATGAAGCTTAGTTTGGCTGGATATGAGATTCTGGGTTGAAAATTCTTTTCTTTAAGAATGTTGAATATTGGTCCCCGCTCTCTTCTGGCTTGCAGAGTTTCTCCCGAGAGATCAGCTGTTAGTCTGATGGGCTTCCCTTTGTGGGTAACCCGACCTTTCTCTCTGGCTGCCCTTAACATTTTTTCCTTCATTTCAACTTTGGTGAATCTGACAATTATATGTCTTGGAGTTGCTCTTCTCGAGGAGTATCTTTGTGGCATTCTCTGTATTTCCTGAATTTGAATGTTGGCCTGCTTTGCTAGATTGGGGACTTTCTCCTGGATAATATCCTGCAGAGTGTTTTCCAACTTGGTTCCTTTCTCCCCGTCACTTTCAGGTACACCAATCAGACGTAGATTTGGTCTTTCCACAAAGTCCCATATTTCTTGGAGGCTTTGTTTGTTTCTTTTTATTCTTTTTTCTCTAAACTTCTCTTCATGCTTCATTTCATTCATTTCATCTTCCATCGCTGATATCCTTTCTTCCAGTTGATCGCATCGGCTACTGAGGCTTCTGCATTCGTCACATAGCTCTCGTACCTTGGTTTTCAGCTCCATCAGTCCTTTAAGGACTTCTCTGCATGGGTTATTCTAGTTATCCATTCGTCTTATTTTTTTTCAAAGCTTTTAACTTCTTTGCCATTGGTTAGAATTTCCTCCTGTAGCTCGGAGTAGTTTGATCATCTGAAGCCTTCTTCTCTCAACTCGTCAAAGTCATTCTCCATCCAGCTTTGTTCCATTGCTGGTGAGGAGCTGCGTTCCTTTGGAGAAGGATAGGCGCTCTGATTTTTAGAGTTTCCAGTTTTTCTGCTCTGTTTTTTTCCCATCTTGGTGGTTTTATCTACCTTTGGTCTTTGATGATGGTGATGTACAGATGGGTTTTTGGTGTGGATGTCCTTTCCGTTTTTAGTTTTCCTTCTAACAGTCAGGACCCTCAGCTGCAGGTCTGTTGGAGTTTGCTAGAGGTCCACTCCAGAACCTGTTTGCCTGGGTATCTGCAGTGGTGGCTGCAGAACAGTGGATATTGGTGAACTGCAGATGCCGCTGCCTGATCGTTCCTCTGGAAGTTTTGTCTCAGAGGAGTACCCAGCCGTGTGAGGTGTCAGTCCGCTTCTACTGGGGGGTGCCTCCCAGTTAGGCTACCCGGGGGTCAGGGACCCACTTGAGGAGGCGGTCTGCCCATTCTCAGATCTCCAGCTGCATGCTGGGAGAAGCACTGCTCTCTTCAAAGCTGTCAGACGAGGACATTTAAGTCTGCAGAGGTTACTGCTGTCTTTTTGTTTGTCTGTGCCCTGCCCCCAGAGGTGGAGCCTACAGAGGCAGGCAGGCCTCCTTGAGCTGTGGTGGGCTCCACCCAGTTCGAGCTTCCCAGCCGCTTTGTTTACCTAATCAAACAACTAACTCGGCAATGGCAGGTGCCCCTCCCCCAGCCTGGCTGCTGCCTTGCAGTTTGATCTCAGACTGCTGTGCTAGCAATGAGTCAGACTCCGTGGGTTTAAGACCCTCTGAGCCATGTGCGGGATATAATCTCCTGGTGTGCCATTTTTTTAAGCCCGTTGGAAAAGCGTAGTATTAGGGTGGGAGTGACCCGATTTTCTAGGTGCCGTCTGTCACTACTTTCTTTGACTAGGAAAGGGAACTCCCTGACCCCTTGCGCTTCACGGGTGAGGCGATGCCTCGCCCTGCTTTGGCTGACACACGGTGCGCTGCACCCACTGTCTTGCACCTACTGTCTGGCACTCCCCAGTGAGGTGAACCTGGTACCTCAGTTGGAAATGCAGAAATCACCCATCTTTTGCGTCACTCACGCTGGGAGCTGTAGACCGGAGCTGTTCCTATTCGGCCATCTTGGCTCCTCCCCCCTATATATCTCACTTTTAAATAAATCCTATTAAAAACAAAGGCAGTAAGTGTCCAAAATCCATCATTTTCCAATTATGTTTCCATACGTTACTATTATCTGTGCTCTTGTAAGTGTTTTATGCCCATCGTGTCTGCGTGGTGGGAGCGCTCTGTCATGCTGCACTCTCATGCATCTCCTCCCACTTCTGTGCTCAGTACTGCCAGGTGAGCAGCTTAAACTCAGAAGTCTGTCATGGTGGGAGCATTTACACCACAGAAATTGGTAAGTGCCACAAATCAGGGCTTGGTTTATTATTTTGTTAATTGTGTAGGTAGGAGAGTGATGGAAACAATGATAACAATACAGATTAAACAGAAAATTGTGTTTTATCTGTAGCTGTTACATTTGGAACAGCACAAATAATGAGGAAATATTATTCCAGTATTCAACACTATTATCTATTTCAGCAATCTCTCAGATTATAGTTTTAAATTAGAACAAATATTATGCAATTTCTAGGTTTTGCTGTTTTTGATCTTTTCCATAAAAAACACCAGAAAAATTAGGGGACATTTTAGAAATTTTCCTGAACCTAAGAAGCATATAACATTTCCATTTAAAATATTAAAGTTATATTTAACAATCTCATGTATGTTTTATATCTCCAAAATAGTTTTAACACTAATACTACTATTTCTAAAATATTAATGAAGAGAACTTGTGAAACGATAATTAATGATCTCCGTGTGTTCACCCTGCCTTCCCTAGTAAGCTGGGTCTCCTGGAAACACAGCTCAGAAGTGACACTCTAAAGTCTCCCTTAAATGAGACAGATATTGCATGGAGTGAATGGCAGAGGAGGAACGTGGGCAGCTGGGATGGCTTTGGGGAGAAAGCACAGCAGTACCGAAAAGCCTAGAGTGACTCAGACACACGATCCCTTGCTAGCTGTTTCACTGTGTACATTCGTGTAACATACACGCGAGACCACTGGCCTAGGAGAGTGCCTCGGGGCACCTTGCTGGTTCTGTGCCATAATTTCACAACAACTTCCTCTGCCTCTCATGCCTGGTTTCCTCTTCTGGAAAAGTGATCCATGGTCTGCTTTTACAGTTTCCCTGCAAGGAGTAAAGCAAGGATCCCCAACCCCTAGACCACAGACCAGGATGAGTCCATGGCTTGTTACAAGCTGGGCTGCCCAACAGGAGGTGACCAGCCAGCGAGCAAAGGATTCCCACCTGAGCTCCACTTTCCATCAGATCAGCAGCAGCATTAGACTCTTACAGGAGCACAAACCCTATTGTGAACTGTGCATTCAAGGCATCTAGGTTGCATGCTCCTTATGAGAATCTAATGCCTGATGATCTGAGATGGAACAGTTTCATCCCAAAACCATCCCTTGTCCTGCCAGTCCATGGAAAAATTTTCTTCCACAAAATAGGTTCCTGGTGCCAAAAAGGTTGGGGACCATTCTGTGCATGTGTAGAGGGAGTGTGTATGTGTTATGTGTGTAATGTGTGCATTGTGTGTGTGTCATATGTGTGTATATATTGTGTGTGGTATGTCATCAGTGTGTGTTGTGGGTGTATGTTTTGTGTATGTGTGGTGTGTATGTTGTATGTGTGTGTGCATATGTTGTGTGGTTTTGTGGGTGTGTGTTGTGTGTGCATGTGTTGTATATGTATGTTTTGCATGGTGTGTATGTTAATGTGTGTGCATGTGTTATGTGTGCTGTAGGTGTGTGTGCATGTGTTGTGTGTTGTGGGTGTGTGTTGTGTGTGCATGTGTTGTATTGTGTGTTCTGTGTGTGGTGTGTATGTTTATGTGTGTATGTGTGTGTCTTGTGGGCTTTGGGTGTATGTTATGTATATGTGTGGTGTGTATGGTTAATGTGTGTGCATATGCTGTGTGTTATGGGTGTGTCTTGTGTGTCTGCATGTGTTGTATGTGTATGTTCTGTGTGTGTTGTGTATGTTTGCATGTGTGTGTGTGCATGTGTTATGTGTGTTATGAGTGTGTGATGCGTGTGTGTGGTGTGCATATGCATGCCTGCTATGTACCAGTGGTCATTTTAGGAGGTTTATATCCTTTGTTCCACTTAATTCCATTTAGTTGTGAGATGGAGGAAAATTATTTTACAAATTAATATAGAAGAGCTCTACAGACTACAGTCAACTGTGGGAAATGATTCATTTTTATTTCTCCCTTTTTTCTCTCTATCCATGGGGTCTACTAAAAGGCAGGAGAACAGTCCGTCTGCATCTGTCTGTGAAGGATGGAGTTCTATTACTGACCTAATGGACAGGCATCTGGCAACCCAGGCGCTCTGGCTGGTGTGGGCATTAGCATTGCTAAAGGAAAGATCATAGATATTATTCCTGCTCTGTCATCTGCCAGCTGAGTGCATTTGGGGTAATCGCCTTCCCCTAAAGGACACAGTTTGGGCCTCAGTGAAGTGGGCGCTAGTTTCCAGAGACCATTCCGGGTTGGAGAGCCTCTGGTGGAGGGATTCCTTTGGAGAAATGGCAGCGCACGTTGAAACTGCAGAAGCCAGCGCAGGAGCCTCGTGTTGGCTTCATTCAGAATCTCAAGTTTGGATGCGAAGGCTCCCAGGTGGGCAGACAGAGACAGCTGAGAGGCATGTCAGGTGTCCCGAGCCTTCCAGCTCCCCCTGGGAAGTCATGGAAAGTGCTGGTCAGACGTGCCCTCTGGTGGTCCCCAGAGCCAGCAGGAGCTGCTGAGCGTCTGCAGTTCAGCTGGGCTGAGCCAGGGTCCCACCAGGACTGGAACCCGATCACCAAACCTCCATTTTCACTAGAGACTCAAAGACACCCCAGCTGAGTGTGCCCCTGGGGTCATCTGGTCACCTTCCCCTAGCCCTGTGCAGCCTCAGTCCAGAGAGGAAGAGCCCTGTCATGCCCCGAGGGGCTCCAGGTTGACTATCCGGATACCAGGAGCAGCCAGTGTGTCAGCCTGTGATTCATGAATTCTTGTCCCTGAAAGACCAACAACTGTTTTCTAAATGAACAAATGAATGAGCCAGTTAATGCAGCACAGCCCTTCATCCAGGGCCATGTGCATCAGAACCTGCCCTGACACTGCGGCACTTCATGCTCTGGGGCCAGAATCCAGAACACTAGAGCCCAGAGCCCAGTAGCCCAGGTCTTAGTAGCACTGGTTTCTAAGGAAGGTGGGAGTCCGAGCAGGGGGCCGGGTCCTGCTCACACAGGTAAGAGGAAAGAGGAAAGGGCCGAGTTCCTGAAAAGGAATGGGCTGTCTTCTGAAGGTTCCGTTTGGTTAGTAGTTCCTGGTGAACAGAGAGGGGCAGGCAGGCTACACAGCCTGCTGTGTCCTCCCCAACGCCTGCCTCACCCCGCAGCTCCCCGTGCCGAGTGACATGCAGCCAAGAACCACAGCAGAATGAAGCTCTGCAAGCCAGCAGGCTCAGCCTCCTTCCAGAGGCATTTTCCTCCTAAGCATCACTTCCTAGACTACATCTGCAATGGTCTGAATGCCCAGAGTCTGTCTGAAGTCTCACCTGCAGAAGAAGGTACTCGAGGCCAGGAACATTCTTTTCAGACCATCTCAGACTCATTCTGATGCAAACATTCAAATGCACAAAATGCAAATTAGGACAGAGTCCCCAAAATGCCTCTCGGCACCACTTAGGTTTGAGGTGATAAGCTCTGCGGTTTTTAGAGCTCTACGAGGAGTTAGCCGAAATGCTTCTCACAGTAATTTTAGGAGGCTAAAGGGAAATCTTTCATTATTCAAAGAAGAGCACATGGCTTTGGGGACCCGTGCTTCAGAGAGAAGGAGAATGGGGAGCCCCTGAGAGGGACAGGAGAGTCCCAGAAAGCAGAAAGCACTTGCTTTCAAGCCATGTGCTGTCTGGCTGGAGCTGTGGTCAGGGGATTAATCACTGGTTAAGCTCCGCGAAGCCTCAACTATGACTCAGCCCCGTGGGTGGCAAGACTCAGCTCACGCCTCTGTGGCCACCGAGCCCCTCCCCTCCTTTCCAGATGCATTCACAGAGATCGCGCCCTCCTTTGCTTGGCGGGGCACCTTTGCAAACGCACACCTATTTGCTCAGATTCCATTAATAAAAATGGAATCAGGCAAGATCTGCAAGCTGAGGCCACGGGTAGAGCCGAGCCCATGTTCCCTGACAGAACAGAACTGATGTTTGTTTCCATCTAATTTCTCAGCCCATTTTCTTTTTATAATCAGAGCTTTCTGTGGCAGAAAAAAATTCCATGCAGAAACTGCCAGTGGGAGTGATGTCCGAGTCCCACTGGACGTCTGTGCTGGCCTGTGCTGACAAAGAGGCCCCTGGCTCTGCAGGAACAGAGTGTCTTTGAACAAAAGCCCAACGTGTCTGCAAGGAGGAGTCTTTCCAGGAGTTCGAAACCATCCTGGCCAACATGGTGAAACCCCGTCTCTACTAAAAATACAAAAATTACCTGGGTGTGGTGGTGTGTACCTGTAATCCTAGCTACTCGGGAGGCTGAGGCATGAGAATCACTTGAACCCACGAGGCAGAGGTTGCAGTGAGCCAAGATCACACCACTGCACTCCAGCCTGGCAACAGAGTGAGACTCCGTCTCAAAAAAAAAAAAAAAAAAAAAAAGAAGGACAGTCTCTGGAGTGTGAGATTTAAGAGACAGATTTGACATGAGCAAGAAAAAGTATTCCTGTTTAGAAAGCTAACTCCATCATGCTCAGTACATAAAGCTAATTTCAGTCAATTACATAACTAATAACTCCCCAGATTAAGTGCTTACAGAGTCCATTTTCATGTCTTCACTAACTGGGAAAGTGCTGAGCTGAGCTATCTCTGCAGACTCGGGAACCAAGTGCAGTCCTGTGCTCTCACCTCCACCTCTAGACACTTCTATTCTGTCTTCTCACAACAGCCAGGCTGGTGGCACACTGGCCGTAGTCAGGTGCAGGCCCCTGGATGAGTCTGGGATGGCGAGTCCTTGGGGTGGACGACTGTTCATCATTTTCTTACCGATTGCTTCCCAGGGACAGGGCTAGGGGCGCAAGCTGAGGCCTGGCTCAAACTGGAGTAACCCATTCTACATTGGGGAAGTTATTTAAGAATTCAGGCATCGCTTGGCATCCATGGGATGAGGACTGCAAAACCTCCACCAAAGTACTGTGCAGGGGCAGTAAGCGAGTGGCTGGATGGGTAACTGGCTGGTGTTACTTCCCCATCTCCTTCTGCCTGGCCCATGAGACCAGCGGTGCGGCCAGTTCAGGTCTCCCAGCAGCATTTGATGCCTAACTTCTCATTTGGGCTTTTGGGAGCACCAAAACTCAGCTGTGGGTTTCTTAGCAGCAAGAGGAATCAAAGAAGAAAACAAGTGGACTCCCTTTGGTAGCTTGCTCAGACCCTCCACAAAACTCATGGAAAGCAAGCACAGGAAGAGGGCATTGATGTGATTTGCCCAAATCCCCCCTTTTACAGATGAGAAAACAGACCCAGAGAAGTAAGTAATTCCCTGGAGGAATTGATAGGCTTCTCGTGTTGGAGCTGAAACCAGCTCCAACATCAGATTCCAAGCCTTTCCCAGAAGACACCCCCTGCCCCACAGTCTGTTTAGTGACATAGCCCGTGCCCCCCCAGCTTGGTTCGCTCTTCACTGCCATGGCCAAGGTACTAAATCCAACAGGCAGTCTCTGATCTCCCTGCAGCTCTCGCCACAGTCTCCCTATGTCCTTCCCGCAGCAGATGCTGGGATCTCTCCTAGGACTCCTGGCCACCCTGGTGCACGCTCGCCTCTCCCGCCGCCTCTGCTGAGCACTCTGCCCATCGCAGTCCTCTCCTATCCCTCTCTCCTCACTCTGTTCCCTCTCCTTGCGGATCCCATCCCCTCTTGAGGCCTGGACTCGGCCCATAGGCCTGTCAGCCTCACACTTCTGCTTCCACACACAGGTCTGCCCTGAGCTCCAGCAGGTGCTGGCAACGTCTACTTTGAAATGCCTTGCAGACATTTAACGAAAGCGCCCAAAAGCAACCTCTTGGAATTCTTCTCCAAAACCATCCCTCCTCCATCCTTTGTAATTCACGGAACACTCAGCGATATTGTTGCCACGCCCACCCTGGGCTGCTCTGGGCCAGGGAATTCCTGAATGACCAAAAGGACAGGGCCCTGGCCCTGCAAGCTATCTTCTCGACAAATGGTTTCACTCTGCCTAACATCCCCCTCTTCCTCGTCGCATCCTAACACCCAAACCTGCAACAAGTCCTGCGGAATCTGTCCCAGCCCGGCCTCTCCCATCCAACCACCCTTCCCATTGCCACTGACCTGCCCCACCACCCTCTTCAGCCCCGACACGCTCATTATCATCCAGCGCCCTTCCTGCCTTCCGTCTCCCTGGTCTCCAGCACCCATGACCACTGTCAGACAGGCAGCCCTTCCCATGTCCTACCTGGAAGCTGGGTGGCTTCCCACTGCCTGAAGGAAATCCACATACCTAGCCAGGCCCCCAAGCCCCTGCTGCTGGGCCCCTGCCCCCACTCCCAGCTGCTCCCCAGCCTCCCTCACTCAGCCATGCTGGACTTCCCCAGCTCCTCACATGAAACCTGCTTTCTTGCCTCCAAGACGTTGCAGGTGCAACTCCTGACTTAATCGTCCTCCTGGGTCTCTGCCCTGCTGCCTTTGTTGCCTCTGGGGCTGGATGGATGAGGGCTGGTCCTCAGGGCACCCTCTGACTCCTCGCCTGACCCGGGTGCCGCCTCACGTTTTTCCATCATGTCCTGTTCATGATGTATGGGGCGTGTGTGCATGTTTAATATCTTATCCATCCTAGTAGACTGCAGTTCCGTGTAGGCATGAGCCATTCTTTTTACTTCCCCTTCCTGAAACCCCCCAGCAGCTGACACAGTGCCCAGCTGGGCCTGGGGCCTGGAAACACTCACTGCCCTCTTTTGACGGCCTGGAGAAGCACCTACCTCGCTGCTGGAGAGAAGCAGACACTGCAGGGCTGGAGAAGGAAAAGATCTCATGTGCTGAGAGAGAATCACCTCCCCATGGACTCAGAGAGGTTTTTCATCGTAAAATATCCTGATCTAAGCATCTTACGGAGGGGCGAGCCTCTCACCACGTGCTGCCCAGCTCATAGCTGCGGTTGAACACACGGCCTGCCACGCAGCGGAGGAAGCCACAGCGGTGCGAGGTGAAAGTCTTCACACTCCTCAGTCCCCCCTCATGCAGCGGTGGAGCAACAGTGCTGCTGGGAGAAAAGTCTTCACACTCCTTCTCAGTCCCCCTTTCCCTCGGGCTCCCCCCAGTGCCTGCAGAATGGGGGCACGGGGAAGGCAGCCTTGCCAGCTGCTCAGTGCACCTTTAGCAAGCGCATGGGGGCAGGGGCCACGCCATCACTCCAGGCCGATGGGATGGGTGGAAGGTGTAGGTGCTACAAGGTGATCGAGGAGGGGTGGGCTTCGGGGATGGTCAGACCCCCAGGAGAAGTTAGCCACGGGAGTTAGCATGAGGAGTGGATTTGAAATTGGAGACAAATATTGAAACAGAGGATAAAATGGTATGAAATCATAGATAGAGAACATGCTGGAATCCCAGGAGTCATAATACATGTGTTTCTCCCACCAGGTAGAAGCAAGAACTTCCCTCTCCAGAACTTTCCGCTGTTTATCTTGGAACTGTAAATCTCCTCCCTGCAGGAAACAGGAAAATCCGAACAGAAGAGTCCACTGCTGCCAACCCAAGACCAGAGCCACAGGCACTCCCCGCTTCTGTTTTATAGACCATGCCAGGACAAGTGGTTAGTGTTGTCTGTGATCTTACATGGGGAGGCAGGAGGCACAAAATTTGAAAGCACAGACCCTCAAGACAGATGCCTGGGTTTAAATCACAGCCCACCATCTGCATCAGAGTTGGATGACCTTGGACAGATTTCCTCCCATCTCCAGTCTCTGTTTCCTTGTCCGTGGGCATGGATAATAATGGCAGGTTCACCATGAGGTGCCCTCGATGATTATATAAAATAACCCAGGCAAAGCATTGCACGGAGCCTGCCCGCAGCCGGAAGACAGCCCTGGCCCCAGCGCGCAGCCCCTCAGGGAGCCCGGCTCCTTTCTCCAGCATCTGACATCTTCTTACCTCTCTTTCCCCAAGGAACAGGCTGAAACCAGGACACTGAACTTCATCCACCAAGTCACACTCGCATAGACCCAAGCTTTGATTCACAACCAGTCAGCAGCCTGTTTCTGTAGATGGGGCTGGGGAGGAAGGAGGATGCTGGCCGTGCTACTGTTCTGTGAACTGAGAGCCGTGGAGGGCACTCCACTTTGTTCCACAAATGCGAATAACTGGATCCATCAAGCCTGTCAACCCGCAGTCTGTTCTAACCCAGTGGTAACTTCTGATGGTAAATGCGTTTCCCATGCACATTTCCCTGCATGAGAAATGTGCCACTCATGAGAAAATAACACGTGTAGGAAACAATGAAGGGTCACGTCCACGAAGCCTCTTCTATGTACAGGGCCCTGGGCTAAGCCCTTTCTGTGCCTTTTCTAAGCGAATCCTTGCCCAAACCTGCTAAGGAGATGCTGCCACTAAGGACGTATTGTGAGGAGCCTGAAACCTCAGGCCGAGGATCACGGGATTTATGGAAGACGGTGGAATCCCTGCGTATGTTGTGGACATGGCCACAAAACGCCTTTAACAACGACCAGATGTGATGCCCGGCAAGCCGCTCACGTCAGTCAAAGGCTCGTGATCAGCGTGTGTCCCGAAAAATTAGTTTTATTTTCCTCTTATTTCCACGTGCCACTTTTGTCCCAAAAGTTTATAAGTGTAATAAATGTCTAGTGAAATCTTTGACTTTGTAAGCAATGATAAATTTACAGATAAGTGACAGCCCCTGCAGAGGCAAAGCGCTGCTGTGAATCCCCAGATAACTGTCATTTATTTATGTTTCTAAATGTTCAAGTAAAAGCCTGCATTTTCAACAGCATCTGTAATGACCTCAGAGCTTCACTTCCCTGAAGAAAAGTAAAAGAGAAACTCTCCTGAAGCCACATCCTGTGTATTTGTACGCGGATGCAGAGGAGAACGCCAGGATTGCTTGAGACAGGACGCGTGGAGACCCCGCTAGCACGGCGCCCTTCCTGCTGGCCGCTGGGTCACAGCACTGGTGACGGCGTGGCAGTGCTGTCAGCTGCAGGCGGGGGCGTGAATGGTGACAAGATGGGTGCTGAACGCGGAAACGTGAGCCGAGGGCCACTCATGGAGAGGCGTGGGAGGCACCTCGATTCCCTTACAGTTGAGAACAAGGTGAGGTACTGGTGGGAATCGGCGGTGTGTGGGCGCACGGGGGCCAGGAGCGGGGCGGGGACCCTGAGCTTGGGCCACGTGGCTCTGTGGGTGCCCAGCAGCAACGTGGCCAGACCTCAGGCTTTTCCCCCAGAATGCCCGTGGGAAGCTTGGGATGAAGAAAAGCAGAAGGAGCCTCAATTACAGAGTCAGAAGGGAGTAGCCAGCCTCACCAGGAAGACACTGGTGGGAGGTGTTTGGAGGGGCCCCTGGCTCTACTCAGGAGTCCCAGAGGGTCCTTGGGGTGGATGTTGATGGCAGCAGTGTGTGGGGCTCGGGTGCCATCCCATGCTCTACCTGAGCACGCCCCCGCTTCGCCAGCCGACCCCCTCGTCCTGCCCCCAACCCTGGCCCCCGTGCGTCCACGCGCCGCAGATTCCCACCAGTACCTCACCTTGTTCTCAGTTGTAATTTGGGCTTTCAGCACAGGCATCACTCCCTGGGGATGCGTCCCAGGGGCCCCTGGCGGGTCAGAGCCTGGGCCTCCAGCATCTTCGGCTCCCTCCACCCACATTGCGGTCTTACTTTTCCCATGCAGCCATCTTAACCTCTGAACTATAGGCACGGGAAGGGAAGAGCTGCAGCCCAGGACGATCTGAGAGAGAAGTAAATTCCACGAAACACGAGGGAGGAGGGGGTATTCTGACTTGCCCAAAATACAAAGATGTGTTTTTCTAAGTTTTTTTTTTTTTTAACTTTAAATCCCGGGATATATGTGCAGAACATGCAGGTTTGTTACACAGGCAAACGTGTGCCATGGTGGTTTGCTGCACCCGTCAACCCGTCACTGAGGTTTTAAGCTGCGCATGCATTAGCTATTTGTCCTGATGCTCTCCCTCCCCTCGCCCCCGCCCCACAGGCCCGGGTGTGTTGTTCCCCTCCCTGTGTCCATGTGTTCTCATTATTCAACTCCCGTTTATGAGTGAGAACATGCGGTGTTTGGTTTTCTGTTCCTGTGTTAGTTTGCTGAGGATGGTGGCTTCCAGCTTCATCCATGTCCCTGCAAAGGACACTATCTCATTCTTATTACTGGGTATATACCCAAAGGAATATAAATCATTCTATTATAAAGATACATTCACGTGTATGTTTATTGCAACACTGTTCACAATAGTAAAGACATGGAACCAACCCAAATGCCCATCAGTGATAGATTGGATAAAGAAAACGTGGTACACATACACCACAGAATACTACATTTTTCTCAGTTTTAAAATTGTTCTTTTACCAACATCGGTTATGATAAGATGTGTGTGTATCTATGATTACAAACTTACTGTGAAGGATAATACAATTTGAATGTTCTAAACAGACTTGGGGGAGAGAAAATACATTGTTTTAATAAGGATATTGGTTCCCAAGGTGACCAACTTGGAAGATGAAGCTAATTTGGATTCGTAAGGTTGACTATATGAGAAAATAAATGCCATCATTTTCATGGTTATATCTTGTCTAAAATTCTGCTCTATGATATTCATGAACATCACTTCTATGTTAATAATTATTATAATTTGGCTAATTTCCAGACTTTAGTGTATTTTATCCAAAGATCATAAATTTTAATGTTTTGTTTGAGAATGAGGGATAACTAGAAATATTTTTAAATTCAGGTATAGAAAATTAACATATTTGAGTTTTCTCTCTATACTATTATTTATTTCATTTGGAAAAGGTCTAAAATATAGTCTTGATGGATGATTTTTATTTACTAAAGTGACTTAGATTTACAAAGTACAAAATGGTAGTTAAGTACAACACAGTTTTGTCCTTGGTAATCTTGCCAGTTAATAAAGCTCCAAGGTTGTCTAATCGATAATTTCTGAAAAATACCTACCACATTAATCATTCTTCAATGTTTTCAAACAGGGCCTATGAATGAAGATACAGCGTTGACTAAAAATGTTAAGTACTGTGATTGAGATCTGTGCCTGACACCTAATAATCTGAATAACTGTTAGCTTCTACTACGGCCACTGTCACTGCTACTACTACCAGGAAATAAAAACAACCCTGCTGAAATCAAGGGCCGTTGTGTCTCTTAGACCTATAGGTGTTTCTCAAAGTTTTAGCCTGAATAGACCACAGAGAAGGCACAGCCCACTGATTCTAAACTTTTAAAGATCTATTGCAATCCTAAAACAAATCAATAAGTAAAATTTGAGAATGTGATTTTAAAATAAGCAAACATGGTCTCTTAGCATTTCACCAGCATACTTACACGGTGGCAAAGGCACCTCTGTCCACCATTCTGAGTTTTTGTTCGAGCATTAATGTAAAGATAATGGAGTAATTTCTCAGTGGGGCATTCCCAGAAGGTGCACTGGTTCCAAATCATGGATTCCTGCAAAACTCCCTATGTACATCAGAACTTAACCTTCTTCTTTGTGACCTGTGGCAGCTTTTGCATGCAATTTTTAAATATGTTTAAAAATACATTGCATTGGCTTTCCCAGTGAATGAATGAAATTCTCACGTGCCCAGAAAGAGTCTTGATGACCGAAGATCCAGCTAAGTCTTCACACAATATTGGGACATCCAACCCTGCACATTAAACCCCACACAAAGTACCTTGTCCCACACAGATAGGTTCATGACAGGCTCAGAAAGTCCCAGGTTCTATGTGCACCACAAAGAAGCCCCACCCTAGTGAGCCCCAAAACCTCCAATGCTGGGGTCACCAGTGCAAGTGGCATATTCTGCTTCATCTCATTCACCGATGTGAGCTGTGCAGAGTGAAAAAGAAACACTGCTGTCTTTTCTGCCCATGCACTCAAAAGGTACACAGGCAATTTCTGATCAAAAAACTGATTTGGCATCATTGATTCATTCCTGTGACTTGGACAGATAATTCCTCAAATGTGTAACCACGGAAAATACAAATGTTTCAAACACAAATAGTACCACATGTGATGTAAAGATACATTTGTCAAGACAACCGCCTACCAACGGGTCTTTAAGCCACTGTAAACTGAAAAATATGTTCCATGTAACACATCTAAGCCTTGAAGCACACAATGACTTAAGTTTTTTGAAAAAGCATAGTTCTTTTATGAATATACAGTCTATACTCATAAAATATATGTGAATAATGCTTCTTCCTTTCTCTTTTTTTTTCCCTGAAAATACCAAACTACCTGGAAATTCATACAGTCTGGGCTCCCTTCAGTACGTGAAATCTTATTCAACTTTGGAGTATGATATGGTTTGGCTGTGTCCCCACCCAAATCTCATCTTGACTTGTAGCTCCCATAATTCCCACGTGTTGTGGTAGGAAAACAGTGGAAGATAATTGAATCATGGAGGTGGTTCCCGCATACTGTTCTCATGGTAGCGAATAAGTCTCACAAGATCTGACGGTTTTATAAGGGGAAACCCCTTTTGCTTGGTCTCTCCTTCTCTCTTGCCTGCTGCCATGTAAGATGTAACTTTCACCTTCCGCCATGATTGTGAGGCCTTCCCAGCCACATGGAATTGTGATTCCATTAAACCTCTTCCCTTTATAATTACCCAGTCTCAGGTATGTCTTTATTGGCAGCATGAAAACGGACTAATACAGAGTAAGAGACAAGACCCCACACTCCACCACCACTTACTTTCCCACGATATTAGCTGAGGTCCCAGACCACACAACAAGATTTTAGAAAACCAGCACATTAAGAGTAAACACAAAAAGAGACTAATGGATGGTTTCAGTATGGTATCTGAAAAATTTGGGGAAAAAATTCATGATGTAATATACTATACCTAAATTACATTAAATTAAATTTTGTATATTAAATGTACAAATTACATTCAATTTATGAGAACGATTTTTGTTCATTCATTCATTTATTGTAACTTGGTCTTTCCTGGTTGATATGGGTCATGTTTGAGACAAGCTGGGCTTAGCTGAGAAAAGCTTTGGGTTACTTCACCCTCAAGCATTTTCCCTTGAAACGCGTTGATTGACAAGTTAGTGATACTACGACACCAAAAGACGTATCCCCCTAGTGTAAATTAGTTTCTAAATCCGAGGCAGAGCTTCAACCTTAAAGTCTCTCACTAGTAAGTAGTACAAATTTAAAATAAGACAAAACAAGAATTATACTTTTTTTGAGACAGTCTTGTTCTGTCACCCAGGCTGGAGTACAGTGGCACGATCTCAGCTCACTGCAACCTCCACCTCCCAGGTTCAAGCAATTCTCCTGCGTCAGCCTCCCTAGTAGCTGAGACTACAGGCACACACCACCACACCTGGCTGTGTTTTTTTTTCTATTTTTAGTAGAAACAGGGTATCACTGTATTGGCCAAGCTGGTCTCAGACTCCTGACCTCAACTGATCCGCCCACCTCGGCCTCCAAAGTGCTGGGATTGCAGGCAGGAGCCACAGTGCCCAGCCTCTACTTTTTATGGAGCTAACAAATAGTAGCAATAGAAGGAAGCTTAGGGAGCTGAGTTTCAGAGGTCAAAGAGCCTTTCACAGGAAATGAGAGAACTGTGAACACTTCGCTGCCTGGGGCTGCAACAGGTGTGGAAATTTTGCAGACATGAAGGGCTGTCATCACAGCCTTGAGGAACAGTGTAAGTTGGTGAGATTGATTCATCATCTGCAAGAACTCCAGAGGCAAGGACAGATCACTCAGCCCCACGATTCCTCCCAATCACCTCCTACCTGAGTTTTGCCAAAAAAACACAGTAGCAGAGGAGCGGCTAGCCAGAGAGAAACTTTCTAATCCTGTTTCATCCTGTAGTGGCTGAATTCCATGGTTCTTTTGCAGTTGAATCCAAAGCAGAGACAAAAATATCTGAAACTGCAGGCAACCCCCTCCTGGATCAAATACTGGCAAGATCAGAAAATTGTGTGACAAGTTGGCTATGACAGTGAGCTCAATTTCGTTAAAGCAGAGACCCAGCACCACCTCAACTATAAGCTTGGAAATATGAAAAATCAGCCTAGAAGCCCCTGGGAAATAAGCAAAACAAAAAGCTACCCTTCAGTCTCTGCTTCACAAACCATGTCTATAACCAACTGAAAATGATAATGCAGCGTGCATGGAAGCCACACGTGTCCCCCAGAGTCAAACGAGACACAGTGAGTAGGAGCAGATCTCAATGACCAGCCAACAATGGTTAGAACCAGTCAACAACGGTATGAGAACACTTAGTGTAGACACATTACAGACTTTCCCAGGAAAGGTGGAGAGAAAATGTGGAGAGAGAATATTTCAGGAGAGAAATTGAAACTCTAAAACTAACTAAATGGACACTTAAAATTGAAAACACAATGTCTGAAAGCCAAAATGTACAAGATAATAGCAGAAAGCAGACTGGAAAAGCAATGACCCATGAAGTTAATGTCAATAGAAATCCAAGCTTAAGGAGAGAGAGAAGAAATAGATTGCACAAAAAGTGAACATACATGGAAGCATCAGTAAGAGCTCATGTTGAGCTTAACATAGATACAGATGGTTACAAATAGAAATACTTACAAACCTGTTCATCTAAGAGGATGAATAGACACTCATGTCTTGCTCTATCAGCTAACAAGTCCTAGAAGCAGTGACATCAGCCTAGTGATAAGCACACCTAGTTCCCAGATTTTGGTCTCTAATACCATTTTCTAGAAAAAGGAACCAAGCCTCCTTGGAGAAATGGCTTCTTCTAGGACAGGGACAGAAAATATGCAAGAAAAGTGTGGAGCACCTTTTAGTGCCATAAAGTACAGAAGAGCTCCAGCAAACAAACAAACAAAACGCACAAAGATGGGCGTATGCCAGAAGAATACAAGAACCAGCTAAAAGAACTCTCACAAAATAAAGTAAACGGTGTCATACTATCACCAAAAGAATAAAAATAAAGATGTAAACACATGATTGAATGAATAGATAAATAAATTGGAGAAGATAGAAATGTCTCTTTTATGGAAGATCTCCCATCTACAGTGTAACTCCCACTCCTTAAATGACCTTCTTCCAACAAGCAGTTTGAAAATGGAGAGAAAAAGAAAAGATTAACTGTGGTGCAGAAACCTGATAGACACCACCTCAAGCCAGATGATTGTGGTCACCATCAACAGTGATAAGTCACTTTGATAGCATGTGCCCTTGATAAGACGCAATGAAAATGGACTTTACCCCGTGCTCTTCCTCCCAAAAACATACTCCCCTAGTCTGATCATTAGGGAAGCATTTCTCAATTGAGAGAATTCTGCCAAATTCCTGACCAGTGCTCCACAAAACCATCAAGGTCATCAAAAACAAGGAAAGTTTGAGGCCGGGTGCAGTGGCTCACGCCTGTAATACCAGCACTTTGGGAGGCCAAGGCGGGTGGATCATGAGGTCAGGAGATCGAGACCATCCTGGCCAACATGGTGAAACCCCATCTCTACTAAAAATACAAAAAATTAGCCAGGCGTGGTGGCGGGCACCTGTAGTCCCAGACACTCGGGAGGCTGGGGCAGGAGAATGGCGTGAACCCAGGAGGTGGAGCTTGCAGTGAGCCGAGGTCACGCCACTGCCCTCCAGCCTGGGTGACAGAGTGAGACTCTGTCTCAAAAAAAAAAAAAAAAGGAAAGTATGAAAAATTGTCACAACTAAGAGAAGCCTATGGAGATGTGACAACTAAATGGAACATGGTATTCTGAACAGGATTTGAGGGCAGAAAAAAACATGAGGGGAAAACAGAGGTCATCTGAATAAACGGTGAATTTAGTTAATCATAACCTTCACTGTTTGTTCGTTAATTGCGTCAAATGTACCATCCTGGTGTAAGATATTAGTAATAGGACAAATTGAGGTGGGGTACATGAGAATTGTCTACACTACTTTTACAATAATTCTGCAAATCTAAAACTGTTCTAAAATCAATAGTTTATTTTCAAAAATCTAAAACATTGCTGGACAAAAGCAAACATAGAATCAGCACCATGTGGAGAATTTCAACCAGTCTACACTATGTAGAATTAAATTTCCAGAAAGCAAAAGAAGGTTAAGGCAGGGAAAAAAAAAAAAAAGCTATGAAGATGTACTTGTTAGAAATTTACCAAATTCATTAAGGAACAAAAGCGATCCACAAATTCCTGAAGCTTAATCAATGCCAAATGTGATCAATTCAAAGGAAACTACATCTAGACACATCAGAGTTAAACTGACAGAAGCTATAGATAAAGAAAAAAGTCTAAAAAGCAGCCAAATGAAAACTAGACACCTGCGCAGGAGAATAGTAAGAAGAGTGACTGCTGACTTCTCATCGGAAACCAGGCAGGCCAGAGGATGGTGAAATAACGGATTCAAAGAGCTGAAAATAAATTTTGCAAAACTAGAATTCTTTTTTTTTTTTTTGAGACAAAGTCTCACTCTGTTGCCCAAGCTGGAGTGCAGTGGTGTGATCTTGGCTCACTGCAACCTCCACCTTCTGGGTTCAAGTAATTCTCCTGCCTCAGCCTCCCGAGTAGCTGGGACTACAGGTATGCACCACCACGCCCAGCTAATTTTTGTATTTTTAGTAGAGATGGGGTTTCACTATGTTGGCGAGGCTGGTCTTGAACTCCTGACCTCGTGATCTGCCCTCCTTAGCCTCCCAAAGTGCTGGGATTACAGGTGTGAGCCACCGCGCCCAGACCAACTAGAATTCTAGATCCAGAAAAAAACGAAGATAGAATAAAGATATTCTTCAATAAATGAGGGCAGAGAAAATGTGTATCCAATAGACCCATAAGACGAAAAATACAAAAGGCAGCCCTTTGCCTGAAGGAAATAACAGTGTTGGAAGCAGGTTTGCAAGTTAGAATGAAGAGCACCCAAATATAAATACGGGGGTTAAAACTTTTTTTCTGGGCCAGGCACGGTGGCTCACACGTGTAATCCCAGCACTTTGGGAGGCCAAGGTAGGCGGATCACCCTGAAGTTAGGCGTTCAAGACCAGCCTGGCCAACATGGTGAAACCTCATCTCTACTAAAAATTACAAAAATTAGCTGGGCATGGTGGTGCAAACCTGTAATCCCAGCTACTCAGGAGGCTGAGGCAGGAGAATCGCTTGAACCTGGGAGGCGGAGGTTGCAGTGAGCCGTGATTGTGCCACTGCACTCTAGCCTGGGCAACAGAGCGAGACTCTGTCTCAAAAGAAAAAAGAAATCTTAATTACTTAGATGACAAGTGACTGTTTGTAAACTGATAATAATGAATAGCAATTTTTAAATTGGTTGAAGTAAAATCCATGACAATAATCACACCCAGGATACAGGCACAGGGAAGCATTGTGCTGCAGGCTTCCTACATCTTACACCCAGTGGTATGATGTTCGCTCCTCCTAGATCAAGACAAGTTCATATTATAACCATTACAGCAATGACTAAAATGCAAAAAGAGAATCTAATATCAAATCAAGAGAAGACAGTAAATGGAATGCTAGAACAGTGGTTAAATAATCTGCCAGAAAGCAAGAAAAGGAGCAACAGAGAAACCAAAAGCAAACGAGACAAATGAAAGAAAGGAGCGATGTGGCCGACTTCACACCACAATTACACTGAGTGCAAATGTCCTGAGCACCTCAAGCAAGGCCAACGTCGTCAGACTGGACTCAAAACAGACAAACAACAATGGCACAAAACGAATCGGATTCTAGCCTGCTACCAAGGCTAAAAGCGAAGGGCTGTGGGGACCCAGCCGGCAACACTCCCCAGAGCCCACGTGCTGCGTTAAGGGCAGAGCCCACGCCAGGCAGGAAGGCAGAGCCACATCTCAAGGATGAAACGGTTGATCATCCAGAAGATGCAACAATCCTGAGGTATCTGTTCCCAATACCTGGACTTCAAATCCACAAGCGAAAGTTGGCAGACACTGAGGGAGAATAGACAAATCCAAAAATAGAACAAGTAGAAAAAAATTAGGATTACAAAAGATTCAACCAACTAGTTTCACCCCACAGACGCTTTTCCCAGTGCATGCGCCACCTTCATACGATGCGTCCTGTGTGATCGTACGGGATTTTGTATGCATGAAGTTTAAAGCAGGCCAAACTAACCTACGGGACAGAAGTCCAAACAGAGGTTGCCTCCAAGGCTGAGGCGCTGGGGATGACCAGGAAGAAGCAGGAAGAATCCTTGTGGGTGATGGAAATATTTTATGTTGCGATTGGATTGTGGGTTACATGGGTGTATCTATCAAAATTCATTAAATACAAACTTAAGATTTATGTATTTAACTGTACATAATTTTAATATGTATAATATAATGTGATGTTGGTTTATAATATACAATATAATATAATAAATATAATATATCATATATTATATTATTGTATATGATATGAAAATCTTATCCAATTCGTATTATATATAATATATGATATATTATGATTATATTATATATAATACGAATTGGATAGGATTTTCTAAAACTCCACATTCAGGGTCTGACCCCTCTGAATCTTTCTCAAATCAGAGTCATTGATCTCTGTTTTCCAAACAATATCAGCCTCTGTGATGTCAGGAGGCTTGCAGAGGGACATTTCTCACAGGACACTAAGGGAGGCGCTACCCTCATGGGGTCTGGGATCCAATCCCCGCATCCAGTTCTGCAGAGCGAGCCTGGTTTGACTCCTGTTCACGGAATGCTGCTAAACACGTTGGATTCACCGCCTTCTCACCCTCCTCACACCATCCCATCTCCAGGGGTTCAAGGAGCCCAGCTCTGAGCATTGCCTTGGAGCCTCTGATGGCTGTTCTGTCAGGTTTGGGGTCGCTTGCGGATACCTGTGACTGCAACCTGGCCTGCAGCTAGTGTGAGATGTCACAGATTGTAAAAGTTAATGTGGAGAAAAAGAAGTCTCAGAATCAATGAAATACCAAAATATTTTTTAAAAATCAAAGTGCCTTTAACAATAACAGAGGAGAAGGCTGTTTTCTAGGGCCTGGGGCCAATGAGGGCAGGAGGAAGGGGAGGGATGGGGCGCTCAGCCTCCACCAAGGAGGACAAGCACCCTCAACCCAGCTGCCCACTCTGCTCCTGCCTCCAAGAACCCGTCACAGGTCATGCCAGGGGCCCATGAGGCTGGAAAAAGCACAGGTCTTCCCTGGGACCTGCTCGAAGGGCAGAGGAGCCCTCGCTTGGGACACTCCTGTTGCTATTGTTGAGTGGGAAGTAACTGTGCTTCCGTTGCCAGCACCCTCAAGGGGACGCACCTCCCTCCCTGCTGCGTGGTGCTGGACTCAGCCGTGCTGCCACTCAGTAGCCCGCACCCACCAAGGCCCATTTCCCCTTCAGCCCAAAGACAGTTCTCCAGGGAAGTCATCTTGGGCCCAAGCCAGAGGGAGGATGGGCTGAACCCTCGAGCAGGAGACCGGGCCATGGCGGGGAGACCACTGCACTGAATCCAAGGAGGATAGAAAGAGACCCCCTGCTTCCTGGAGGTGCCATCAGAGCCGGGGAGTGGCAGTTGTGCATCGGATCCCCATGGAACCTCGAGCAGGGGGTTGCTGGCTGGCACCTGGCTCCCTCCTGCGTTTTTCCTATTAGCTGTTTTGTTATGACTGCTGAGGCCAGCCAGTCATTTAAAGACAGCACCTAAGTCGGCAGCCTTTCTCCAGGGTACAGAACAGTTCTCTGTAAACCACACACACACCCTGGAAGCAGAGGAGATAGTCCCCAGCTCATTACATTTCTCTGGGCCCCACCATTCTGCCAATAATTGAAGCCTCGCCGACAGTTTTACAGTCACATGGACAAAGCAGGTGTCGCTCACCTGGAATCCAACTTCATTATTTACCACATCACAGAGTAAATAACAGGTTTCTGAGTCCAGGAAAGTGGGTAAACTCCTTGGAGCCTTTTCTGTGAATTGTCGATGTATACACTTTCTTTTGGCCGGTGTGGTGACTCACACCTGTAATCCCAGCAATTTTGGAAGCCAAGACAGGAGGATCACTTGAGCCCAGGAGTTCAAGAACAGCCAGGGAAACATAGTAAGCCCCCATCTCTACAAAAAAAAATAAAAATTAGCTGGGCATAGTGTCTCGTGCCTATAGTCCCAGCTACTCGGGAGGCAGAGACAGGAGGATCACCTGATCCCAGGAGGTTGAGGCTGCAGTGAGCTGTGATCACGCCACTGCACTCCAGCCTGGGTGCCAGAGTGAGATTCTAACCCAAAAACAAAATTAAAAACGAAAACTTTTCTTTTTTTAAAAAAAAATCCTGGTTCCAGCATGTGTGAACCTTTGTAAATCTTGTACCAAGAAGAGACACGTTCACGCCATTGAGTCTTAGAGCCCATGGCAGCCTTGAAGCCTTTTTCCACAAAGCCCCTCGATAAGGGAGGAGCATGCTGAGCTGAGGGAGGAGGGACTCATTCAAAAGGGTTCCAAGACAAATCCAAGACCAGGGACTGGGGGCAGGTGCAGACCCGCAGCCTGAGGACCCTGCAGCCACTGACAATGAAGGCAGAACCCGTCTTCCACACACCGAGGTCCCAGCCACCACTTCCACCATGAGTGGGTTTAGGGGGTGTTCCAGGTTTTTCCCTCCACACCCAGGGGGAGCAGTGCCATAGAGCAGTGGTCCCCCGCTCCCAGCATCTTCAGGAACAGCGTGGGGCTCTCCTGGCCCCTCTCCACACCACGCAGATGCCCCTCCTTTCCATAGCTGCTGTTCAGGGCTCACAGAGCTGCCCCACGCTGCATCCCTCTGGGGTGCAGGACATTACTGACCTACCCCGGGCCCGCCGTGTGGAGCTGCTGGCCGGCCCGAAGCCTCAGACCTGGAGGGCAGAAGCCGTGTTGCCCACAGGAAGTCTGGAGGCCTGCCCCGCGTGGTCTCATCACACCCTCCAGCTGGGCTCTCTGCCCCCGCACCCCGTGGCCCTGGCTGGATGGTGGCTGCCATGGGGTGTGTGCTTCTGCCTCCACCTGCACGACAATGAGCCCAGCTTCCTACCAGAGCCCTCACCCCCGGTCCAGGCTGGATCATCCAAACCTGCCAGAGCCCTCACCCCCAGTCCAGGCTGGATCATCCAAACACCTACAAGGATCTGCTCTTGGAGCCACTTGCGTCTCACACTCAAAATGCCCCGAATAGATTCTTGCGTCCCCTCAAGCCTATCTGGCCTCTGGTCCCACCATTGCTCAACTGCCACACCTGGGTGTCCTCCGTGATCTGGGCCATGGCCAGGCCCTCCTGACCTGCATCCCTAGCCTCGGCCCCTCCCCTCCCTCTCCCGGACCGCCCTGGTCATTTTCCTCGGGCATCTCTGCCGTCCCATCCCCAGCCCTGCCTGTCAGATCTCACCCTGTCAGGCCCCTCCCAAAGGCCCCCTATCCTCCGAGTGGCCCTGCCTTTCCTGCCCGCTGATCAGCTTCTTCCTAATGCCCTGGGGGAATATGGCTCCACGCATCCCATAAGCTTATCAAGGACGGGGTCTGTGTCTTCCCCGTTGCCTCAGGCCAAAGGCCCGCAGGTGCGCAGCTGCAGGGAACAGGTGGGCTGGGCCCCCACAGCGAGGCAGGTGTGCACTGCAGAGGCTGAAATGTGGGTCCCGCAGAGAGTGGTGGAGCCTGCTGCAGACCCGCGGCTTTGGTTGGGGTTTGGGGAGGACTTAAAGAAGCAGCGGTTTGTTCTAAGGCAGCTGCTGCCAGGAAGTCTGAGGGGCCTGAGACTAGACGTGTTGGAAAGAGCAACGTGACCTTGCTGGTGTCGGTGCTTAGAAAAAATTATGAAGTGGACCTGTGATGTGTCCGTTTATCACAGGCTCAGGGTGACCTGGTCTATTCCCAGAGGGCATTCACGTCCGACGGGAGAACAGCATGGCCCGCTGTGCACATCAGACCCCTGGTGACGACACTGTGGTCCACCGCAGCCGGAGTCAGGTCTGGACACAGAGGCTGCCTTCGTCTTTCTCACCTGTACCTGTGATTGAGTTGAGAAGGGAAACACGGTAGCTAACGCACAGCCCTGACTCCCATTCCCAGGGCCCTTGTGCTCACAGGGCGTATGTAATTCAGGCATGACCTTAACTGTCCATGCCCCTCACGTGGGTCCATGTGCTTGCAGGGCAGGCTATGTCCCGGGTGGCAGCCTGGGCTTGGCCGCAGGCCCCCAGGGCAGCCCCCGCTCTGCCGTGTGCCCCTCGCTCCCGTCCTCCCCTCTGCACAGGCGCTTCCCCATCTGTAAGTAGGAGGATTGCAGTATCTACTGGCACCGGCGAACTTGACTTTATTGGGAAAGAAAGGTCTTTACAGATGTGATGAAGCTCAGGAGCTCCAGAAGAGATAATCCCGGATTATCCAAGTGGCCTGACGCCCAATGACAGGTGTCCTCATGAGAGACACAGAGGAGGCTCGGATGCAGGGGAGAGGCCGAGTGAAGATGCAGGCAGAGATGCAAACACCCCGGCTATCCGAAGCCAGAAGGGACAGGGAGGATCCTCCCCTAGAGTCTCTGGGGAGCACGGCCTTGCACTCACCCTGGCTTCATGCTTCCACCTCCAGAACAGGGAGAATGAGCTTCTGTGGTTTTAACCCCTCGTGGGGTGAGGCAGCCCCGGGACACCCATCCACTGCCACCCAGGCTGCTGTGAGGAGCAAGGGGTGCGTAGATGTGGGGGACACTCATCTCCGCTCCCCACCCCTGGCGTAGGACCCCGTTGCTCTCTCCCTGTCATCTGGAGGTTTGCACTGGCCCCCACCCCACTCCACACTGGAGCACCTGCAGGCCGGGGGCACATAGGTGGTGCACACTGCAAGCCACAGGAAGGGCTGGGCCTGTCCACGAGACATTCCCCTAAACCTTCAAATTAACTCACGTCCAGAGTGCAGAGGCCATGTCTCTCCTGGACCCCCATGTGCATTTCCTTAGCACGCGACAGCAGCTCTGAGAAACGTGGGTTAAGACGCAATGGCCTGGAAGGTCCCAGAGCATCAGCCTGGCAGGGGCTGCAGACAGAAGCTCCAAGGCTAGGAGCATGTTCCAGGCCTGGCCTTGCTACCACAAGGACTGAAGGAGCAGAGCCCGCCGTGATGCCGCGGCCCATGGCTGAGAACTGGGGGAACACAACCCATCCCTCAAACCCGTGAACCGCGTCGCACCTCCAGACCTGTGACCTCTGCACATGCCGGGCAGCAGGATCACAGCTGTCAGAGCTATAGGTGTCCCAGGAGAAGGTGGTGCTGATACATCAGCACTCTGAACTCTCATGTTCAGAGAAGAGCATTAATAGATTTAAACCCCTCAACGTATAGCCTTTTGTTGTTCCCTACTCTAGCTCTAATTTTCCTTTTGCAGACTCATAATACAATTTATTAGTCATTGAGGTCAGTTTGGGCATGTGGGTTTGAGGCTGGCCGGTGAGTCAACGTAATCATCATTTTATCTGCCTCATATTCGGAATTTATAATAATCCAGACAGCCTTTGTCTTTTCCTAATTTGATCAATGAAAACCCACTGGGAGAGAGACAGTGTTTTAAAAAGCAATTGTTTAAATGAACTTGATATTTTTATTGCAAAAATACATCACAACGTGCTTTAAGGTTGAATTTTATCTCAGTAACCACATACATAATTCAAATGATTCATGGAGGAGCTAATGACAAATACTGTTGTCATTTAAATAATCTAATAAAAAGCTTATTAATGTAGGGAAAGATACCGATTGGGTATACACACTCAAAGTAATGTGTTCATTTGGGGTAATAAGTTGGATTCTGTCAAGTTTTGTTTTTTCTCACTCTGACGCCACCGGCATTTTTTACCTCTCCTTCTAGCTTCCCAGCTGGCTTCTTGACCACCTATAACCCAGGTCCAAGCACAGCCGGCAGCACCAATGCGGTCCCTGCCTCTGGTGGGGTCCTTCCCTGGCCTCACCTGGGCAGGTAGACAGACCTTTGCTCCCCACCTTCAGAGCAGCTGCTGCTTCCTGGTGGAGGTTCAGCTCGAGGGTCCGGGAGGTTAATCCACAGGGACTTCCTGCATACCGCCAACCACAGTCAGGGCCTGGGAGGGCCAGGGTCCCGTGTCCTCTGGACCCCAGGTCTGGAGCTGCAATGAGTAGAAGAGATGTGGGCCTCAAAGACGACCTCCAGGCCTGGGATCCTGTCCACTGGGACCCCTTTGGACATGTCCCACGACCTCTGAGAGGGCTGATTTTCTCCCCGGCATCACAGAGCCGGGATCCACCCTGGCCTGCCGTGGGTGCTAGGAAAGGAGGTGTGGTCCCAGGGGAGCCGGGCAGGTGCTCCCTGCATGGACAGTGCTTCTCGCATGCTCACCCCACTCTCCATGCAAACCCCCCCAGGGTCTGCCCTGATGGCAGACCTGCTGCCTCAGATCTGCTGGCAGTACCTGGACATATTAAATGACAAAGCTGAAATTTTAAAGATAAAAATTAATACAATGTATTAATAAAGCTAGGAGCCAACTTTAATAAAAATAAAACTTTCCAAAATTAGAAATTACAAAGGGAGAGAAAATAAATGCAGAAGGATATGAGAAAGAGGACATGGCCCCAGTTGCATGGATAAACCTGTGAATTGTTGGTGTTTAAAGTCTTGATGAGAAGCTTCATTTTTCAGGAAAACATGGCTCGCCAGCACTAATTCTCAGAGGTGGATGGCAATGCAGTGAGAAGGGACTGGCAAGTTTGTGGGGCGAGAAAGCAGCCCCCACACTCACGGCAGCACACGTCACTCAGAAATGAAGAATAACATGGAAAGAGACAAGTGATGTGTGTGCCCCTTACGCTGTTCCAGGGCAATAGAGTTGAAGAGCATTTCCCAATTTAACTTACAAAGCCAGCATGGAAATTGCAATCGAATCTCACAAGATACAGACAGGAGTGCTATACTCTCATCTCATTTATTTAGATCCAATATTCAAAATCGTGTGCGGTACGCACTCACACACAGGCACCAATATCACAACGGAGGGGAGATTCGCCAGCAGACTGCAAGAACTGGCAGGTATTGGCAAATACAGAAATATAAGCCATCCCAAGTAAGTTAAAATGTTTTGTTTTGTTGGTTCAGTTTATTTTAATGGACAATTAACAATCCTTTATACTTATAGCATAAAATGTGAGGTTTCAGCACGTGGGTAGATTGTGGAACGATCAAATCTGGATGATTAGCATCTCCAGTGCCTCAAGTATTCATCATTTATTTGTGGTGGCAACATTTAAAATCTTCTCTTTTTGCTATTTTTAAATATACAGTACTGCAAGCCACAAAGTATCTGAGACACGTCTAGGTCCATGCGGAGGTTTTTGTCAAGGTTGAGGCTGCACCTGGGAAAAGAGACACGAGGTGCAGTAGGGCCTGCAGCCCCCACTTTTTCCAAAGAGGGTTTTGAGGGCTTCAACATAAAGAGAAAAGCGGGCAGGAGGGGAAAGGAGAAAGAAACAGAAAGAGGGAGGGAATGATCACATTCTTGTGTGTGGCTTTATTTTTATTTATTTATTTATTTATTTTTGAGATGGAATCTCTGTCTGTCATCCAGGCTGGAGCGCAATGGCACGATCTTGGCTCACTGCAACCTCTGCCTCCTGGGTTCAAGGGATTCTCCTGCCTCAGCCTCCCGAGTAGCTGGGACTACAGGCGCCCACCACCACACCCAACTAATTTTTGTATTTTTAGTAGAGACGGGTTTTCACCATGTTGTCCAGGCTGGTCTGGAACTCCTGACCTCAGGTGATCCGCCCGTCTCAGCCTCCCAAAGTGCTAGGATTACAGGTGTGAGCCACCGCGCCCGACCCAACACTCTTGTGAATCCACATGTTGCAGGTGAAAGGAGGGGGTGGAGGACACAGTCAATCATGCATTCGTCTGGAGCTCCGTAAATCTGCGCTTTACATAAGCGGAAGTGGACATCGAGTGGAGGGAGCAGGCCACTACGCATTCATCACGAGGTGGGCAAGGTGCCATTTCTAGTCTGCTTCTGTCCTAGACCCATAAGGATGGGCGGTTAGTTTGCATTGCCAGGGTGCGGGAGGGCAGACATGGCCACCTATCTGAAGCTATCGGTTTAGGAACAAAAGGAAAGGCAGGGGTTTTTGTTTGTTTTTGGTGTCTCCACTTCCATGCTTAACTTTTCCCTTTTGGCATAGAGAATTCACGGTACTGAGATTGTATTTTCCTTTCACAATACATTAATATTAATTATAGTCAGCGTGCTGGGCCATAGAACACCAGAACTGATTTCTTCCGTTTAACCGAAAGTGTGCCTGTTGAGTAATGTCACCCCTTTCCCCACCCAGCCCCCACCCCCAGCCTCTGGTAACCCCCTTCTACTCCCTACTTCTGAGTCCGACTTTCAGAATTCTACAAATAAGTGAGATCATATGGTATTTGTCTCTCTGTGCCTGCTTTCTTTCACTCCTGGGTTAATCTATGTTGTTGCAAATGACAGAATTTCCTGTATTTTAAAGGCCAAATAGTATTCCCCTGTGTATACACCCCACATTTTAAAAATCCATTCATCCATGGATCAACAGTTTGATTGTTTCCATATCCTGGCAACTGTGGATAATGCTGCAATGAACATGAGTGTGCAGACATCTCTTCCCCACACTAATTTCATTTTCTCTGGATACACACCCAGAAGTGGGATTGCTGGACCATATGGTAATTCCAGTTTCTGTGTTTTCATGAACCTCCACAGTGTTTTCCAAATTGGCTGTGCTAATTTACATTCCCATCAACAGTGTGCAAGGGGCCCCCTTTCTCCACACCCTTGCCAATACTTGGTAGTTGTTTGTTTGTTTGTTTTTTGAGATGGAGCCTTCCTCTGTCACCCAGGCTGGCGTGCAGTGGGGAGATCTCGGCTCACTGCAACCTCCGCCTCTCATGTTCAAGCGACTCTGCTGCCTCAGCCTCCTGAGTAGCTGTGATTACAGGCACCTGTCACCACGCCTGGTTAATTTTTGTATTTTTGGTAGAGACGGGGTTTCACCATGTTGGCCAGGCTGGTCTCAAACTCCTGACCTCAGGTGATCCGCCCTCCTTGGCCTCCCAAAGTGCTGGGATTACAGGCATGAGCCACCGTGCCGAGCCACCATTACTTGTTATATTTCATCTTTTTTAATAATAGCCAGTCTAACGGATGTGAGGTGAGATCTCATTGTGGTTTTAATTTGCAGCTCTCTGATCACTGGAGATGTTGAGTGGTTGTTTTATGTATCTGCTGGCCATTTGTCTGTCTTCTTTTTTAGAAATGTCTACTCAGTCGTTGACCCTTTTTAAAGTAGGGTCATTTGTTTTCTTACTACTGAGTAGTTTAAGACCTTGTGTATTTTAGATATTAATCCCTTGTGTGATGTATGATTTGCAAAGATTTTTCTCACAATCTGTGAGTTGAGTCTTCATCCAATTGTTTATTTTGCTGTGCAGAAGCCTCATCGTTTGATGCAATCCCATTTGTCTATTTTTGCTTCATTGCCTGTGCTTTTGGGTTCATGCCCAAAAAATTCGCTACCCAGTCCAGTGTCAATGTCACACAGCTTTTCCCCGCATTTCATTCTATTAGTTTTTCAGTCTCAGGTCTTCTCTTTGAGTCTTTAACCTGTTTTGAGTAGACACGTGTATAAGGAGTGAAAAGTGCATTTGATGTGTCACAACATTTGTAATTGATTTTTAAGCTCGTAGCAAGCTAAACATAAAAACAAACTTTCTTAACATGACAAAATATATTCATCTGAAATCAGATACCAGCATCTTAATTCTAACCATGAGGAACAATTAAAATCTGGAATAAGGCATGGGTGCCCATCATCACTAAAAGCCAATATAATTATGAAAATACCACCCAATGCAATGAAAAGAGTAAGTTAAACAAGAGCATGAACAGTAGAATGGAGAACAGAAAATGTGGATATTTAAGGAGGAGATGCATGTCTGCTTGTAAACCCCATAAAAATGTACTGAATGTGTACAAAAATAATAGCTTTCCTTGATATTAACAGCAAACAAAACAATAGAATGGAAAAATGCATTAGCAACAACAATAAATAATACATTACTTGGCTAGTATATATGTATCTATGTATACATATATTTATATATCATGTTATTTTTAATTGTGGAAAATTGGAAATTTCTAAATGCTAATATGTGATTCATTAGGCACATTTTGCTATGTTGTCAGTTAACTGATAACAATGAAATACAGACATACACTTATTGATGTGAAACATGCTTATACTATATGAAATAAAAAATATTTAAAACAACATAATATGCAAGATGTATTTTCCTCTGTCTCTTTTGTAATGCTTAGAAGGATGTAAACCAAATATTAACCATGGTAATAATGGCAGATTCCTTCATCTCTTTGCTTATGCATAAATTTTTCAACATTAAAGATGCACCTCTTTTGTAACTAAAAATAATTTTAAATGAGCAAGACCAATCTATTCAGGCTGTAAAAGTTTATATAGAAAACACTAATGTAGGCAGAAATAATGTGATGTTGCACCTAAAATTTTATCTAGTTTTCAAATTATTTATAGCAACACTTTTATATATAATGTTTGTTTTAAGTGGCCTTATTTCACTTTGATTCTTTAATAAAAGAGGTACTAATGATTAGAAAACGGAAACATCCATTGCAGTGAATCCGTAGGACTTGGAACTGCAGTAAAGAGCCGCCAAGCCTCCCACAGCAGTGGAGGTACAGGGGCTGCAGACCTGCCGCCAGGCGAGCACTTCCCAGACTGTGGATAACCTTTTTCTTTATTTTTTCTTTCTTTTTTGTGAAAGCATCTCTCTTTGTCACCCAGGCTGGAGTGCAGTGGCATGATCATGGCTCACTATAGCACTGGCCTCCCAGGCTCAAGTGATTCTCCCACCTTATCTTCCCGAATTGCTGGGACCACAGGTGTGTGCCACCACAATTCACTAATTTTTGTATTTTTGGTAGAAATGGGGTTTGCCATATTGCCCAGGCTGTTCTTGAATTCCTGAGCTCAAGCAGTCTGCCCACCTTAGCTTCCCAAAGCACTGGGATTACTATTACAGTCATGACCCTTCCTTCCTTCCTTCTTTCTTTCTTCTTTTTTTTTTTTTTTTGGAGTTTCACTCTTGTTGCCCAGGCTGGAGTGCAATGGTGTGATCTCAGTTCACTGCAACCTTCACCTCCCGGGTTCAAGTGATTCTCCTGCCTCAGCCTCCTGAGTAGCTGGGATTACAGGCGCCTGCCACCACGCCTGGCAAATTTTTGTATTTTTAGTAGAGACATGGTTTCATCATTTTGGCCAGGCTGTTCTCGAACTCCTGACCTCAGGTGATTGGTCCACCTCAGCCTCCCAAAGTGCTAGGATTACAGGCATGAGCCACCACACCCAGCTTCTTTCTTTTTCTTTTTTCTTTCTTTCTTTCTTTCTTTCTTTCTTTCTTTCTTTCTCTCTCTCTCCTTTCTTTTCCTTTCTTCTTTTGTTTTTGTCTTCTATTGTTTGTTTGTCTTCAAGATTTAAAACAATTGTAAATAGCCTCATATCTACGACCATCTGATCTTTGACAAAGCTGATAAAAACAAAGATTCCCTATTCAAAAAATGGTGCTGGGAGAACTGGCTAGCCATATGCAGAAGACTGAAGCTGGACCCCTTCCTTACACCACATACAAAAATCAACTCAAGGTGGATTAAAGACTTAAATGCAAAATCCCGAAGTTTTTAATTCATAAAAAAATTAAACCTTAACATTAAGAGGGAAAAAAAGATCTCAAACTGCACAAACAGCCTAAGCTCCACCTTTGATAAAGAGACGTGTGAGTGTACACACCTGTGGATATGCAGATGCTCCTACACATGGCTTCAGATATGACTCTCAATTCATGCACCCGACATGTGGAAGGCCCCGATTTCTCCAACACAATTCCGTTTGCCAAGGCCCCCCTCCCCCTCCTCAGATGCAGGAATTGCTCACCTCTGTTTTCTTTGGGAGTCTCCACTGGGTCAATGAAACAGTTTTTAATCTGGGGAAGACCACTTCCCTTCATGTTCTGATCTAATCTGTCACTGTTTGGTCCTTTTATCTGGCATTTTGTCTTTTCTATTTAATTCTTTCCTCTCAAACTTGTCTAAGGTAAATACCATATCTGTGGTGCAGTGAGCCATTTCCAGTTTCCTTATCCATTGGCTGAGACAGAGCACCTCTTCATTCCTTGTTCTTCTCTGAATGGATCTTTTATTAGTCCATTTTCACCCTGCTATAAAGACATACTCAAGGCTGTGTAATGTATAAAGCAAAGAGGTTTAATTGATTCACAGTTCCACATGGCTGGGGAGGCCTCAGGAAACTTACAATCCTGGCAGAAGGGGAAGAGGCACGTCTTACATGATGGCAGGCAAGAGAGAGTGAGCAGGAGCAGGGAAAACTGACCTATAAAACCATCTGATCTCATGAGAACTCACTGACTATCATGAGAACAGCATGGGGGAAACCGCCACCTCCAATCACCTCCCACCTCTTCCCTCCCTTGACGCCCATGAGGATTATGGGGTTTACAATTCAAGGTGAGATTTGGGTGGGGATACAAATCCAAACCATATTATTCTATCCCCGGCCCCTCCCAAATCTCACGTTTTCACATTTCAAAACACAATCATGCCTTCCCAACAGTCTCCCAAAATCTTAATTCATTTCTGCATTAACTCAAAAGTCCACAGTCCAAAGTCTCATCTGAGACAAGGCAAGTCCCTTCCACCCAGGAACCTGTAAAATCAAAAGCAAGTTAGTTACTTCCTAGATACAATGGGGGTACAGGCATTGGGTAAATGCTGCCATTCCAGATGAGAGAAATTGGCCAAAACAAAGAGGCTACAAGTCCCAAGCAAGTCTGAAATCCAGCAGGGTAAAACTACTAAATAATCTGTTTTGACTCCATGTCTCACATCTAGGTCATGCTGATGCAAGAGATGGGCTCCCATGGTCTTGGGAGCTCTGCGCCTGTGGCTTTGCAGGGTACAGCCAGCATCAGCCAGAGGACGTGACTCTCCCTTCCCCATCATGGTGCACCTTTGGGACACTTTAATCTGACAGGAGAACATGCATTGTGGCCCTGTCCCCTGTGTTCTGAGCACATGCTTGTCCCTTTGCTATGACTTCCGTGGCCCCAAGTCCCTTCCACCTCCCTGGAGCCTCTCAGAGCAAGGGCCTCCCTAATAAGGGGTGCTGAGATGGTTTGGCACTGTGTCCCCACCCGAATCTCATGTTGAAGTGTAATTCCCAGTGTCAGGGGAGGGACTTGGTGGGAGGTGATTGAATCACTGGCAGATTTCCCCCTTGCTGTTCTCGTGCTAGTGAATGAGTTCTTAGGAGATCTGGTTGTTTAACAGTGTGTGGCACTTCCCCCTTCTCTCTCTCTCCCTCTCTCTCTCTCTCTCTCTCCCCTGTTCCACCATGGTAAGACATACTTGCTTCCCCTTCACCTTCCACCATGATTGTAAGTTTCCTGAGGCTTCCCCAGCCATGCTTCCTGTACAGCCTGAAGAACTGTGAGCCAATTAAACCTATTTTCTTTATAAATTACCCAGTCTCAGGTAGTTCTTAAGAGCAGTGTGAGAATGGACTAATACATGTGCTCTTCTGTACACCCATTTCTTTGGGAAGCAGAATAACTCTCCCGCGCCTTATTGTGGTTGGTCTTGGAGTTCTCTGGTTCCCATTTAAAACCAAAGCTCATCTCAGCTGTGCCATGTTATCCACATTCTAAGAGCCTGTCATCGTGGGCTTCTCTGTGGGAGTCTCCTGACCACCACTTCCTTGGAAATGCATGTACTGTGCCTGTCAGGGCCCACGGCCCAGTCTGCATCCCAGCCAAGTGTGCTGAGATAAGCTCCTGAGGACCAGGGGTGGGTTGTCCCCTCAAAGGGGCCTGGGTCTCCTGGAAGCCCACAGGAGTCTCCATTCCCCTGCAGGACCAGCTCACTTGCCTGGGTCATCGTCATTCTGCCTCAAACCTGAGCAGCAAAAGTGCCAGCATCTTGTCAAGGGGAAAGCGTTGTGCTAATGTCTGGGACTGCTGTCAACAATCTGGGTTGAAATCGGAGAAGAAAGTTCAAGGGACTTTGCTTCTCCTGCAAATGACACAGAAGGGGAAAGCTCATGGACATGGGAAGGGCATTTGCAGGAGCAGAAAATTAAAAATAATAACAGCTTTCACTCCTGGAAAATGAGAAATTCACAAAACCCTCTGAGGCTGCTGAATGCTCAAGTGCTGTTACGATAAACTGGTTGATGATCAGGCAAAGTGCTTATTTTTAAAATGCCAAGTCTTGGTCACAACACCATGGAAAATACCAGCAAATGCATCCATTCATGTACTCATCAGAGACCGTGCATGGGGTGCTGGGGACGGAAATGCGTGCCTCATCCAGCCTGTTGAAGGTCCTGTTTGCTCCGAGTGAAGCCAAGTCGAGTTTTACTCCTTGGCAGGAGCCATAGTTTCTGTTTTCCTTAAGGACGGATATTTTGAGAAGCCACATATAACTTCACTGATCTTCTTAGAAACAAGCCCACACTGCCCAAGCAAAGTCTCAAAACAATGCACAAATTATAAGCTGATCAAAGCGAGTGAACCATGGCTGCAGAGAGACAGGAGTTACTGAGGGTTGCAACGTAGGCACCTAGCAGTGAACAGAACTGGTCATTTTCAGTAAGTTAAACAAACAAATGTGTTTTTTTCTATCAGTTAAGATGGTAAAATACTTTTACCTTATGTAATTGCTTTGTGGTGGTTCTTCACTATTCTACCAGCCCACCCCTAAAACAGCCTGCTTCCAGGCGGTGATGGGGAGACCAAGTACAGTCCAGGAAAGCAACAGTTACCTAAACAAGATACATTTCAAGGCAAAAGGAATTAAGTTAAACAAAGACTAAAGCAGTGGATGAAGGATCAGCCGTCTCTAAATCTGGGGTCTGCCGTGTTTTTTGCTTTTACTAAAGCAAATGCAGGTTCTATATTTCCACTCTTGTAACGGTAGACTTTATCATACCAACAACAGAAATTAGTGACTGGATACTTTTGAATTAGATGATTTCACTTCAAGGAATACCTTTTAAGCTTCATATACAGAGACAAGCCTACGTAGAAAAGCAGACAGTGAAATTACTTAAATCTGTGAGCATTACGGGACTTGAATTTTGCCTGTGTGTAAGGAAGAACGTGTTAGTTAACGCGTCCAGTGGGCGCTGTGAGGACCCACAGTAAAAGCCTAGTAATAGAACACCACATATCATGTGGCTTCTAAGACGTACGCTTTTAAGACCAGTAAAAAAAAATCATTTTAGAAGTTTTATCTCTTTAAATTAAAAAATTGATCTTGTCATTCTCTGTAGCAAGCAGAAGCAGCATCAGGACAGTTGAAGGGAGGCCGTGAAATGAGGCTGAAAGGCAAAGAAGATTGCAAAGGAGATGCTGCTGGAGTGTGGAAAAGGGGAAAAGGAGAAATTTCATCCAGAAGTCCCAATGTGCACATTCCAGAGACACGCCGCCCCTGCAAAGCTCTGTGAACAGAGGCAGGATCTGGGCTCTGTCCACAGACAGGTCCAGGACACACGTGCATTTGCAAAGGAGAAGCGGGTCAGCTCTGGTTGGCCCCTCACTGACAGTGGACCCCTTCTGGACGAGCTCCTTAAAACTAGAAGGGCAAACAGCAGCTGGGCATCAGCCTTGTGGGAGAGGCGGCACCTCTAGCTGCCCGAGAGGCTGCGGGGCCAGGAGGCTCAGAGGGCACCAGAGAAGTATGGCCCACATGCTGGTACACATGGAGCAACAGGAAATGCAGGCCTCCCCCCAGGGCCCCTTCCAAAGAGGCTCTGTGTGTGGTGTTGAAGGGACACTGCGCATCTCACTCTTTTTTTTTTTTTTTCCCACAGAGTTTCGCTCTTGTCGCCCAAGCTGTAGTTGCAATGGCGTGATCTCGGCTCACTGCAGCCTCCACCTCCCAGGTTCCAGCATTTCTCCCGCCTCAGCTTCCCGAGTAGCTGGGATTACAAATGCCTGCCTAATTTTTTTGTATTTTAGTAGAGACAGGATTCACCACGTTGGCCAGGCTGGTCTCAAACTCCTGACCTCAGGTGATCCACCTGCCTCAGCCTCCAAAAGTGCTGGGATTACAGCCATGAGCCACCGTGCCCTGCCACATCTCAGTCCTTTACTTTCCTGTTGCGTCAGTCCAAAGCGCTCACATGACTCGAGGAAATGAGAACACGGCTGAGCTCCTGCTCAAGCCCCTGAGTCCCACAGGCAGCCCCGGCACAGCCGGTGGGCCAAGTGTGTTTAGGGCCCAACCTTCATTGCACTGCGTTAGCTTTGGCTTGTGGATGAACAGCATCACCTTGACTGCACATCGGTAATCACAGGTGGATGAGAGAGACAGGGCGGGGTGCAGGACCCAGCAGCCAGCTGGGGATTCCGTCCCCTCTGCAGCTGGGAACCTCTCCCCGGAATACCTGGGGCCCACAAAGGCAGCTGAGCCACGATAAGAGTTTGTTGGTTCACTTCCATTAATCACAAACATCTCAGAACGAGCTAGAGACTTGTAAGGAAAGCTGCTTCCTGGCGGTTTTATTTTAGTGTCTATCTTTTGAAAAATTCCCAAATGGGAACAAAAGTAAGAAACTTAAAAACTTACAGACATCACATTCAAAATGCACAGTGAATCACACACTTGAAACTAATGAGCCCGCAGTAGATGTGGTCCTGAGCTGACAGCAATGACACAGAGTGTGCCACAAAGCATAAAAGCTGTCCTTCGGAGATGAGAGCTGACAGTTCACATAAAGTACGATACTTTTTTTAAAAGAGCCAGCATCAGTCAAATCAGTCATAAGCAAGAGCCCGACAAGTCCTCCGGATAAAGTCTTTTCCTTTCTGTGGAAAAGAAATCAAAGGCAGCGGGATATATTAGGAACCCCTGTTACCCTAAATAGATGCGAGAGTCAAAGCCTGTGAGCTCCAGCCTGGAACTCACTCACTTCTGAGCTCCGGACTCAGATATGCCACTGCCTTGGGGGATCTTCCCTGAATGCCTGCAGGAATCTCACATTCAACACGTGCAGAATGGAGCTATCTTTCTCCCAGATCGGATGGGGCCCAGGCGCTCCCCCTCTAGAAATCTCCCCACTATTGCTGAGCAGATGAGCGCCAAGCCACGGAGTGTCCCATCCTCCCTGGAGGTCAGTCTTATAGATTCTGCACTCACTGCATCTCCCACCTCTGCCCCTCCTCGGTGTCTTCCCTGCCAAGGACGGCACCCCCCTTCCATGTTCCTTCAGCCAGCCCTGCCAACTGTTCTCATGCCCGGTCACAGGTCCCCTCTTCAGCATCCATCGGACAGTGCCCTGCCCTGCTTGCACCCCTGGGAGGGGAAGCACACAAGTCCCAGGGCATCTGGCCCTGCCCCTCATTCCATCCTCCCACCACACTCACCCTCCACCTTCTCCACAGGCACAAACCTCCCACTGGCTGCCCCTGGCTCTGTGCAGGAATGCATGCTCATCCCCTGCCTAGGAGTCCTGTCCCCCTTTTGTCACCAGCAGCTTCAGGTAACTCAGCTCAGGTGTCACGTTCCTGGGAGCATGACTCATAGCCTGTTCCATCCCCACTGCAATGGGTTGGCAATCGCAGCTTTGACAGTGCCAGAGCCACAGGGAGGTGTGGCCAGGATGCCATGAGCCCTGGTCAGCAGGCACACAGTCAGGTTCAAACTCGAACTCAAAGGGCTGGACACAGCAGTGCCTCACACATGCAGTCTGCAATAAATGCTGGTGGAAGTTCGGACGGACAAGGACATGTTAGCTGAACTCTCTTCCCCCAGCCCCCCTGATTCCGTAATAGTGACAAAAGATCCAGGCAAGGAAGTTTAGACATGATAACAACCATGTCCTTGCAGTGTCCCCAAGAGTATTACACTCAGTGTCAAATGCTGCTACATTAAACAAAGACCACAGGTAATTCTTGCAAAATGTGTTAGTGTAATCATGGACATTCAAAAGAGTTATCCTTCTAATTGAAATATATCAGAAATGGGAAGATTTTGCAAATACTTTAAATTGATCACGAAGATAAAAATCTAATACAACACTGCATACAAATTCACTTTCATAAGCAACAAAGAAATTCTGATTTATTATACAGACCCAAATCCATCTCTCTGCTTTTTATGAAAACAAGTGATGACCCTCTCCTCTGGATACTTGTCCTGCAAAGAGGCAGCATTGTACTGTCCATCTTCACCCTTTGCTTTCCAGAAACTCCTCCATGGATTCCTGAAGGTCTTGGTCATGCCTCTGCTGTGGCAAGCTGGCATTCTGATTGGCACTGGGAACTCTCGCTCTGCTTGAAATGATGGTACAGTCATGCAGGCATCTGTACTGAAGAGGAGTCAGTGCCAGGCCCATGCCAGGACAGGGTGTTCAAAGGTGGGCAGGGAAGATAGAGTGCCCACCTAGAGGGATATGTACAACGGGGTGACAAGCAGAGCTCTGCCACATGACACAGTGTGTCAAGGTTGGTGCGGACACCCTGAGGGCAAGTTGCCCTAGGGACACAGCATTTCCAAATGTGATGGGGTAGAGATGGGAACATGCGTGGCCTGGAAGCCCCGGGGGGTTCACATCTGTCACCCACATAGTGAGGCAATCACACATCCCTTTTCCCTGAGCGTGAACTTTCCAGCCCCGCTCCTGGGTGCCCAGAGGCTTAAGGTGGCCAGTCAGCTATTTGTGGTCTGAGGTTCACCACTGGGAGCTAGAACCCTCCATCACGTGAAGCTAAGGGCAATGAATGATGCAAAACAGATCCCAGGGAGCCACAGGGGCCTTCTCAGAGGAAAGGGTGCCTCAGGCGGCTGCCCTGCCCAGCTTCTGCACTGTGCCACCTGGACTCTGCTCCCCACACGGAGCTCTGCGAGGACCTGAGTGGGTTGGAAAACGTACTTTGTGTACAGCCCACCCACTGCCTGTGCTGAGCCAAGAGGGTGCTGACCTGCCCTGCAAGGGCCAGGACCTATCTCCCCTCCTCACTGCTGCATGCAAACAGTAGGTGCTTAATAGATGCTTGCTGCTGGGATGAAAGGAAGGCGCTCCCTCTCCATGTGGTGGTAGAAAGGTACCCGGGCCTGGCAGACCTCACTTTGAGCTACAGTCAGAATTCACGTGTCTGGAACAGTCCAGATGGGGAAACCTCCTCTATAGGAATCACAGCCAGTTCATGCCCACTGTAACAGGCTCAGCAGCAGACGTCACAACCCCAGCGCTGTCGAGAGGTAAGGCAGAAAGCACCAGCAACACCCGAGTGACAACAGAATGGGAGGATTCCCAACCCAGCTCAGGTCACACTTTAACCCGGCTCTCCTGCTCTGTCTCTGTGGAAGGTCATAAGGTAGCCAGTCCCCGAGATGTCCTGGCTCCAGCTGCACGGAACTGAGAAGTCTGCACCACCACGGACCAGATAAGTATTCAGCAAGCATCGAGTGTGCAGCACGGGCCTGTGTGGCTGCTAGTGCTTTGAAATGATGTGGGTGCAGTGGCTCACTCCTGTAATCCCAGCACTTTGAGAGGCCGAGGCGGGAGGATTACCTGAGGTCAGGAGTTCAAGACCAGCCTGGCTAACATGGTGAAACCCCGTCTCTACTAAAAATACACAAGTTAGCTGGGCATGGTGGCACGTGCCTGTAATCCCAGCTACTCTAGAGGATGAGGCAGGAGAATCGCTTGAAATCCGGGAGGCGGAGGTTGCAGTGAGCTGAGATCACACCACTGCACTTCAGCCTGGGTGACAGAGTAAGACTCCGTCTCAAAAACAAACGAACAAAAAAAGAAATGATGAGGGAGAGGTCAGTTTGATACTGAAAAAGGGAGACACAGCATGTTCTGGAGGGCGGAGGGAGTAAGAATGACTCATGCCCGTCCTCAGGGAGAGAGATGCTTCTCAATAGGAAGTGAGAGGTGGAGATAGGAGCGGAGGAGGTCTTGGAGATGACCACATCTGTGTCCAGAGGCCGCCTGTGCTCCCGCAGGACTGTGTACCTGCACTTGGGGTGGTGGGAGTTGGCTCTGAGCTATCAATGAACTTGACCATGGCCCTGTTAAAGGAGAAGAAAGGAAGTAGGCAGCTATAGACCCAAGCTAGACCTGTTCTTCCCAGAACCCCTTTACAGAGTGAGAAGTGGCAAGAGTGGCATTTTCAGGTCCCCAATGGGAAGCTGTGGCCTCAAGTGTCGCTGTGGGGTGCCCAGCCAAGAACTGGCCACAAAGCCCCATCTGCCCCAGGACCTGCTGCACAGAAGGGGGACACAGGAAGCTTGAGTGCAGTGTGAGGATGGAGGGAACGGGGGTGGCCTGGAACACGCCCGCATTCATGGCCGTTCCGCCCTGCGCCACCAGCACGCAGCAATTACTATTGTGAAACCAAATAAAGGGACACCATTCCCAGGTGCCTCTCCATAACTTTCAGTTCAGAGATGGCCAAAAATGCAAACACCCACAACTTTCTCTCATATCTCCTGCACAAACAACTTACATTTTAAAGTCATCATTAATTAAATTTATCTTCTGTTGCTATAATAGATAAAGCAATTTATATGCAATTCCATTTCTATTCAATTGCATTTCACTTTCAGAAGTGTGTGTGTCATAAAATAGGGCTCATCTAAACATGCATGGCAAATATACATATTTTTGGTGCTGAAACAAAGGAAAATAGAAATTGTCAGCTGGAGGGTTATTCATGTAAGCACAGTAACCAGAGAAGTGGTATTGTGCTTATTTATGCATCAAACTTCCCCAAAAGCCTAATAAATCTTTTGCATCTTATAATTCATAAGCCAGAGAAAAGGAAAATGTGGAACTGAGACATGTGGCCAAAACTCACATTTGTGGAACTTTTTATCAAACATAAACAGAGCCTCATGAAGCAACTCTTGATCAATGCATCTCCCAGAAATGCCCACTGACATGCAGCTGCCTGACAGGACCTCATATTTTTGTTTGCTTGTTTGTTTGTAAATTTGTGTGTTTTGCTGAAGCCAACAAAACCACATGCTGGCAAACTTGAAAAAAGAAGAATGTGTTGGAAAGTACAGCAGCAAATGCAGGATGTTTCACTTAGCAATATCCAAAGCCCCTCTGGTGCGCCTTCCTGTACCACCAAGGGGAGGAAAGAAAGACTTTACTTTCCATCATGCTCCCTGAATTCAGCCAAACAAACCCCACACTCATAAAGAAGAGGTGGACAATGTCAGGTGCAGCAATGACCTTGAGCAGGAGAGTCCAAGTCAGACCTTCCAGCTGGGGCTTCAGCTCTTCAGGGACAAATGCATAGAAGCTTCCTTTTCTTAGTATCAGAGTCACAGGTGTCATTTTCAAGAGACAATGAGGGTTTCCACCAGATTAGATCCCTGGGTGTTCAGATGTCTCTCCTGGCTTTCTTGATCCCAAATGTGAATTATTCTTGAATGTTTATAAATGCTGTGTGCCAAGTATAACTGCTAACAGGTTGGTTGCAGGTAATACATCCACGTAAAAATGGAAGCTGGGATTTCATGGCCTGGTGCCTTAGCGTGAAAGGATAGGACGCAGGTGGGGACGGCGCAAAATGATGAAGCAGTTGCTGGAGTTATCTCCTAAACTTAGGATAAAGTGCCTTCTGAAGCCAAGGCACTGGAGACCAGGTGGCTATATTTATAGAGCATCAGGGTGGACACAAGGAATTCAAGGACTGTTGGGCAGGTGGGTGGCTTCTAATTATGGTGAAAAACTTAAAACTGAAACAAAATCAAAGCTGAAAATTCTTAGCTTAAGGCGTGATCTGGAATAAGAAGACGCTATGATACTGTTAAATCTCTCAGAGCTGGAACCAGATGCAGAGTCTGATTCCCAGCATTGTCGCTTTACAACAGAAGTTGGGAGTTTTATCCGTGGTCTCTGCCAATCTCTAAAATGAAAAGCAGGCCATCGATTGGGAAAGACAAGGGGACTGAAAATTTGAATAGGGATATTTGGGGGGATTAGGATGAAACCAGGGACTCCAAACTACAATGCTTTGAGTCTCCCATGCCGGAAGTAGCAGCACCTTCTCCCTTTCCCAGTTTGCCTCCTCCCTTGGAAACTTCAGCTGGCCTCACCAGAGACTGCTTCATTGCAGGAGGATGCCAATTCTCTTGCCCTATCACTGACAGACTCCATTTCCTTTGAACTTATTGTTAGAATCAGATTCTCTTTATGACCCAGGAAGCTAATTATAACATGAAACCCAAGAAAAGAAAACACTCGCTAAAATAATTGCAAGATTTACTAATTTGTATCAGAAAGAAAACTTGAAGATTACATACACAGGTATGGATTTGAGGATACTGGATGTAGGGCCCAAGGCCATTCATTCAGATAAAGTTTAATTTATAAAATCTGTGAACTTGGCAGAGATTCTGGATCTGATATGCTCACTTTATCAGCTTAGAATGGCTTTGATTGATTTCTCAGTTGGTCAGCTCTAAGCTAGACTCCGTGACAACATACACCAAATAAAGTTGAGATGCCAGAAATCCTGTGGAATGATCAGGAGAAGGAGCTCAAGGATTTGGTGAGCCAGGCCCATCAGGATATATCTGGGTTCATCAGACTCAACTCTTGCCGGACTTGGTGGAGAGGACTGATCAGCTTATGGCACCTCCAGAAAGCTGCTGTGACAGCTTAGAAGCCACAGAGCCCGCAGCTCTGGAGAAACATCTGGAAGAAGCAGTTGGTGTTCTAGCAGGAATCTCTCTGCTGTTACTGCCACCACCCCAGACTCCTGATCTGAGAACTAGATTCTAGACCCCCTCCTATAACTACTGCAGAAAGGCCAGCCTGTGGCCGGGAGATCCGGTTCCTAGGAGTCTGGCTGGCTGCTTGCTTCTGCCTTCAAGCACCGTGAGGGTATGTCTGGCTAGTAGAGTCTTGGCCTCATGTAGTGACTTCTAGGGTCTAGAAGACAGGAAGGTTCTCTCCACAGGAGATTAATTACATGCTAACAGAGCCAATGTGCATATTTTCCAAAGGATATGTTTTGAATCATCTGCTCTAAGCCCGTGAGCCCATCTTAGTAGAATAAGATCTGGGATGCATGCCTTCACTCATCTATCCAACAAATATTTGGGGGCGCATGTCCTGGAAACTTGAACACAAAGACAAAAGAGCCCTAGGCTCTGTGGGAAGCACACCCAGGCATGGAGACCTGAGGGGCCATGGGTGGCATGTGTGAGCCAAGCCCTGGAAAGGTGGAGTGGGGACCCTCTGCTGTCGGTGGGGGGAGGCATCTTTCCCAGGTCATTCCAGGGCATTCCAGGGAGTGAGAGCAGCAGATGAAAAAGCAAAGACACATATCCATGATAGTGGACTTGGTGAACTGGACGGTTTTTGCTGGTGTGGAGACATCAAAGCTCAACTTGCTGGGAAGGAGAATTTATCTAAAGGTGTCCCTCAAAGCTGCAAGATGAATTCTGCATCAGCTGCAGCTTTCCTCAGCTATTTCTTTAATCAAGAGGAAAATAAAATATCTTGCTTCAATTAATGAGATAAATAACTGGTACCACGTAGACATCAGGAACTGAGGCATGCTCTAGAGTGAAATCGATTCCTCTCCTGGAAGAAAGCACTTCTGCTTCCTGCACCCTCTTGACCTCTTCACTCAGAGCCAGGATGAATCCAGGCCAGGGACGAGCTCTCGAGCTGGATGGTGATGCAGCCTCCCCTGCCCCAGTGCACCTCGTGACCAGGATTAAAAAATAACACACAGAAACGCCTGTCATCTCCCAAGTCTAGTAACATCTTCAGAGCATAAAGAAACAATCTAGATTAGCATTCCTGTTTTACAATGGAGGGCATTTTATTAGAAAAAAGGGTGAGGAATATATCCCAGTCACACAACTAGTTAGCTGCATAGCCAGGATCAGATGCCAACTTCCCTGCCTCCGTGTCTCGTGCATTTTCAATACCTGCAGCACTGCGTCATGATCCAGGAAGCTGGTGGCCACCAAGCATATTTCCGTAGAATTATTTGGGACCCTAAATTCAAGCAAGAGAGAAGACTGTACAACATTCTCAAAAATAGCGATGTAACATGCTCAGACATTGGACTCTTAAATTTGTCCTTAATTACTATTTTGTGCCTTAAAATAAAGTAGGTATATCAAATTCTCTCTCACAAATCATATCAAATCAAGATCTCAGTAGCTGCCTTTTGGATTGTAAAGACAAGACCAAAGGATTCAGCTCCGGGGTGTTGTGCTCTAACCACAGGATGTGGGCCAAGTCCACAGGAAGCCCGGAGGGTGGAGGAATGAGCTCCCATCGCAGCTTCCCCACACTGTGCGCTGGTGGGGATTTGGGAAAGGCCATGTATTATTTCCCCTTCTTGAACTTTCATCAGCTTAATAAACCCATAAGGTGCTGTAAGCTCATGGGCTCTGAGAAGTCCAGAAACAGAGACACGTGAAAATGTGCACTGTCACCTGTCTTAACCTTTGAGACGATGGAGCCGTTCTTTAGGGTCAGCAGTGCCTATTCAGTAGTGATGATGACACACTACGAAGTGTTCAAAACTGAGAGGTTGGCCAGATGGTTAAACGCATGCCCTGAGACCTGGATCAAAAGAAATCCTTTGTAGCGAGATGGGCAGGGAGTGAGTGTGTGGACTCGGACTCTTGGGCCTCCCTATGGGTATTCTGAGACAGTAGGACTGTGTTTCTAACAATCACCCACACCGCCTGACACAGGGACCTGCTCTGCCCACTCCGAGAATCACAGCTCTGGGGATAGTCTCAGAAGGAAAAGGAACCTCTGAAGAGTGAACGCTGAAGTTACAGGGACACCAAGGGACCAGCGTGGGGACCACTCAGGCAATGCCAAAGTCAGAGACTGGACACGTCTGCAGGGAAACAAATGCCCCCCCACTTTAAACTCCAGGCTTGAATGACAAAATCTGGACACAAGAATTTGCTTTTCATCAGCTCTCTGCTGCCTATAAAAGTATACAATTATACAACCTTTCCAGGGGGCAATGTAGCAATATCTTAAGAAAAAACCTTCAAATGTGTACCCAGCAATTCCAGTTCTTGTCATTTACTGAAGGAAATTATCAGAGAAGTACGCAAAGATGTATGTGATGGAATCTCACTGCATGCTCTTTAAGACAGCACAGAGCTCAAACAACCAAAAGGTCTGACAACAGAACAGGGTTGAATTTATATAAACAAGTACTGCACAGCCATCGAAAGCAAGCGTCTTAATCAGTAATTTGCCTACTAGTGCAGTCTTCCCAGGAGTGAGTTTTTGTTTCGACCTTTCTGTCGCTTAGTAGGCAGGACCAAGGTTTGTATAAGTCCCTCATTTGGGTCAATTCCGAACCGAGGAAAATAGGCCCTCCTGCAATTCCGGTAGCACCTGCATCATCAGTGATTATTGACAGAAAATTGTGTCAACGTATACTTTCAGGTAAGAATGCAAGTTACAACCAGCATGGAAGGCATTAATAAGAGAAAAAAAAATCTGCATTAAAAAACCTTCAAGAGTTATTTTACAAAAAGCAGGGAACTTAGGAATACTGCAGATGGATTTAATTTTTTTCTTCATTAATTTCACCTCTTCAGATTGTTGCAGTAAGCGTATGTCCTTTAACAGCTTACGCAAAGAATAACTGACATTCGATAAATTAGCATGCATTTTAAATAGTAAAAATAGTAAAGCTATGACCTCATAATGGCTATAATGCTTTTATCTAAAAAAGATTTCATGTGTATCTGTTCACGTGTGTGAGTGCATTTACATATATGCAAGTGTATGTGTCTGTGTGTGTGCATGCATTCATGCGTGTGTGTGTGTGTGTGCGTGCACAAGTGTGCTTGCAGGTGTATGTGTGTGCACATACAAGTGTGCATGCAGGTGTGTATGTGCACATACAAGTGTGCTTGCAGGTGTGTGTGTGTGCACGCGTGCACACTCACAGAAGCATAAGACCAGTGGAAGCAGCTCCGAGGTACAGAAACCCAGGCTGGAAGCCCAGCAGCGCCCGACAGAGGCCACCGAGCACCGGGCACTGTGGGTCCTTTTCCCCCCGCATTGCTCAAACTGTTTCTTCATCTGTAAAATGGGCAACTGTGCATTCCTCATAAGGTTGATGTAAAGTCTTAATCAATTGAAGGACTGACATCTCACACTTGCGTGGGGTGGGAAAAGCTAAAAGAAGCTTTTAAAACTTCAAATGTAAGGATTATGTGCAATGACAAAGGGAGAAAAGCCTCTGACTCATTAAAACACAGTCCAGCATCACTCCCCAGGTGTGCGCTGCTTTCTTCCCCTCTAGCTCAGGGAGTAGCCGGCATGGGCCACGGGCACCCCTGCCCTGACTCAGCTGCCACTGGCTCCCTCAAAGTGCAGCCATCTCCCCAGCACCGAGGGCTCAACAGTGATCAACAACACAACTTAGTGTAAATGAGTGTCCCACAGTCAGCAGGATAGAAACAGCTAATAGAAGAAAATGGCTGATGGATGTCCCAGATGCAAAGTCAAGGCTGTTCTGTGCTCCCAGTGCGGGGACACTGAGGGATGCCCTGAGCCCTCGGCCCCAGTAGGATGGAGAGCACGTGGCTGGGATGCCGGGATAGCCTCCCCACACCCCTGCCTCCAGCCCAGCACTGCTCAGACCGTGATCCTCAGAGCCCTGCGAGAAAAGGGCAGGTGGAAAGCTTAGCAGGAGCCCTGAGGAGAGAGACAAGATGGCCTGGTGCTTCTCAGGCCAGAAAACAGCAAGTGTTGTTAAGAATCCGTCACCTAAAATACTCTGCAAAAGCACAGACCAGGTGTCAGAAGCTGTGCTGGGTGCTGGGCACGGCAGTGAATGTGACAGCCCAGACCCTGACTCCACAGAGCCCCTGTTTTGCAGAGTGGGGGACTGCATGTAAGGAAGCAGGTAGATGCCAGCGGTGGGGAGTGCCATGAGGAGGCTCAGGCAATGGTGAGACAAGGCAGTGGCACAGCAATGCTGGCGCAGGGGCAGGTACAGCTTCCCTGTACAGGAGGCATCTCAGTGGAGACCCAAATAACAAGAAGGCACCAGCCCTCAAAGAGGCACAGCACACACACGCCAGGTGTGGGAACTGCAGGTGCACGCTGGTGCAGGCAGGGCTGTGGTGCAGTCACGGCATGCAGGAAAGTCCCTGTGTGTGGGGCTCTGTGAGGACGGACATGAGGTTGGCCAGGAAGCCTGAGACCAGGTCCCGCAGTACATGATGAATATCAAGAAGGGGCCCAGCTCGGCACAGGGCTGTGCTGATGAGGGTCAACCCAGGCACTCAGCCAGCAGGACAAGGGCTCCCTTTCCTGTAGCATGTAAGAGTGGTACCACCAGCACAGGTCCCCAGGAGCTGGTCAGACCAGGAGAGGCCAGCAAGACGGGGCAGGCAGAGCGTCCCTGGGGTCTTTACAGATGGGAGCCTGGAGAACCAACACTGCAGGAGAGAGAAAACAAGGTGAATTTCCAGGTCACACACCGGTGCATTCCAAGTTCTCTAACTTGGCAGGTTCCTTCTTGCTTCTGCCAGCACCTTCCCGTGATAGAAACCAGGACAATCCCTGGGGTTGAACAAGTGGGTTCATTTCACGTTTCAGCGAGGGACACCACCCCCCATCTCAGCAAGAGGGTACCTGGGAAGAGCTGGGAATAGGAGCTGGATGTGTGTGGGGTGGTCCTTGGAGGCTTAGGGTGCAGGACTTTGCTCAGGAAGTGGGGCCAGGCTGCAGTTGGTGTCTTCCCAGCCCGTGTCTAGAAGACGGAGGGAAGGCAGCCAGGCTAGAGCCTCGAGTGGCAAAGTGCAGGCAGATGCCCGGGTGAGCCAGGGTCGGGGGTCTGGTCATTTGAGATTGGACCACGTCCGTGTTCTTCTCTGCGTTCTGATGGGATATGCAAGGTCATGATTTGTCTGGATCAATCCTGGTCACAGAGTGGCCATGTGTGTGTGACGTGAGTGTTATGTGACATCATTTATGGTCAGCGAAGGACAGCGAGGCCCAGCCAGTGGTACCAGCTCCTGGATGTCAGTGGCTGCTTTCTCTCTTTTTAGATCCTCATCCCCCTCCAAAATGTGGAGAAACTCAAATATGTTTTTAAGGTGTGATCTCAGCCTGTCTTAGCAAGATGGATCAGAATGAACGCTCTGTTTTCATTACTTTCTTAACACAGAGTATTTTACTATAAAAGCGCCATTCCTCTGCCAAAGAGACGCATCTATTTGCTTTGCCATGCCTTCGGAGATCACGGAGTGTCTATAATTAGGTTGTGAAACATGAGATCCTTCAGCTGGTGTTGGCTGTTTTAAAAACAGGCTCATGCATTTGGAAGTAAGAAAATGTTACCATATACCATGGAAATTACGCAGAATTCTGTAACTGAAATCCAGAATGTAGGGTGGGGGTGGGGTTACTACATAAAAAAAAAAAAGAAAAAAAAAAAAAACCTTGACTTATTCCAAACAGCAGCCAAGGTGCTCAGTGGCATATGATGTTATGATTCAATAAAAAGAGTCTCATTTAAATTGCAGATGGTTATAAAATTGAGACTCTAAAGATAACTTTACTCTGCCAATGTATAGATTAGTGATCTCTTAATAGAATAAAGTCACTTGTTCTCTTTGTTTGCAGTTATGTTTAAACTTCCCTAGAATGTGATTTCTAGGCAGCTCTCCTAAAATGTTCCCCCAGGACAGTGAAATTCAATGACACTGGATGATGTACAGGAAATAATAAAAAGGATCAGGATATGTCATCAGGAAAGTCCTCAAACTTTGTATTTGAGAATGAATTATTTATTAAAAGTTTTTGGAAAAGTCCTGGTGTTGCAAAACCAAGTTTTTGGATAAAGAAAGAAGGGAAATATTTGTATACATGAAAATGCATCCTTTCTTAGAATTTACTGTGCAGACTTAGCTATGCAGTCAGGGGAAGGAGGAACTCACCTGGCGGGGGGCGGGGCCCTAAATATCTCACCCCAAGGGTCTGCGTGCCCACCTGCCTCAGGCCTCTGAGAGAGGAGGGGCCCTCCCCAGAGATGTGCAGGTAGAGACAGGGGAAGCACACTTTGGGTTTGGGGGACCAGATTAGAACCAATGGTCATGACCAGGTGCGGTGGCTCACTACTGTAATCCCAGCACTTTGGGAGGCCGAGAAAGTCAGGAGCTTGAGACCAGCCTGGCCAACATGGCGAAACCCCATCTCTACTAAAAATACAACAATTAGTCGGGCGTGGTGGCACATGCTTGTAATCCCAGCTACTTGGGAGGCCGAGGCAGGAGAATCACTTGAACCTGGGAGGTGGAGTTTGCAGGAAGCCGATATTGCATCACTGTACTCCAGCCTGGGCAACAAAGCAAGACCCCATCTCAAAAAAAAAAAAAGAAAAAAGAAAAAGAAAAGAAAAGAATCAATGGTCAAAAATTACTCTGTGGCAAATGGTGTGTCCACTGACTGCCGTGGCTGCATTTCTCCGAGGGTGAGGACTGCCCGTCAGAGAAACATGGCTTCATTTACACCCAGCACTCATCTTAGGGACCACAGCTTCACAATGCCCCACACCCCGCATCACTCGCCTCATTCTGGTGGTTTATTTTAACAATGTTTCACTGCACAAGGAATTCAAAGATACCACCAAGAAAATAAATAAATAGATCAATCAAAACAAGTGGCCCAAGACCCCACTCTCCAGAGGAGGCCCTGGCAAGTACTCTGGATGCCTCCCCCACCCCCGCAGGTTTTTGCCTTCAAATGGAAGCACAAGGAGTGTCATTGTTGAGGTTTTTCTGAAAATGTTCTTTCCATCTGCATGTTCTAATTTTTCCTTTTGGGAAAAGTCACATGTATTATTTTGGTGTATTATTGTGGTATTATGTGAGTTTGCCTGCGTCTCTCGTTTTCTTTGCTGGGTTCTCTGCAGAGGCGGTATCCTTGGGATCGTCTGTGCCCATCTTCCACGACAAGCGTCTTTTCTGTAATTTCCTCCGTTAGTGCTTTGCTTGCACCTGCATTCACTGCACCGAGGGAGGCGTCTCAGTTGATTCCTAATGTTTTCGCCCTGCGATTGTGCTATGTGGGTAAATTCATTTCCCCGTTTCTACAAGGTTTCTGTTCTCTTCCCTACTGTGTGAAATTGTGTTCTTCCGAGTTGAGTTCTTTACCTATTCATGTGCTTTATGTTTAACTGGGACGATTCATTACTTGGTGGCCATGTGGTTTTACATGTTGATCATACTTGGACACCTACCTCAAGAAAATCTCTTTGGGGTGACTTCTTCCATCGTATCTGAGACTGAATTTCCATCGGGCCCCACAGTTTGAGGCTGGGTATCTCCTGTTCTCCCTAATTTTCATGAGAAGCATGAGGGCCAGGGAGATCCCCACGGAAGTGGCGTCCAGTCTTTGTCAGGATGCCGGAGCATTCGGAAGGGAAGATTTGTCAAATCTCAGTGCTGCAAGGATGCCTCCCGTTGAGGACCGGGCCCTGGGCCACGAGCCTCTGGTTTCTCACCACCCCAAGGGCTCAGTATCCTCCTCCAAACCCACTGCCTCTGACCATACAGTGAGAAACAGAGAGCTGAGGGCACCTGCCAGCCTGTCAACCACTGTGAGGACCCCCTCGAGGCCCATGGAGCTGCGGTGGAGGGGCCGGGAGGCCACCCTGGGGGCCCAGGCATGGAGCTGTCAAGGGAAGGGCCACACGCCCCGGGTGGACAGTGGTGCCTCTGCCTCTCTACACGGGCTCTGACATCCTCTGAGGAGCCAGGTGCAGGGTCCCTGCCGGGAGCAGACTCGCTCTCCAAGCAGCACGGCCTGGCCCCATCAGCCACCGGCTGGAGGAGGAGCCCCTGGCTCAGCTCTGCAGAGAGCACCCAGCTCTTCCATGCCCCCCTCCCCATTTCCCCTCAACTGCTGTTCTCTGACTCCTCAGAAGAGAGGAGGAGAAAGGAACCCCTTCAGCTCTGTGTCTCCCAAGTACGGGAACTGGCGAGAAACCTCCAGACATCATCCCCTGGGACTTGGCTCTGCCCTGAGTCTGCACCAGCCGTGCAGGGTCCCTCGCAGGCTGCCTCGTGTTGACATTCTTTGCATTTGGTGATTTCTCTTTCTTGGCTTGGTCGCCGTTGGTGATTATTTTTTCTCTTTGGATAGCTGTATGCTGGTGTTTTCCTCATGTGTGACATACTGAGGTGGGGAAAATCTGAGCTGCAGTTTCTGTCTCTCCTCTGGTCCCGGACAGCACTCCCTAATATGACAAAGGCAGATTCCCGGGAAGGGACATGTGTGGCTGGGCAGGGGTCCTGGTGTCGCATTTCATAGCTGGGCCGAGTTCTCCCTTGCAGAGGTGGCACTGACCTGGACTGGCCAACAGCTCTGACTGGCCTCAACCCTGCGGCTGTTGCTGGGTGTGACGAGACCTTTTATCTTTGCTAATTTGATAACTACCATTTTACTTGGGTTTTCAACGTGTTTATGTTTTTATTTCATATCCTTTTACCTATTTTTATGGGGGTTTTGCCCTGTTTTCCTTTTGATAAGTAATAAATCCTTATATTAAGGTAATACCTCTTTATAAAGCAAGGCTGAAGAATTTCTCACTGAAATTTGACATTTCAGAGAAAATGAGGGCTCAGATCTGGTCCTCCTCAGAGAGCCTTGCCTGTGAGCTGGGGTGGGGGGGGGCGGTAAATCGCTGGCATCCAGCCCATTCTAAATCATGATTCCGTCCTGGGACTCAGGCCACAATACGGCTCCTAGCCTACCACTTCGTGGTGTCGCCCTTATGAGAGGTGTCCTGGGGTGCTGTGGGGGAGCGGGGGACAGGGTGTGGTGGCCACATCTCCTGGGGGAGAGGGGGGCTCTGGCCTGGGGTCTCCTCAGGCAGCCACTGATCCCACTGAAGGCTGATGCTGAGGCTGAGGCTGGCATTACCTGTGGCTTGGGATCTCTCTGTGTGCTCAGATCCCAGGGGCAGCCTTGGCCTCCCTCTGTCTATCTCCTACTATAGCCAGCATCCCCTCGGAGCTCAAACTGTGACTCCGTTGGTCCCCACTCTAATTATCCACTCTGCAGCTGCCCCTGGAGCCCCCACGCCACACCCTGAGGACCTTGGAAACCCCCTCTGAGAGGCTCTCACCTGCCTCCAGCCCAGGATGCACATTTGGGACTTAAGGGCACCTGAGAATCCAGCCTCGGGTCTCCTCCTCCTGACCCTGGAAGCTCCACAACCACTCTGCCTCCATTCCTTTCTGTCGCCATGGCAGAGCTCTGAGAAGAGAGGCCGGGATGCGCGTCTGACATCCTGGCTCTCCTGCCAGCCTCTCCTGCTCCTTCCAGAATCCCTGGGCTAATGAGGTCTCTGACCCCCTTTCTCATTGCCACTGGCGCAGCAGCCATGGACAGAGGGGCTATCCCCCTGTTCTCGCGGAAAGCTATCACCTGGCTCCCACAGAGTTAGGCAACAATGAGCAAAAGAGGCTTAAAAGGCTGATAAAACCCTTTCCCAAGAGGCCCCAAAGCTGCAGCTCACTGCAGCACCCGAGTTTACGTCTCCTCCTTCCGTGGCTGCTGTATGAGACCTGAATCTCCATCAAGACGGATGCCGTGGGTTGGCCAGAGCAAAAGTCATCCACTCAGAAATGCAAAAGAGAAAAACTACTTTACATTTTGAAAAAGCAGAAACTGTGTTTATGCATTTACCAAATTCCCAAATACTGACATCATGTTCTCTGTGTTCCCATCACTGTTCTAAGAGCTTGACAAATAGTAATTTAGTTAATCTCTAACAACCCTATTAGATAGGTACTGTTATTCTCCCATTTTTTAGATGGAAAGCCTGAGGCGCAAGGCGTTCATGTAAATATAACATGTTCATCAGGAGTGCCCTGAATCCCAGGAACAGATTCCAGAAGCAGAATTGAGCTTCAGCCCTGGCAGCCTGGCTCCAGGTCCTGCCCTTAGCCACCATGTGCCATCTCTGAAGGACGTGCGCTACTAATGGTGAAGTGCAAAGCAGCTGTGCATGCACAGAAAGGGGCATGAAGAGGCAGCCTCCACAGTGTGAATAAACACACCTGTGTTCAAAGACCATGCCCTGACAGCGCCCGGCAGGTGCAATGCAAGTCTTTCTCTGATATTCATTCACGGTCTTGGAATAGTTTTTGTTGTGCATAATTTTAATAGCATACATTTCTCAAATCCTCAATTTGTAGTAAGTTATGTGTCCTTTCATTCTATCTCTGCAGTAACCCCACACGGGAGGAACTTGTCCTTCCCATTTCAGAGATGAAAAAATAGAAAAACAGAGTTGAGTCCCTTGCCCAAGAGTCCCCACCAGATAAGGACAGAGCCAGGTGTGCCTGCAGCCACAGAGCCTCCAAACCAGGGTGTCCTGTGAGTTTTCTGCTGCCAGATAAACCTCACGGGATAAACCTTACCTCGTGCAAAAAAAAAAAAAATCTCCTGGTTTTTTTCCCGAGCTTTGATGCATTCATGTTTTTTTCTCTTTATATATAGATTCAATCCAGAATTTACTTTTCTTCGTAGTGTAAGCTAAGGATGGGCTTTAACATCCTCCCCCAAATTTAATCAGTCATTCCACTAACATTTGTTGGATAAGCCAGCTTTTTTATTGACTGTGTCACTTGTAGCATATATCACATTCCCATTGCAATGCTCTGAAATCTTGTGTCTATTTCACTGATTTTTCATTCTCTCTCTGACCTAAGTCACGTGCCATTTAAAGTTTAACTCTGAAAAACATGTTCACAACTAGTAGAGCAAGGTCTCCTCCATAGTGTGAAAATTTCAAAAAACGACCCTCTTTGTTCATTCAGTAATCCTGATAACTTTCAGACTCATCTGGGGATTTTGACCAGGATTGTGCTTTCAGATTAATTAGGAGAGAAATGGCATCTTTATAATATTGAGTTAATAATCCTTCCATACATTTGTCTTATTTTATTTCTTTCAGTAAAATTTTATAGATTGCTTCATATGAGATTGCGTATTGCTTAAGTTTACTTCCAAGAATTTATGTTTGGTTGCTATTATGAAGCCATTGTATTTATGATGCTTTCTAACTATTTCTAATGTTTGGCAGTTAAAAAAGCCATTGATTTTGGTGCATTTCTTTATTGCCAATTCTTCCTCCTTTGTACTCATTCTTATGGTTTTTCAGATGATTCCCTTGGGCCTTTCAGATGGACAAGCGTAGGATACATTTTATTTGCACTAGATGCATCTATGCATTTTTTCCAGGAATACAGCCATAATTTTAATCAAATCCTTTTTATCAACGTGACTTCTTAGACATTCACCTCCAAACAATTAATGTGATAAATTATGTTAATATATTTTCTAATATTAAACCATCATTTAATTCCTAAAATAAGCCATGCTTGTGCCTCTAGTGCTAATCTTATAAAAACGCTGGTTTGAGTGTGGATCAGTTTCCTGGGGTTGCTGTAACAAAGTGCCACAGGGTGGGTGGCTTCAAACAGCAGGGATGGACTCTCAGCTCCAGAGGCTGGAGTCTGAAACCAAGATGTGGGCAGAGCCTGCTCCCTCCAAAGCCACCAGGGAGGGTCCCCCCTGCCTCTTTCTCTGAAAGTTTCACTGATCATTATCCTGTAGTTAGGTTGTGATGTCCCTCATTGTTGCAATGAACCTGTCTCAGCTTCTGGGGATAAGGTCAAAACTGAGCAGGACAATTTTAATAAAATCAAAAGGAGAGAAAGGCCGAGGAAGACTGGGGCAGGGACAGGGAGCCCGCAGCTCCAGGGAGTAAGCCGCCATAATTCTGGGCACTACACAACAACAAAAGGGGGAGCTCTGCGAGGTTAGGAAGCTACCTCAAGCCATCCCCCTTCCAACAATTCAGGAAAGCTAATTTCACATTAACAGGAAGCACAGCAGTCCATCAAGGGATGAGTGGAGATGCAAACTGTGGTCTCTCCATACAATGGAATAGTATGCAGCCTTAAAAGGGGAGGAAACTGACACAGGCTGCAACATGTGTGAAGCTTGAGGGCATGATGCTGAGCGAAATAAGACAGTCGCAAAAAGAAAAATACTGCATGAGTCCACTTCTGTGAGGTCCCTGGAGTAATCCAGCTCATAGAGACAGGAAGTAGAACAGCAGTTTCCAGGGGCTGGGGGAAGGGAAGTTAGTATTTAATAAAGACAGAGTTTCAGTTCTGTAAGAGGAAAAGACTCCCGGAGATGAATGGTGGCAATGGTTACCCAGCAAAGGGAATGCACTTAACACCACTGTGCCTGGACTCTTAAAAAATGGTTACAGGGGCCGGGCATGGTGGCTCACGAATGTAATCCCAGCACTTTAGGAGGCCAAGGATGGCAGATCACGAGGTCAGGAGATCGAGACCATCCTGGCTAACACGGTGAGACCCCGTCTCTACTAAAAATACAAAAAATTAGCCAGGCGTGGTGGCGGGTGCCTGTAGTCCCAGCTACTCAGGAGGCTGAGGCAGGAGAATGGCGTGAACCCAGGAGGCGGAGCTTGCAGTGACCTGAGATCGCACCACTGCACTCTAGCCTGGGCAACAGAGCGAGACTCCATCTCAAAAAAAAAAAAAAAATGGTTACAATGGTAAATTTTATGCTACGTGCTTTTAATAGTTCAAAATATTGATTTAAAAAATGAGACATGACAAATTTTCACTAACAGTATTTATAAGAAAATGGATAATATGGCACAGAATAATATCTATATGGACAATTAAAGCATGGCAGAGATGCAGCTCAGACAATGGGTGGAAACAGCTTAGTAGTAGTTCAAAATGAGATTACAGATTCTATAAAACATGCAATAAAAACAAAAATCATCATTTAAAAGAATTCAGAAATGAGACGATAAAACAGGAAGAATAAAAAATGCTAAAAATCACTTCAGAAATGAAAACTAAGCTATCAGAGACATGAATGGAGGAAACACAAGAGACAATACCTTAAGAAAAATAGAAGGTAACAAAGAAAGGCTTTTTAAAATAAAAAAGGAAGAAAGTAAGAAAGAAGGGGACTCAAGAAATACAAAAGGACAAATATGAAAGGCAGGCACAGAAGGTGGCATGTACAAATGGACCCTGCAGGAGAAAATCAAAGCAGGAAACAAAGTCAGTATAAAAACTGTCTTTCACAACAACTTTCCTTACTTTAAGAGAGATTTAAAATGGCCATATTGAAAGTACATGCCAGCTACCTGAGAATATAGATCCAGAATAACCAACACCAAGATATACGCATTAAAATACTAAACTTTTACAGAAAAATTAAAAAAAAACATTTTTGGCATCTAGGTTGAAAAGCAAGATATTGTAAGGAATACAAAAATAGAGTATCATCATGCTTTTACAGCAAAGCTTTATGCCTGAAAAAAGCTAAAATCTTATATCTATTAAGTTTTATTAAGGAAAAAATGTGAACCAAGAATCTTATACCCAGCAAAACTGACTTTCAAGTATCAAAGAGAGGAAGTGTTATCAGCATTCAAGAATTCAGAAATATTGTTCCCATGCGCCTATGCTAAGAGAGAGCTCATCCTAGAGAATGAACTTCAACCAAAAATGGCAACAAAGATTTTCATTAAAGACTAGTGATAAGCATTTATATAGTTACCTGTAGAACTAGGAAAATGAGGGCTAAAAGGGAGAAAAAATTGTATATAATGGCTATATGAATTGACCATGTAGACACAATACTTCTATTTTAAAATGGAAGTGGAAACAGAAAACACACACAGAAAAATATTATTTTTAGCCATGATATCAGTGGTGATAACATTATTACTGATATATAATATATACACACATATAATATTTTTATTCTGAAACAATTGTGTGTATAATGTGCAATAGAAGAAATGCGCAGTTCTGTGAGATATCCTGATTCTATCATCCTTGAGTGCTGCTAGAACTTTTGGTGTTGAACAAAGGAGACACAGATGTTAAATAAGAGGAGATTAAATCAAACTCTTTCATCCTGAATTTGAATTGGAAGAAATGGCTCAAACTCCTAAGGCCTTTCCCAGCTCTGCCATCTATAGTGAGCACTCGCAGTGCTCCTGGGACAGTTGGGAAACACCTTTGCCACGGGATAAGTGGGGTTTCTCGGGGAAATGACTGCTCCCAGGTACTGGGGGAGTGGAATATGATCTGGGCCTGGGCAGCACCAGAGGGCGGAGAGGTCAAGGTGGCCATGGCTGTGTTACCAGGGCTCAAGTCCAACTTGAAAAGGCTCCTATTAGGGGAGATGGGACAATCTCAGTTTCAGGAAGGATGTTAATTTCAACTGATTGAAACTTATTAAATAAGTCTAATCCACAAATTAATAAGAAAATTCAGAGAATATTATATTCATGGAACGACAGTGTCCCAGTTCATTATCTTGAAAACAGATGAAGAGAATCAAGCATTTAGCCTCGTCTGTCTGTGAGCTGTTCCTCAGGGGAAGCAAGTCATAGATAAGGGGAGGCATGTCTTTATCACAGCATTGCTGTTCAAGAACAGAAACCATGGTGCCATCAGGCTAACCATTGTGTAACCCATGATGGATTCATGACTCTAGCAGCATCCACAGCAGCTGGCATCGCAGAGAGAAGCAATCAAGTGTTATATGCCTCCCAATAAAGAAACAAAATGCCGACTGTAATCTTAAGAAAGAGATCCTTAGGATCGGGCTCTGGATGCAGGAACCAATGTGCAGGTTGAGAGCACAGAAGATGGTGTTGTATTGCCCCATAACTTTGCACTTGGCAAAAGCCAGACTGGGACATTCTATGGGCAAAAACCGTGAATTCTACAACAGGTAAGTTGTATGGGAAAGAAAAGAGTAGAAGGAGAACTTGTAGAATGAAAGGGATTTAAAGACCTCAGATTAAAAAGAAAATGGGCAAGAGGAAACTCTAGATTCTAGGCATGCACGTGACTGACAGACCACAAGAAGGGCAAGGACCAAGATGTTGAATTCGTGGTGATGTTAATTTGAGGCAGGGGCTGGCGAGACTGACAGGGATGAGGAACATGTGGTTTCTGGAGAGTCTGCAAAGGTCCATTCCTCAACTTGGTGGTAGTTGCAGGGAGGTGGGGGAGGGCTGCTTTATCATAACCCATTTCAGCTGTGTGCGTGTTTTGTGTGGTTTTCCATATCTGTGTTTTGTTTTACAATGAAAAGTCAGAAAAAAACAAGTTTGGCAACCAGACATGATGTCCCTCTGCTGTGGTGACTTTTTAAACTTTTATGCAATACTGGCCCTGTCCCCTGCACCTGGAGGAGTCCACAGGCAGCTGCTGTGGAACAGGTGAGCCAGCGAGCCATGAGAGGAGCAGCATCTGGGGCCAGTGACAGCATTCCAAATTAGAGAGAGCTAGAGGCCAGCGCAGAGCGGCTGACTGCAAGGCCTGAGACCAGAGTGGGGTTTAGTGAAACGGAGTGGCATTTGTGTGATTCCAGCCTGAAGTCTGGAGCAGCAGACCAGAGGGACAGCTGGAGACCCACATATGAAGAAGTGCCCGCCCACTCCTTGGGAAGAGCTCTGCATACACCCACATGTGAAACCACAGATAGGGCTCATTCACAAGGCAGCCCAGGTAACATGGAGTACAGAGAACCAGACCCCAAGAGCACGTCTGCAGATCTCCGGCATCTGAGGAGCCCACTTCCAGACATGCTGATGCAGGGGCAAGTGGTTTAGCTTACAACGTGGAAAGCTGGAAAGTGTCCCATTTTCATTTGTCAGACACAAGCCTTCCCTTGAATGTAAAGGGATCTGCTTGCAGATGGCTCAAATTCCCAAGGTGCTGATTCTGCCCGTGTGTAACTGGAACCCCGAGTGTCCATCCAGATGGGAGGAGAAGCGTCTGGGCCCTGAAGCCCCGGCTGGCACCTTTCTACCACCACTCCTGGCAGATCTAGACATGCCCAGGGGCTGTACCGGTGCCAGAGGCCACACACCTCCCACAACAGAAACCCAGAATGGAAGCTTCCACTGTGAAATCACCAGTGTGGGATGCCGAAGAGGCACCAGGAAGTGTGGAATAAACGTTGCCTGTAATAAATGGCCCCTGCATACAATCAGGGTCTAATACAGTTAATCTACCAGTGCTTGTAATTACCCTTTTTTGTAAAGAAGGAAGTGATTTGTATTAACCCTCAAATGATACCAAAGATGCCTTTTGTCTTCCGTCAGCCCTGGTCCCATCCAACCTTCAGCAGGCAGTCTCAAATAAAAGGAAACTGCATTTCCACGATGAGGATCTTAGCTGCATTTCCTTGTGGTGAAAGCACATCTAATCAGGTATCTGAGAAGAGATTTTTCAACATTATTAGAGAGTGGCAAATGCTGTTATTGTGGGACCCAGAATGAAATCTCAGCCATAAACCTTCACTCATATTTGGAAAAGTGAATTATTCAATCTTGAGGCTGTAATAGCAGAAATGAATAATAAAACCATATCACAAGACCAACAAAATCTAGTATTTGTATTATTTTTTAAGAATGGTTACTAAAAAAAATTTTAATTTTAAGAAATGGAGACAAAAAGTAGAATGAAAATATCAATCCTTAGGTTGTTGGGGACACCTGGGGTTTTTGAGATTTGTCATCTCCATCACAGGTGCCAGGTAAGCAGTTCATAAATGATCCATCAGGTGGCAGGTGGGGCAGCAAAGATTTAAATATGATGTTGATGGTGTGAGTTGCAAAGAAAACGTGAGGGTTTTACTGCCAAACATTCTGAGCTTTTGGATAGACAATGGGGCCTGGTATACAGGAAACAACCAGACATCCTGCAGCCCATGAGGCTGAATCCCCGGGGGGGTGGGGACGCCCATGAGGCTGAATCCCTGGGGGCTGGGGATGCCCATGAGGCTGAATCACAGGGGGCTGGGACGCCCATGAGGCTGAATCCCGGGGGCTGGAGAACACCATGAGGCTGAATCCCCGGGACTGGGGACACCCTCTTTCAGGGCACGGCTGTCTTTTTGCGTCCTTTCAGAACCAGCATGCTCTATTAGGAGCTCTGGGAGAATAGACAAGTCCCCCATGCTGAGGGGTGGTGGAGAAAGGGACAAGGCAGAATTCTGGGAGCCCTGAGGGGCTGCAGTGCTGGATGGCTGGGCAGGAGAGGGAGGTTTGTGATGAGACCAAAACTGTCTGAAAAGGAACTGAGGGGAACCCACCACACCACCCCTTCCTGGGGAGAGCCCTCTGTGTGGTCATGGGACATTGCAATTTAAAGTCCACTCTCTGCTCTGTTCAGCCTGACTTTACCCAGGGATGCATGGGAAGAGGGAGAAGCCTTTACCAGGTCCAAGATGTCCCAAGCCCCTTCCCTTGAAGCCTCAAGGTACCCCCCAAAATGAAGCCAGTGTTCTGAGTCCACCTGCCATTGCCACCTTAGACATAGACAACCTGGGCTGCTTTCAGCGGCATCTCTCCTGAAACAAAGGAAAACATTCAATAATTCGTAACCTCAAGCCCCTGGGCCGCACTCATGTTAAACAGCTGTAAACAAAAGCCCGAGAGGTGGAATTTCTTGATTCTGACCTTTACAAAGCTCTGTAATCAGACAGAACAAAGGCCCAGCCCTCGGGCTCCTCTCAGCCGCTAAGCAGGGCTCATCTAGGAAAAATGTGCACAGTCCAATGACATCTAAAACGGTCCTGATGTCAAAAACACGTCCAAGCTTTCTTGAAGCCTTCCCTATAAATGGCTGTAAAATACATATTTACTTAAACAGGGTTATGAAGGTCTCTTAATTCTGAATTCAGATTGCTTTAAATATTAGTTAAAACCTAAGAACCAAAAGATTGCATTATGCATAGAGCCAAGTAGGTCCAAGATATTGGGACAGGCATGGGGAGAACTCAAGAGCTGGATGGAGGCTGCTGAGTTTCTCCCTTCGAAGGAAGCTGGAGACGCCCTGGCCATGGAGCAGGTGCATTGGCCCTGGGGCTGAGCCCTAGGAAAACAGCGCCCCATGGAGGAAAGTGAGGGAAGGACAGGCGCTTGGCCGTGGCTTGGGCTGGAAACAGCTGCAGGTTCCGCAGCCTGTCCCTGCTGGGGATCCCCTTCCTCCCAGCTCCACAGAGATGAAAGGAGGAGGAGGGTGTAGGACCTGGCCCAGGGCCTGGCTCCAGGAGGTTCTCAAATCCCACCTCTGCCACGCCCTGCCCGGGCCTTGACCACCTCTGCTTCCGCATCCACGCCAGGTGAAGGACCCTTGGCACACGACCGGCCTAAGGAGGCCACTGCTTCCTGGGAGGGTGGGGTCCCATGCCAGCATCTCTGCTGTCCCACCCTGGATACTCACTGGAAGGTCCTGTGTGGCCCTGCGAGGGCAGAGGGGGAGAAGGAGGGGAGCAGGGGAGGGGAAAATGATGGGGTGGAGATGGGTCAATGCTGGACCAGGTAGGACTGGATTCGGCGGAGATTTGCGGAAAGTCCCACTTAGACGGACTCTCATTTCCTCTCACGAGTGATCCCTAGGCCAGCAAATGCGGGGAGGACAGCACACTCTGTTCCCAGGACTCAGTTTCTTGGCAGCATCTTGCCCACAGCCCAGCGCACAGCAGGGAGGGGGCAAGGGGTACATGCCTCCCTCAGAGACCCTTCCCAGACCCATGGACTCCTCTGTGTGCACCTGCGGGCCCACCTGAGGCACTGCCCACACCCAGACACACAGGAAGCTGCGGAATTCACCTGTCCAGATCGGCCACACAGGAAGCTAGTCTTCATCTATAGGTTATTCACCCACTAAAAAAGAAAAGGAGCATGAACAGGGAGACAGGCCCTGCCACTGCCTGAAGAGGGAAGCCAGGCCAGGCAAAAAAACGCCCCCAGTCAGGAATTGATGGAGGGACGTGGGAGGACCCTGGCCTTGGCTGGGGCATTGGATGGAACCAGAACCCCCTGGATGCGTCTATAGAGACCCCTCCTCAGTCCTTAAAGCCCAACTGGTCCCACGCAGGCTGGGCCCTGACTGGACGCTTGTAGCATGTCCAGCATCCTCTCCAACACTCTGTGGCTGATCAGCTTCCATCCTCAGGACTCCATGTAGGATTCACCATGCTCCCTTCAGAGAGAGCACCAGAGATGCTGGTGCCTCGCCCACAAACACCTCTGCCAAATTCTGGGTCACGTTTTGAATCCGTGCCAACATGGCTCTGGCGTGCATGTTCTTCCCATTTGGGTAATCACCGTATTTAGCCCACACAGAAGCTAAAGGTTGAACGTTTAGCACTAAGTAAAGAACTATCAGCTTCCACCTTTGCTTTGAAAAATTCACAGTATAGAAATAATTCATGAACCAATCAAATTTACCTACATGAGCATCTGTGCAAATGTCCTCCAGGGTCCAGTTCGGCAGCTCGCTACAGAAGGGCAGTGTAACTGGATGAATTATCAAATACTCTGTCTCTTCCGCCTGAATCCCAGGCCACGGCCCTGAAGTTTTGAAGTCTGAACTGTTGGGCTCTGCAGAGGCGCACAGCGATAGCACCCCACGATGCGTACTCTGGCTTCAGAGGCAAACATTACAGCAGCTGTGGACATCCGTGCACACTCCTGCGGGCCCCACTGGGAAGACCACCACCGTGTTCCTGGAAAGCAAACACTCTTTTTGAGGGGTATGCAAATGAGGAGAGAGAAAAATTAGAAAGAAAAGGAGGAAAAAACAGGAAGTGCCCAGGAAGGTGCCACACAAGGAGGCTGGATTCAAACAAATTCTGGCGTTTTGAAATAAAAGGGCGTTGGAGGTTAAAACAGAGTCAAGCAAATGGATTTCTTGTCTGTCTGTGTGTTTTCATTGCAGCCTGGGATCACAGTCATGTCTCCTGAGGGATGCGGCTGCCACAATGGGGGGCTTAGGGGACATCCTGGGTGGGTTGTACCTGGGAAGCTAAAACCCTGTACCTATGTACTTGGGAGAAGCCTGCCTGACACACAAGGATCCCGTGAATGAGGTGGGGCCAGGGGTACCAAGACCGGACAACCCCAAACCCCCCAAGCTCTTCTCCACAGGAACAGCCATGTCAATGCCAAAATCATCATGATATTCCTAGAATCCTTCCGAAGCGGAGGTGGGCTTCGGAAACAAGAATGGCAACCAAGCCAGCCCAGAAGCACCCAAGGGAGCCAAGACGCTGGATCGACTCCAACTCTTTTTATTTCTGCTGGAGAAGAGCCCCACCCAGCTCTCAGGAACCTGGAATGAGAGGATTGTGCTGGAGGATTTACTTTTACTTTTAGGACAAGATTGAAATCCCTTGTTATGTCTGTCTTTCAATAAGCTACTAATGCCCACATCTAAGTATCTCCATTTTGATGAAAAAATAACACTATATCAGCAAGCTATTTGTGAAGCTGGATTTTAAGAACTTGATCCACAAGCTTAATGGGTAAACATTTTTAAAGAAATTCTGGTTGTTAAAGCTGCTTTAGCCCCCTGGCTCTGGAATTTAAATTCTTTGCGATGTTGTAAGCACCACGTTGCTATGACTTTTTTCTCTCCCCATTTTTTTTTAACCAGAAGTGGAAAATTATCTTTACACTCCTTTTTCAGGATTACCAGAAAGCTGACGTTCTTTCTCAAATTGGTCTTTCTTTTCCTCTCATTTTTTTATTTTTATGTATTTATTTATTTTTTGATGGAGTCTCACTGTCACCCAAGCTGGAGTGCAGTGGTGCAATCTCGGCTCACTGCAACTTCTGCCTCCTGGGTTCAAGCGATTCTCCTACCTCAGCCTCCCGAGTAGCTGGGTTTATAGGCACCCGCCACCACACCCAGCTAATTTTTTTTTTGTATTTTTAGTGGAGATGGGGTTTCACCATCTTAGCCAGCGGGGTCTCAATCTCCTGACCTCATGATCTGCCCACCTCGGCCTCCTAAAGTGCTGGGATTACAGGAGTGAGCCACCATGCCCGGCTACTAAAAATACAAAAAATTAGCCAGGCGTGGTGGTGGGCGCCTGTAGTCCCAGCTACTCGGGAGGCTGAGGCAGGAGAATGGCGTGAACCCAGGAGGCAGAGCTTGCAGTGAGCCGAGATCATGCCACTGCACTCCAGCCTGGGCGACACAGCAAGACTCCGTCTCAAAAAAAAAAAAAAAAAAAAAAAAAAGAACTGGGCTTCTCTTCACTTTGAAAAACACCAGATTAAACAAATAATCCAGCATCACATATTTTTATTTCAATTCATAACTGAAGTCAAAGCATTAAACAAGTCAGATTATAAACAAATAAATGAAAGTTTTAAAAGCCCCTCCCGTGAGCCAGTGTGAGCCGGTCAAGCCGGCAGGAGGAGCTGCATGGGCTGGCAGAGCTCCCCGCCAGCCCCTGCGTGGCTCACCCCAATGGAGGCTGTGACACATGGTATGTTCGCTGGCTCACATCCTCACACTGGTGGGAAATGCAGCTGGGAACAGGAGCCTGAGCATTGCCAAGGTCACGAAAGAGTGGAAGCCCCACCTCGGCCCAGGGTCTGCGCCTCTCTTGGCCAGAAGGAAGCCCCACCAAGAATGTATTTCCTCACCTGATGGAGAAGCAGGAGGCAGGGACCATGCTTGGTAACCGCCAGACGGGATCCCATCCAGCCATTCAGCTGCCATCCTGGGAAAGGGAGACTTCAGATCCCATCCAGCCATTCAGCTGCCATCCTGGGAAAGGGAGAGAATGGGGCTCAGGCAGGACGGGTCTTGGGTAAGACCAATGAAGTAATGTCAGGGCAGAGCCCAGGAGGAAAGGAGACCTTTGGCGTCTGTGTGGAGAGGCTGTGAGGGCAGCAAGTGACCTGGCCACACAGGTAGGAGGCCACAGCCTGCAACCACAGGCTCACAGCTGGGAGGTAGGGGAGGGTCTGCCCAGCTGACTCCACATCCTCCACCCACCAACCCCCACCTTCCCCTCCAGCTTCAGGGGGACAGATTGACCCTGCTGGAGACCAGTTGCAACCACAGGCTCACAGCTGGAAGGTAGGGGAGGGTCTGCCCAGCCAGCTCCACACCCCCCACTCACCAGCCCCCACCTTCCCATCCAGCTGCAGGGGGACAGATTGACCCTGCTGGAGACCAGTGCAGTGCAGGAGGTGACAGGTAGGCTCAGAGGTCCTGACTCAGAGCTCTGTGACCCTCTAAAGTATCTCAATCTCTCTTAGTCCCTGCTTCCTAAAATAAAAACTGAAGATGTAGCCCTGCCTTGCCGGGTGTTGGGAAGTGTGAGCAAGACCTGCGTGTGGCGAGGACTCGCTCCAGAGCTCAACACTCCACAAGTTGGAAAGACGGACCGCACAGGTCCACACGGGAAGGGTGTGGACAGTAATTCATGGTTTTCAGAGGATAATAGAATGGCAGGCTCCTGGAAACTCAATCTAGAAAGCCGTCCACATCTGTGCCAGCCTCTGACAGTAAGATAAAAATAAGTCTCCTCACTTGACAGACTCTGAGCCCCGGGCCAGACATACCAATGGCTACAACTGAGTGCACACCAAGCTCGTATGAAGTATCCCAGGGCGCTGAGGACTCAGCGGCCACCCCTGCCCAGAGGCAGAGAGTGCAGGTCAGGGCAAGCTCCAGAGGGCACATCTGCTGGGCCTCGGGGAGGAGCCAGGAGGGGCAGCCACGGCAGGAGGCCAGGATGAAGGCTGCAGCCGGGAGGGCGCAGCAGCCAGCAGTGAGCGCTGACCAGCCTGCGGGCCCCTGTGATGGCACTTTCCAAACAAAATCTGACCCCCTCACTTCTGGAGTGGACAGGGCTGCTCCCTATCCCACGCAGGAAGCTCTCGAGCCAACACCACGGCTCACAACCTGCGTCGTTTCCCGAGCTGCTCTGCTGAGTCAAGGTTGGGAAACTCAACCTCTGATCACGCAAGTTCAGCGTGCTGGGCCGCCCCACTCCTCACAGGCCGGCCAGCATCCGAGGTGCCCACAGCCAGTGCCCTGCAGTGTTGAAGCTGTTCCACAATCTGGCAGGACTTCGCATGTGCGGCCACAGGACAAACGCCCAGAACCTGAGCCCTTCACAGTACCCGAAGCCGCTCTCCGGGCCAGCCACTGGCCAGGAGAGGAAAGTCCATGCTGGAAGATTCCCAGCTGTGTCTGGTTGGGGCCGCCTGATGACAGAGTTTGGCTCCTGAGCAGCCAGGAGCAGAGCGGGAGAGGCTGAGGGAGAAAGCCGGCAGGGGAGGCGCAGAGGCCACGTGCACAGCCCACGCTGCGGGATGCAGATGGGAACAAAGGTAGGCCAGTGGCAGGAGTGCCTCGGGGAAGTCCTCGGCCCAGTGCTGAATGGAATAGGAAGACCCCACACAGGTCCCGAGAGCAACATCTTAGAAACCCCTCCCCGCCAGCCAGTGGGTCCCACAGTCTGCTGGGCCAGTGCTGGGACATGCACCAAAACCGCAGGATAGAGGGGATAAAGAAAACGTGGTACATATGCACAATGAAATACCACTCAGCTCTAGAAAGGATGGGATCCGGGCATTTGCAACACGGACAGAACTGGAGGTCACCGTGCTAAGTGAAATAAGCCAGCACAGAAAGACAGACTTCACATGTTCTCAGCCCTCTGTGGGAGCTGAAAAGGTGGAGCTCCTGAAGATGCAGAGTGATTGGTGGTTACGAGGCTGGAAAGAGAAGGGAGGGAGTGAGGAGAGGTTGATTCATGGGTACAGGTATACAGATAGAAGAAATGAGACCTGGGGTTCGACAGATCAGTAGGGCAACCATAGTTTACAGTAAGCTATTGTATACTTCAAAATAGCTAGAAGGGAATAACTCAGACGTTTCTAGCATAAAGACAAATATTTAAGGTGATAGATACACCAGTTACCCTGGTTTGATCTTTCCACATTATATGAATGTATAAAATTATCACATGTACCCCAAAATATGTGCATTGATTATGTATTCATTTAAAATATCAATTTTTTAAGCACCAGGAGGATTGGGTGCCGGAGGGTGCTGTGGGCTGACCCACCCCTGCCAGGGCAGAGGGAAAGGGCCGGCTCTAATTGGCAGGTTCCTGGAGAAAGCAGCTCCTGGGAGAATGTCAGCACAGAGCAGTGCCAGATTGGAATCATCTTGGATTTGCAAGAGATTGAGAGATTTCTGGCTACAGTGAAACACAGGGAGAAGCTTTTGCACAAAGGAAATAAAGGTTTTCTTTTCCGGAACTTCAGTTCCTATTTGGAGTCCCAAAGGGAAGAACTCCCACCGATCAAAAGATGGATTTTCTCAGCCGGAAAGTTCAATCTTGTTCCTCACAAGCCTGGTCGTTTATAAAAATAGCTGGTGATGAGGTTTTCTGAGACAGGGAATCACCAGTTACCTGATTTTTAGGATCTAAAAGCAGAGAGCAGCTGCTAGGATACCAAGGAGCTAAGCCCTCGGCTGGGCGTGTTTACCGAGAATCGGGACAGTCAAGGCTCGTGTGTTTTCAGTACAGGCACTTGGTGACCCACGGGCTGTGAAGCTGATGAAAGAGGAAGACGGTGGGGTTGGGGGTGCGGTGGTTCCCGTCCACCCATCTGCCAGGTTTTATGTGCCAGGGGCTCAACCTGCCTGCCCTGCCTGCCTGCCCTGGGACCAAGGGCCAGGGAGGAGATTAGATACAGAAATCTATCCCCGTTTCTGTAAAAACCATGAGAATCAGAGCCTGCTAACAAGCGGTGTGACTCTGGCCTAGGAGATGGAAGCTTAGCAGGCAGCACCTTTGTCCTCATGGAGCTCTGAGTCCAGCTGGAGAGACGCCAACAAACACGGAAATCAAGGCCCAGGGTGTCCATCCCCATTGCAGTGGCACAGGGCGCCTGGGGTGGGGCTGGGGGCTCTTCTCCTGCAGCGGCTGGAGAGCGTCTCACCAGCAGGGACAGGCACACGTGGAAAGGAGGAGCCACTGACACGCAGAAGGCGCATGGTCCAAGTGCCCACCCCTCGTCCATTCTTCCAGCAGAGACCCCCAGGCCCTGCGCTGAGCGGTGAATCCACGCAAAGACCACTCGTGCCTCTGAGGTGTGCATGGCACAGTAGGGAAGGAAGATGGGGGGAGGGTAACCTCAGTGGGAGTCTTGGGTTTTGAGGTTTCGGGGGACCCTTGGAGAGGCTGGGCCCCAGAGAGCCTCCCTGCTGTCCCCAAGTCACTAGGATCATCACATGATCAGAGGAAGACACCAGAAACTCTATTCCATTTGAAGTCACTGTAACTCATTTGTGAAAACATCTGGGAGATGCCTCTGGCCCCTGACGTTGGCCCCTTCTCGAGGGTGGGACAAAGTGCCTCAGAAGGATGGTGGGGAAACAAGCCGGGCACAGAACAACAAACTACAGGATGTCGCGGAGCTGTGGGATCCGCCACAGCCAACCTCAGGAAGAGAGAGGAGGAGCGGGGTGGGTGGGGGTTGGGGCATGGGGAGATGGTGGTCAAAGGATATAGAGCTTCTGTGAGATAGCAGGAGTGAGCTCAGAGGTCTGCAGTGCACGTGGTGACCACGGTTATGACAATAACAATGTGTTAATCTCTGCAAGATCCTGAGAGTGGATTTTGCGTTCTCATCACAAATCATGAGAAGCATATGAGGTCACACATAGGGTAATTAGCTTGATCCAGCCATGCCACAATGTACATGGGTTTCAAAATATCACGTTGTATACCATAAGTACATACAATTTTAATTTGTCCATTGAAAATATTAATTAATTAATTAATTTAAAATGAAACTAAAGAAAAGCGGCCCAGCTGGCCCTAGCTTCCCCTGAGAGACTCCTTCCCTTCATTCTTTCTCCTCCACCGTGAAGTGGGCCTGGGATGAGGAGGAGGCTGGAGAGCTCCCTGAGGGGACAGATGGGGCTGGCTGGGCAGATAAATGGGGCAGGGGCTGGACCCTGAGGAGGAAGCCCCCGCTGCGCCCCTCGGCTGAGCGCTTGGGTTTGCTGTTGGGTGGGTTCCTTCCCAGCCTGTCTGGCCGCCCCATGTAGCCATGAGGGTCCAGGGCTGGTGTGGACACCCCAGGCATAACAGGCCACTGCTCCTGGCCCTGCTGCCGTGGTCCCACCCTGGGGCTCCCAGCGCCCACCGCCAGGCAGAGAGTCCCGTCCCTGCTCTGTGGAGCTCAGCGCGGAGCCCCGGGAGCAAGTCCTCAGTAGGGAGCAGGACGCCCCATCCTTCCTCTTGTTCTGCAGACCAGTCGCTTGAGCCGCCACCAGCTCTGGGCTTCCATGGGTGGGGGCCTCATTCCTGGGGGGCTGCTGGAGGGAGAGCCAGGGATGCAGAGAGAAGCGGGGGCTTTCTTTTCGGCCTCGCATGGGCAGAAGCAGCAGCCGCCTCCTGGTTCCCGCAGAGCCTCTGCGAGAAGCCCACAGCTTCCTTTCCCCACACATCCTGGGAGCCGCTTCTGGGGCGGCCTGGGCCCAGCCCTCCGTGGGAGTCCACTGGCCACGGTCAGGGCGAGAGCAAGGCCGAGGCGATCTGGCCGCCTCACCTCCTCCTGGGCCTGATCATCTAGAAGGGTCTCTGGAGGCTTCTTGGAACAACAAGCAGAAAATCCCTGTAAAAATCTCATGACTCAAACATCTAGTTGTGAGGACACCATTGCAGGATTATTGTCCACCGAGTTAGACACACACGGCCTGTAGTGAACTGCTTTCTGCACGGGGTGAAACCTGCCCCATCCCTGCCAGAGACCTACAGCGGGGACTCCTGTGCCTGCACACAGGAACAGAATGACTCCGTGGCATGAAGTCAGCATCTCGCCCGGGATCCCGGGAAGCTGGTGCTCCCTGCTCCATTGGGTTGGAAGATGTTTGATGTGCTCAGTCTCTGTTGCTGCTAACTTTACCACCGCTGTTGGAAATAACATTTTGTCAATGTGATATGCAAATAAGACCCAAATGTAATTTCGTATGTAAATAAGGCACAACTCCAAAATATGAACTGTGGAAACAGAGAGCTTCTCTTAATTTAAATTCCGTATGGCCGTTTATGTCGCTTATAAAAAATCTAAATCATACGAATGTCTCAGCTCACTGACATACTCCTGCCGACCATCGATGTCATTGGGTTCAGAGGAAGAGCCGCACTCTGCAGGCGCAGGCCATCAGCCGGCTAGCTGGGCTGATGACCTCTGTGATTGAAGCTGGATGGTAGAAAAGCCCCTTTTGCTTTCCAGTGCACAGCTGTGTGTATCGTATCCAGAGTGCACCAAGCAGCGTGCTTGGAATTGCTGTTTCATATTTCCTTAAATGAGATACAGCCGAATCCATTCTAACAGACCTCTCCATTATGCTCTAGACTTTGTCAAGCGTCTGGTGCAGTCTATCCCACATGAATACGCTAAGTTCTCTTCCTAGCCTGCTAGGCCAGCAAGCAGCTCCTATTTTTGTCTGCTGGAGATGAACCCATTGGTAGTGGCCTCAGGGCTGAGCAGGGCTGTCTGCTCCTGTCTCAGGCCTCAGATCCAACCATTATTCCTTTTCTGGGGTTAGGTTTTGTTTGCCCAAACCCGGCCGACAGCAGCCTCGTCGGTGAGCTGAATCGCAAGAATGGGGGTTTCGACCCAACACGACTACGCCTCGCTTTCTGGAGGGTGGCTCTAGACATATGCACCCTCCAGCCCTGAATGTGGCTCTGACGGCAGGCTCTCTGCGTGGGCCCTGGGCTGAGGAAACCCCGGGAGGCCCCAGTACTGCCTGTGGAAGGCTGGCTGCAGAATTGGACCTGCCTACTGTCCCAGTGACCTGCCAGACAGAGCATGGCCTGAGGAGGGGCCGTCCTCCACCTTGGACTCCCACTGTCACAACTCCCTTGTCCTGGCTGTGCCTTTCCCAAAGGGTGTCCATATTTCAGCCCCCTGGAAGGCAGGCCCAGCCTAGGCCTTGGGGACGGGGGATATGACAATTCAGCTCTGCACTGAGAGCCTCTCTCAGCCGGCCCAGCCATGTGGTGATGGGGAGGGCTCCTGGCTCACACAGCTGTGACTCCTCTCCCAGACCCTTGGGTGCTTTCAAACCCTTAAGCTGTCCTGCTCCCCAAAGGAGGGACTAGGGGGCCCTCCTGCCGAAGGTGTAGCATAAAGAAACAACGCAGAGTGAGGAAGTGGATGGGATTGCCTGGGTTTCTTCCCCATCTGCAGCTGCACAGAATTCCCCAGAGCCCTTTCCCCTGGATGGGCGAGAGTCTCCTCTCCATCAGACACGAGAGGCTGCAATCTCAGGCACAGCTGCTGTGGCCTGCTGTGAGTGAGCCACCTCGTTAGAGCCATGCTTCCCTGATGTTCATTCTTTAGACAAAGACAGGTTTCCACCCTGGAGATCCCAGACACCAGGACCTGCTCTGTCCCACTGGGAGGACACGCCCTGTGCCCACCCTAAGTGGTGTGAGGGAAGGCAGGGGAGGGGGCTGGAGCCAGAAGCAGCTCAGGCAGAGATGAGGTGAGCCCAGGACCTTCTAGCCTAGACCGCATCACCTGTAAGGAGGGTGGGTCCTGGCTTTTCACGGTCCGTTGCCAGGCAGGACCACTAAGAATCTGTGCTCGCAGCAAGTCCAGGGACAATTTTTTGTGCATCTTTACAGAAGCTCCAGCTTCGAGGACCAACAGGATGGTTCTAAGCTATGGCCCAGTGGACTTTTTCCAAAAAAGCAGAAAATGTCAGAGCAAGGAGCTCTTCCCATGGGGCCCACTGCCTTTGGCCTTTCCCTGGGAAGCATGTCTCAGATGAGTCAGTTAGATGGGGAGCTGGAACTTCAGGCCCCGCAGCGGCGTTTGCCCTGGGGTGGATTTCTGATAGAGAGACTTGCCCATGACCTCTTCCAGGGGGGAAATCCCAGCTGCAATGATGGAGCCTCTGAGCCCCACACAGGCTGCAAGCATATCTCAATGGGGATAGGTGAGCCCAGGACATCTAAGGCTGGCATCTGGGCAGGAGAAGCAGCAGTAACATCCTCCAGGGTGTCAGGCTGTAGAGCTACACTAGAAATGCCAGAAATGCCTTTGCAGAATATGGGTCAGAAGCCAGATTTATATACAATGCTGCAGGAAATATCTTTCTCATAGAGCAGTTTAGCAATTTCAGGGAATCGCAAATCTCCGTTCTGAGAAGTTCAGGGTGCACAGGATCAACTGTATTGTTCAGGGAAACACATTGCACAGCCATATGGCCTGGCCTAGGATATTGGAGAGAAGAAGACCTCACCAGCCTCCCCACACCCTTGCCTTGCCTGTTTGCCTGGGTATCACCAGCGGAGGCTGTAGAACAGCAAATATTGCTGCCTGATCCTTCCTCTGGAAGCTTCATCTCAGAGGGGCACCTGGCTGTGTGAGGTGTCAGTCAGCCCCTACTGGGAGGTGTCTCCCAGTTAGGCTATACGGGGGTCAGGGACCCACTTGAGGAGGCAGTCTCTCTGTTCTCAGAGCTCAAACACCATGCTGGGAGAACCACTGCTCTCTTCGGAGCTGTCAGACAGGGACATTTAAGTTTGCAGAAGTTTCTGCTGCCTTTTGTTCAGCTATGCCCTGCCCCCAGAGGTGGAGTCTACAGAGGCAGGCAGGCCTTGTTGAGCTGTGGTGGGCTCCACCCAGTTTGAGCTTCCTGGCCGCTTTGTTTACCTACTCAAGCTTCAGCAATGGTGGACGCCCCTCCCCAGCTAGGCTGCCACCTGGCAGTTCAGTCTCGGACTGCTGTGCTAGCCGTGAGCAAGGCTCCGTGGGCATGGGACCTGCCGAGCTGGGCATGGGAGAGAATCTCCTCATCTGCCAGTTGCTAAGACCTTGGGAAAAGCACAGCATTTGGGTGGACGTGTCCCATTTGTCCAGGTACAGTCTGTCACAGTTTCCCTTGGTGAGGAAAGGGAAATCCCCCAACCCCCTGTGCTTCCCAGGGAAGGTGATGCCCTGCCCTACTTTGGCTCACCCTCTGTGGGCTGCACCCACTGTCCAACCAGTCCCAATGAGATGAACCAGGTACCTCAGTTGGAAATGCAGAAATCACCTGTCTTCTGCATCAATCACGCCGGGAGCTGCAGAGCGGAGCTGTTCCTGTTCAGCCATCTTGGAATGGACCCCCTGTATTTTTTATTTTTAACATAAAAATATCATAGTCCTCATTTATGAAAATCTTGCATCAGTGCTATTTCATTAGATTTAGAGTGTTTATCTAATAATCAAATTAACACATACATGCTCATTGTCAGTAATATAGGAAATGTAAAATAGTCTGAAGAAAATCAAAGTACTTGATAGTCTTGCTCCCAAGAAATAATTCCTTCCAGTTTTGTGTGTTTCTGTTTGTAAATGTACTCATAAAATTAGAATAATGCTGTTTAGTATTTTTTTCACGCAACATATTACTTGTTTTTTCTTATGTCATTTAACATACATCAAAAATATAGTTTAATGCTTGTTTTAAATTCAACAGCTTATTTAATCCTTCTGCTTTAGACAGGTTATTTTTAGTTATTTTACTATTCTAAATCTAAAAATTAATGAAATATTTGTCATATCTATAAGTTGTGTTCGTTATACAGATTCTGACCCTTGGAAGTAATTGACTCTTACTGATAGTCTTGTGCCGGGCATTACGCCAACAATCTAGCAAGGGGGGCACCATTACAATCCCACTTTGCAGATGAAAAAACTTAGGTTTTGAGGTTCAATAGACAGTTGCAAAGCCTGGAGATTTTTTGTTGCTTGTTGCTATTCTTCTATCACTTTTTACTTTCTAAGAACTTTTTTTTCTCCTCCCAAATGCTATGTCGCTCTGAGACAAGTCAGCTAGTTATCTATGTTTCTGTTTTGCTTGTCTTTTTTCCACATGTAACTCTAGAGTATTTCAGGGATTTATTTTAGTGTATACCATGATGCAAAGGCTTAACTTCTTCTGACATAAGCTTAGTGATGCTTCCAAAGCATACGTGCACACGGGTGGGTGTGGAGTCACACTATGTGCATTATGTGAATGATTGGCAGAGAGAGTATTGTGAGAGAGTAGTGTATTTTTTAAATATTGATTTCATAAGTGCATTGATCTTTAATGAATTGGTCAGCTTCCCATCTTTTTCTGTTCTTGGGGACAGATTGTATAACATGAATTCTCAGCTTCCTGAAATTTTGAAAGAACTTTCTCTTTATCGTCTGGAACTGGGGCATTTTTAGAGGTGACTGTGTAATGAAATTTATAAAATCTGTTTATCATTAGTTAATTTTTCAAGTTCTCAAATTTTTAGTATAATTTTGAAAAAAATCCTCTTTTTCAGAGAAGTCTTCACACTTTTCAAATGTAATACAATAGCATTTCTCTCTGCATAACATTTTCTTTTTAAAAAAAGAACAAAACTCTGCTCACATGCTGTCATTACACCTGCTCCCTCATTTCTAATTTTGCCTGCTCTCTCTTCCCTGTATTGCAATGTATCTTTAAGCCAGTAAAAATGATAGTGGATTTATTTAACTATTGTAAACTTTCAGTGCCTCTAGATGATTAATTTCTCTCTTTCTCTTTACTAATTAATTCTTCTTATATCTAACATTTATATTTCCAGCTATTTTTTTCACCAGCTTCTTGAGTTCCGTACATAGATCAAAGTGTAAATCTAACACATAATTGTGAAATAGTTGTAAAATTTAAAATATAACACAAAAATTACAAACAAATATATGACAAAGCAGTTCTCAAAATAAAATTCACTTTGAAAATCATCATTTTTACACCTTTTGTGGTATTTGCGTTTGGTGCTTCATCATCTGGGAATGTGACAGTGTCCTTTTATTTTAGCTGTGCTTTTTTTAAGTTCTAATAGGATCACATTTTTAAAGCAAAATTCAGTGAAACTTTAAAGAAAGGGATAGTTCTGATTGTAAGATTAAAAGTTTTGAATACTGAATAATAATAGCTATCCCCATGATTATATTCTACTGAGACATGTCTCAAATTCCAAGTGCTATTACTGTGCTTTATGTGAATTTTCTTATTTAATTTAATTTGCATGTCAGCCTTTTAAAGTAGGCATCTTTATGTTCATTTTAATGAGGAAGCTGAGGTTCAGATGTTAAGCAACTTGGCTAAGATCTCACCATCAGAAAGTAGAGAGTTCAAATCTTAGTCTAATTACGAAGCTCTTTCTACTACATCACATTACATACCACTTGAGTTCTACTAATGTTCCTAAGATGTTTATTTTTGTCTATTTTATTTCTATTCAACTCAATGGTTTTTTTTTTAAAAATTTTCCCATTAGGTTATTTGAAGCATTTTCCTTTCTGTTTTCAACACATTCTATGGTGGGGTTCAGATGATGTTGTGGCTGTGACAGCAGAGGCAGGCAGCGCCCACACAACATCCACACACACCCGGGTCCGCGCAGACGCAGGCAGCGCCCACACAACATCCACACACACCTGGGCCTGTGCAGCCGTGCAGGACAGCTTTCTGCACATCCCCAGCTCATCAAGTACACTGACGCCATGTGAGCAGCTTCTCACGCTCATCAGTGTGAGGCAGCCAGCGTCCCCAGGGACAGCCCGCAGCCAGGGGGTCAGGTCAATAAACAGTCCAGTGTCCACCCTCCAACAGGACCATGCAGGGCTACCAAGCTACCCCAGGCTACCGTGCCCCAGCTGCCCCCAGCTCACCCCCATACACCCTGTGATGGTGAATGCTGTAGGTAAACTTGGCTGGATGGACCTCTGACTAAACATAATTTCTGGGTGTGTCTGAGAGTGTGTGTCCAGAAGAGATTAGCATTTGAATTGGTAGACTCAGGAGGTAGATCATCTTCCCCAATATGGGTGGCCTCATCCAATCTGTTGAGGGCTTGAATAAAAGAGAAAGGTGGAGGAAGAACTCTGTCTGCCTGCATGAGCTGGGACATCCATCTTCTCCGGGCTTCAGACTGGAGCTTGCACTGTCAGCTTTCCTGGGTCCCCAGCCTGACAAGTGCAGATCCTGGGGTGTGTTACCCTCTGTAATCATAAGCCAAATGCTTATGATACGTATTTTCATAAGAACCCTAATAAAGCCTGTGTGTTGGCCTCCCCCAACCCTGTCCACATTTCCTGTCCTCACCCTGCTTTCAGGATTGTCTCTCAGATAAACCACGCCCCGCTAGACCCTCATCTCAGGGTTTGGTTTAGGAGGAATTCTCAAACTGAGAAAGTCCAGAAAGACTTAAATCTTCATTTAGCAAAATAAAATGTGCCTCTTTATTCTGCTTAATGTTGTTGACCTTGAAGTTTTCTTAATCTAATACTAATAATATCCCCACACTGTCCTCTAGAGAACATGGACTTAGGAAGAAAACAATTCTCTTCTAACGTCCTTATCTCTCATGTTGTTTGTTTTCTCTTACAAACTCAATGACTTGCACTTAGTTTTGTAGCACAGAGAGCCACAGCCTCATGAGTATGGAGGGACCCTTCCCATTTATCAGGATTGCTGATAGGTTTATTCCAGCTTCATCAATAAGACATCTTATTTATGTATTCTTCTTTAATACCTTTTGTACCACTTTATCGGTTTTCAATTCTTGCTTTGGCTTTGCTATAATCTCTTTTAATGATTTTGTACGAGCAAAGGAACAAGAAAACTCAAGGTGTTGTCTTGCCTTATTCTATAATACGAATGACCATAAAGTTCTAACAATTAAGGCAGTGAGTCATTGGTGAATGACAAACAGCCCAGAGGACCAGAATGTGCCCAGTGAGGGAGAGTGGCATATTGGGAGGTGACAAGCAGAGCAGTGTTCTGCTGACATTCCTGTTTTCCTGGTGAAATAGAAGAGATGCTGAGCAGAGGGTAAAGAGGGGCCCGTGCTGGAAGCTTAATGAGGGCAGGTGTGGAGCAATGGTGGGGGGCGTGAAGCACCCATCTCTGGGGCCTGGAGGACGTTGTGGAGACCTGAGATGAGTTCTCAGGACAGCTGGCCCTCATTTCTAGCCACACTGGGGCTTCAGGCACAGGTGGGGAAGAGGCTGAATGCAAACTGTCCCCTGGGCTGGGGTCTTTCTAGGTGGGGTTGATGGCTAGGTGCAAAGATGGAAGTAGAATTTCTGGGGAAGAGACCAAGCTGCTGGGTGACCTCAGACACTAATTGGATGGTGAGGTCAAAGAGAGGGCAAAGGCCAGTGCTATGCAGTGGGGTCAGTGAGCTCCAGAGATCAAAGGTGGGGGAGGGGGGCACAGGTAGCAGTGAAAGGTAAAATGCGGTATAAGGTCTAGGGTGGCATCAACTTGACTGGGCCACAGGTGCCCAGATATTTGCTCAGTGTTATTCTGCACTTGCCCATGGAGGGATTTTCATATGGGAATAGTATTTGAATCAGAACCGAAGGAAGCTGGCTGCCCTCCCCAGTGTGAGTGGGCCTCATCCAATCAGCAGAGGACCAGAACAGCACAACACGCAGGCTCTCTCCCAGAACGAAGAGCTCCTCCTTCTGACTGCCTGGAGCTGGGAAGTTCATCTGTTTCCTGCCTCTGGACGCAAACTGAAACATGGCTCTTCCTGGGACTCAAGCCTGCCGACCTTCAAGCTGAAACTCTCCCCTTCAGCCCTCCAGGAACTTCAGCTCAATGGCCACAGGTCTTGGGACTGGTCAGCCTCCATAATCTCACAAGCTGCTGCTCATGACATGTCTCTCCCTTTCTGTGTATGTGCGTTTATTCATTTGTTGATTTATGTATGCACCCTGTTGGTTCTGTTCCTCTGAAGAGCCTTAAGTAAATGGCAGGAGGAGGTACCACTGAAAATGGAAGGTCCTGGAAATGTGAGGCCTGGGTGGAAGAGGGTTGTCGAGAATGGTGGACACTCAATGGAGGCAACCGAGGCAGTGGGCCAGGTGCTCACCTTTTCGAAGAACGAGGCAGTGTGACAGGTGCCTTAGCAGGGAGCCGAGGCTTCAAAGGCCCTCAGGATTAGTGGGAAGAGAATGTTCTGGAAGGTCCATCAAGAAGCAAGGCCATTGGCCTCTCCAGGTCTATCCAATGAGAGCCCCAGGGGACGCAATGACCATCAAAGCTAGCCAAGGGTCAACAAGGACAAGCAGCTGAAGCGGCATTCAGGGGAGAGGAGGGGTTGGCTGATGGGGATGTCCGAGGGCCCAGTGCACAGGCTCAGGGAAGGAGAAGTTGGGAGGGCAGGCAGATCCAGGCTGGACAGCAGAGCGAGCAAGTGAAGGTGAGTGTGGGGGACTCGTGCTCCTGGAGCAGACCATGGGGATGTGGTCAGGGTGCAGCATTGGTCTTGGAGGTAGAGGGGCTGTCATCAGCACTGATCACACATCTGCCCAGACTAGCCTTCTGGGCACTTTTGATGGGGAGAGGTGGCTGGTGTGAGGTCTTTCCAGGAACTCAGCTTTGGTTGGCTTTAAAGACCTGGGCTTGGTCCATTTCCTTGGAGCCACCAGCCCCCTCCACTGCAGCCCTGAGGTCCCAGGGCCTTTCCTTGCCAAGGTTTCTTCCTGCTTCTCCCCTAGGCTGCCTCCTCACCACCCAGAGTGCAGTTCTCTTTAAACTGCAGGATTGTAATGTGAATTCTCAGGATTTTACCAACTGCCCTCCTGTCCCTAAATCAGTTCCCAAGGCCCAGGGCAGGACCCAGCCATGCCATGGAAACGCAGGCAACAGCAGCCACTGTTAAAGTTCAGGGCATGACAGTGCACTCGACTTTTCCGTGGCTCCTGGAAACCTCTTGCTTATTAATGTATGTTTGTTTGTTTCCACTGCTTCTAAAAATTGTCTGTTAGGGATTGGAAGAAAGAAATTACGTAATGAAACTCAACTCCAGTTCCTAAACTGGAAATTCACTGCCATTTCTCTCAGAACCATGTATTAAGGTGTGTACGTCTCTTGGATTTAGATTCAGCTTGGGGACAGAGCTTAGAAGTGTCCTTTCCCTTTGAGTTGCTGAAACCCTCCATTTCTCAGGTCCCCTCATGTTCATTGGCCACACCGTGGTTTATTCTTTCCTGCTGACAGTCAGATAAGCTTCAGTGCAGCCACTTTCTCTCCTGTGCTCCTTGAAAAGCAAAAGCCTAAGAGCTGGGCAGGTTTGGAGTAGGGTTCACCTGGGAGGCAGGGCTGCAGTGGACGTGGAACCCCTGAGGCAGTCAGCTTCTCGACCACCCCATATGAGATACTCCAGGAAAACCAGAGCGGAGGCCTCTCCCCCTAGTTGCTGGATCTCAAGTCAGTAGTTTCTCCCAGTAGGACAAAGCTGGTGCTGGCTGTGGCTTTGTTTTGTGCAGAAAATGCTTGGCTTTTCCTTCTGATGCCTGCAACCCAGCCTGGCCTCCTGAAGCTCTGCAGCTGCTGTGGGTGGGCATCTGCCGCTGGAATGCAGACTTCTCACAAATGGCAGAAGCCACAGCTGTCCTCTTTGGGCCGGACCCGGCACTCAAGAAATGTGGACTGAGAAGAACTTTCCAGAGAGAGCCCAGGGAACAGGGATGTGAGAAGTGACATCCATGGCCAGTTTGGCAACAACGAGCTACGCTCCCAGCTCAGCTTCCACCTTGGGGGCCCTGTTCTGAAAACCGGGTGGTGCCCAGGATGCAGGCATAGGAGAGGTGAGAAGCTGCCTTTCCACCTTGGTCACTCGGTGCTGCTGGTGATCACATGCACAGGGTAGAAATGCTGCTGGCTGTGGATTGAAGCCAGAGTGACAGTTCCCAGTAACTTTCCATCCTCGGGGTTTGGGGTGCAGTGTTGGCCTGCTGCAGCCAACCCTCCTGCGTAACACCCTCTGTCCATTAACACCTGTAACTCGAGCCTGGTCATCTCCCTTCCTGCAGGCAGCAGCCTTGACCCATCCTACTGAGCCCAGTCCAGCTCTTCTCACCCTGCCCGCCCTTTTACCCCATCCACCTGGTGCCTCCCAGGCCTGCTCTGGCTAGGGCTCAGCCTCCAGCCAGCCTCCTCGCCTGCCTGTGGGACAGCTGTCTCCTTGCTGTGTTCACAAATGGCTCACAGGTTGTGCCCATCCTCACTCCCTGTTGCACGGAACCTGCCTTCTGTGATCCTGTTCTCTCACCCGCTCCAAGAGGAGAGGTGAGCTGTCTTTATTGGACATGCTAATTTCATGGGACATGGGCTGGAGGCAGGGTCTGCAGCTCGTGAAGGGTTCTGAGGCTGCTCTGGACTCAGCAGGAACGATATCATCATGGCTTCGTGGTGTGCGCCAGGTGGTACCTTTGCGGCACCTTCCGTTCCAAACCCTGCACACCTGAGCACCCCTCCAGCCACACCCATGCCGTGAAATTCGCGCTCCCAGAACGACTCGGTGGCCTACCATGCCCAGGGTGCAGAGAAAACACCAAAGGAAAGTGGAAGAGGCTGAACAGAGTTTAGCTTACAAAGGTTAGCCTGAACAGCTTCTCTTCATTTTTGAGTGCCCTCTGCTAACCGTTTTTTTTCTTTTTTCTTTTTTTTTTTTTGGAGACAGTTTTGCTCTTGTTGCCCAGGCTGGAGTGCAGTGGCACGATCTCGGCTCACTGCAACCTCCGCTTCCCAGGTTCAAGCAATTCTCATGCCTCAGACACCCAAGTATCTGGGATTACAGACACCCGCCACCACACCCAGCTAATTTTTGTATTTTTAGTAGAGACAGGGTTTCACCACGTTGGCCAGGCTGGTCCCGAACTCCTGACCTCAAGTCATCCACCCACCTCAACCTCCCAAAGTGCTGAATTTACAGACGTGAACCACTGCGCCCGGCCCCTCTGCTAACTGCTTTTTATATATTGAATTCTTCAGTCCTTGCAAAAGCCCTGAATGATGCTACCATCTCTAAGCTACAGATGGGAAGACCAAATCTGAAGCTATCTATGTAACTCGCAACATCGCACAGCTGCTGGGGGAGGGGCCTGGGATTCAACCCCCAAAGGCATATGTCCTACCTGCTCTTTCCCCTCCAGAATGCTGCCCTCAGCAAGGATATTGCAGCATGGGGTATCCCTGAGAGAGGAGGGCAGCCCCACACAGGGGTGGCACCAGTGCTCCCTGCCCCATCATTTTTCTTTAGCAAAATATGCTTAGTTTCCCATCAGGGAATCAGCAGGCCCTAGGTAAGTACACAGACAGTGTAAAGTGGTTTGTTTATAACACAAGGATGCCTGCCAAAGGGGACAAGTAGAGTGAGATGCAGACTGCGCCCTGCCTGCCATGCCCAGCGGGCAGCACTGGCCTGCAGGAGGTGACTTCCCTCTTTAGAAAGGCTCCGTGTGAGTTAGAGGTGACCTTGATGGAGTCTGCAGTTCTGTAAATTCAATCTCATTGTGCTTCATCAGATTTCACAGCCAAATTTCCCTGGTGGTGGTTTCTCCACAAATAACAAAACAAAGATCCATCTTTTCTAGAATCCATGATATATTTTTCTGCCCTCCTACAATGCATTCTCCATATCCATAACCATAATAATATTGTCAAAAAATGAATCAGAACAAGTGATTCCCTAGCTTTAAAGTCCTCTAATGGTTTCCTATTGCATTTAGCATGAAATCCAGACTCCTTCCTATGGCTCACCATGTCTTACAGTGAGCACACTCCAGCCTAACTCTCCACCATCATCATAAACACCATCACCACCACCACAACCACCACTACCACCATCACCATTAACGTCATCACCATCAACATCATCACCATCACCATCATCACCATCACCACCACCATTATCACCACCATAACTACCACCATCACCACCACTATCACCATCAGCACCACCATCACTATCATCATCATCACCACCAGCACTACTATCATCACCATCACCACCATCACCAACATCACCACTATCACCAACACCACAACCACAACCCCCACCACTGTCATCACTGCCATCACCATCATCACCATCACCACAACCACCATCACCACCACCACCATCAACATCACCATCACTGTCATCAACATCACTAACACCACCATCACCATCACCACCACCATTATCACCACCATAACTACCACCGTCACCATCAGCAACACCATCACTATCATCACCATCACCATCATCACCACCATCATCGCCATCACCACCACCATCATCGCCATCACCAACACCATCATCACCACCATCATCGCCATCACCACCACCATCATCACCACCATCATCGCCATCACCATCACCATCATCACCACCATCATCACCATCACCACCACCATCATTGCCATCACCACCACCATTATAACCACCACCACCATCACCATCACCAGCATCACCATCATCACCATCACCATCACCACCATCACCACCATTATTATCACCAGATTTTCCCTAAATCAATAGAGATATTCCCCTGAATCTAAACTGCTGTGTATAAGGAGTTGAGAACCCCAGAGTAAAACTAAACAACCCCTGAGGGGCCGAGAGTACATGGCATGTGATGGTGGCCTTTGAGACATCTCTTCTGACTTGTTAGAGGCTTTTTGTCTATGACATGCTCTGTTGACATGGACTGAATTTTGTCCCCCTGAAATTCATGAGTTGAAGCCCTAACCCTCAATAAACCTGTATTTGGAGATAGAGCCTTTAGGAGAAAATTAGGTTAAATGAGTTCATAAGAGTGAGGCCCAAGTCTGATAGGATTAGTGTCCTTATAAGAAGAGCGAGACCAGACCTCTCTGTCTCCACCGTGTGAGAACATGGTGAGGCAGCAGCCATCTACCAACCAAAAGGAGAGCCCTCACCAGAAACCGCCTCTGCCAGACCTTGATTGGGGACTTCTTATGTCCAGAACTGAGAGATAATAAAATTTGGTTGTTTAAGCCACTTAGTCTGTGGTTTTTTGACATGTCGGCCAAAGCAGACTAAGACATCTGTGTTCTGAAGAGTTACCTTACTAAATTTCTATGGAAGGTGAGACATTATTATAAATTATATTTATGTTTTTTGAAAAACCAAAGTCATCTCATTTTTACTCAATTTTTGGTTATATGGCAAATTTCTAAGTAAGTTAGATTTTGCCATTGACTTCTGTGATAAAACCACAGCCTTTTTTTTCTGTTTTGTGGTTTACCATTTTATGTGTATGGTTCAGTGACTTTAAATACATTCACATTGTTATGCAACCATCACCACCATCCATCCACAGAACTTCTTTATCTTCCAAAACTGAAACTTTGTGCCCATTACACTAAACTTCCCATTCCTCTCCCCAACCCCCAGCTGCTGGCAACCACCATTCTACTTCCTGTCTCTGAATTTCATTCCTCAAATTACTTCATGGAGGTGGAATCATACAGTATTTACCCTTTTGTGACTGGCTTATTTCACTTAGCATAATGATCTTCAGAGACACCTATGTTGTAACATGTGTTATAATAATTTTTTTCCTTTTTTTTTTTCCGGGATGGAGTCTAGCTCTGTCACCCRTACTAGAGTGCAATGGCACAATCTCGGCTCACTGCAACCTCCGTCTCCCAGGTTCAAGTGATTCTCTTGCTTAACCCTCCCGAGTAGCTGGGATTACAGGCACCCACAAGAACACCCAGCTGATTTTTGTATTTTTAGCAGAGACAGGGTTTCACTGTGTTGGCCAGGCTGGTCTCGAACTCCTGACCTTGTGATCTGCCTGCCTTGGCCTCCCAAAGTACTGGGATTAATTATTTTTCCTTTTTAAGGTTAAATAATATTCCATTTTGTGGATATGCCACATTTTGTTTATCCATTCATCTGTCAACAGACACTTGGGTTGCTTCCATCTTTTGACTATTGTGAATAATGCTGTTGTGGACATGGGTGTAGAAACATCTCTTTGAGGCTCTGCTTTTAATTCTTTGAGGTATATACCCAGAGGTGTAATTGCTGGATCATGTGAAATCTGAGAAACCACCATATTGTTTCTATAGTTGTGTAGTATCTCACTGTGGTTTTGATTTGCATTTTCCTAATTATTCATGTTGTTGAGCATCTTTTCATGTACTTATTGGTCATTTGTATATCATTGGAGAAATATATATTCAAGTCCTTTGTCTATTTTTTAATTGTGTTGTTTTTTGGTTGTTGAATTGCAAGAGTTCTTTATATATGGATAGTAATCCGTTATCAGATATATAATTTACAAATATTTCCTGCCATTCAGTGTGTTGCCTTTTACTCTGTTGACAGTGTCATTTGATTCACAAAAATTTTTAATATTTACATGTTCCAATTATCTGATTTTTTTGTTGCCTATGCTTTCGGTGTCGTAGCCAAGAAATCCTTGCCAAATGCAATGCCATGAAGCTGTGCCCCTACATTTTCTTGTGAGTATTCTAACTCTCATATCTAAGTCTTTGACTATTTTTAATTTCTGCATATGGTGTAAGGTAAGGGTACAACTTCATTCTTTTGCATGTGGCTATCCAGTTTTCCCAGTAACATTTGTTGAAAAGACTGTCCTTTTCCCTATTGGATAGTCCTAGCAACTTTTTAAAAAATCACAAGGCCATATATACAAGAGTTTATTTCTGGGCTCTCTATTCTATCTCACTGATCTATGTGTCTGTCTATACGTCAATACCACTCTGTTTTTAATACTGTAGATTTTTAGAAATTTTGAAACTAAGAAGTGTGAGACCTCCAACTGTGTTCTTTTTCAAGATTGTTTTTGCTATTTAGGGTCCCTTGAGATTCTATATGAATGTTAGGATAGATTTTTCTAGTTTTGTAAAAAAAAATTGATGTTGGAATTTTAAGATAAATTGCATTTAATCTAGAGACCACATCTTTCAATTTTAGGTCTTCTCATCTATGAACAAAGGATGTCTATTTTTGTAGTGTCTTTAATTTCTTTGAGCAATATTTCATAGTTTTCAGTGTACACATCTTTCACCTCCTTGGTTCAGTTTGTTTCTATTTTTTATTTTGTTTGGTCCCACTTTAAATGAAATTGCTTTCTTAATTTCTTTTTCAGGTTGTTCATTGTTATTGTATAGAAACACAGCTAATTTCTGTATGCTGAGTATTCTGTAAGTTTGCTAATTTTGTTATTAGTTCTATCATGTTTCTTATGGAATCTTTGGGGTTTTCTACATATGAAATTACATCATCTATGAAAGGGATCGTTTTACTTTTTATTTCCCAATTTTAATGCTTTTTATTTCCTAATTTATCTGGTCAAGATTTCCATTACTATGCTGAATTTAAAAGTAGGCATTCTTCCCTTGTGTCTTAGCTTAGAAGAAAAGTTTTCAATCTTTCATCATTAAGTATGATGTTAGCAATGGGCTTTCCATATATGGCCTTAATTATGTTGAGGTAGTTTCCTTCTGTTCCTAGTTTGGTGRATGTTTTTTATCATGGAAAGGTGTTGGATTTTGTCAAATATTTTTCTCCATCAATTGAGATGATCACATGGGAACTGTTTCTTCATTCTGTTAATGTAGTTATTACATTAATTCATTTTCATATGTTGAACTATCCTTGAATTTCAGAAATAAATCCCACGAGGTCATGTGTATAATTTTTTTGATGTGTCACTTAATTCTGTTCACTAATATTTGGTTGAGGATTTTTACATCAGTATTTATCAGAGATATTGATCTGTAGCTTAATTTTATTGTAGTACCTTTGTCTTGCTTTGGTGAAAGAGTAATCTTGGCCTTGAAGAATAAGTTTGAAAGTGTCCCCTTACCTTAAACTTTTTTGGAAACTTTTGAGAAGGATTAGTGTTAACTCTTCTTTAAATGTTTGGTAGAATTCACGAATGAAGCCATCAGCTCCTGGGATTTTCTTTGTTGGCAGATTTTGGATCATTGATTCAATCTCTTTGCTAGTTATATGTCTGTTCGTATTTTCTATTTCTTTGTGGKTTAGTCTTGGTAGGTGGTATATGTCTAGGAATTTATCCATTTTGTCTAGGTTGTCCAATTTTTTGGCATACAAATATTCATACTATTGTCTTATTAATATAATCATTTTATTTCTGTTAAATCAGTGGTAATGTCTGCACTTACATTTCTGATTTTAGTTATTGAGACTTCCCTCTTTTATCTTACTCAGTCGAACTAATTGTTCATTAATTTTGGTGATTTTTTCAAAGAACTGAACTTGGTTTTGCTAACTTACTCTACCATGTTCCTATTCTTTATTTCAGTTGTCTGTACTCTAGTCTTTATTATTTCTTTCCTTCTACTGGATTTGGGTTTAGTGTGTTCTCCCTTTTTCTACTTCTTTAAGGTATAATGTTAGATTGTTAATTTAAGATCTTTCTTCTTGTTTATCATAAGCATTTACACTATAAACTACCCTCCTAGCACAGATTTTGATGCATCTGGTAAGTTTTGGTATGTTTACTGTAGCCCTGCAATATAGTTTGAAGTCAGGTAATGTGATGCCTCCAGCTGTGTTCTTTTTGCTTAGGGTTGCCTTGGCCATTCGGGCTCTTTTTTGGTTCCATATGAATTTTAAAATAGTTTTTTCTAGTTCTGTGAAGAATGTCATTGGTAGCTTAATAAAAATAGCATTGAATCTGTACACTGCTTTGGGCAGTATGGTCATTTTAATAAGATTGATTCTTCCTATCTGTGAGCATGAGATTTTTAAAAATTTGTTTTTGTCTTACCTGATTTCTTTCAGCAGTGCTTTGTAATTCTCACTGCAGAGATCTTTCACCTCCCTGGTTAGCTGTATTCCTAGATATTTTWTCATTTTTGCAGCAATTGTGAATGAGATTGCCTTCCTGATTTGTTTCTCGGCTTGGTTTCTTCTTGTTGTTTGTGTACAGGAATGCTGGTGATTTTTCTACATTGATTTTGTATCCTGAAACTTTGCTGAAGTTGTTTATCAGCTGAAGGAGCTTTTGGGTCRAGACTATGGGTTTTTCTAGATATAGAATCATGTCATCTGCAAATAGGGATAGTCTGATATCCTCTCTTCCTATTTGGATATGCTTTATTTCTTTATTTTGCCTGATTGCTCTGGCTAAGACTTCCAATAATACTTGAATAGGATTGGTGAAAGAAGGCATTCTTGTCACGTGTTGGTTTTCAAAAGGAATTCTTCCAGCTTTTGCCCATTTAGTATGATGTTGCCTGTTAGTTTGTCACATATGGCTCTTATTATTTTGAGTTGTGTTCCAAAACATCATGGTGCTGGTACAAAAACAGGCACATAGACCAATGSAACAGATAGAGAGCCTAGAAATAAGACTGCACACTTACAACCATCTGATCTTCAACAAAGCTGACAAAAACAAGCAATGGGGAAAAGACTCCCTATTCAATAAATGGTACTTGGATAAGTGGCTAGCCATATGCAGAAGATTGAAGGTAGACCCCTTCCTTGCACCATATACCAAAATCAACTCAAGATGGATTAAAGACTTACATATAAAACCCAAAACTATAAAAAACCCTGGGAGACAACCTAGGCAATATTATCCTGTACATAGGAATGGGCAAAGATTTCATGACAAAGCAATCACAAAAGCAATCACAACAAAAACAAAAATTGACAAATAAGATCTAATTAAACTTAAGAGCTTCTGCACAGCAAAAGAAACTATCAGCAGAGTAAACAGACAACCTACAGGATGGCAGAAAATATTTGCATATTATGCATCTGACAAAGGTCTAATATCCAGCATCTATAAGAAACTTAAACAAGTTTATAAGCAAAAAACAAACAACCCCATTAAAAAGGGGGCAAAGGACATGAACACTTCTCAAAAGAAGACATACGTGCAACCAACAAGCATATGAAGAAAAGCTCAATATCACTGATCATTAGAGAAATGCAAATAAAAACCACAACGAGATACTGTCTCACAACAATCAGAATAGCATTATTAAAAATTCAAAAAAATAACAGATACTGGTGAGGTTGTGGAGAAAAGGGACCACTTATACACTGTTGATGAAAGTGTAAGTTAGTTCAACCATTGTGGAAAGCAGTATGGCGATTCTTCAAAGAAAGAGCTAAAAACAGAATTACCATTCAACTCAGGAATCCCATTACTGGGTATATGCCCAGAGGAATATAAATCATTCCACCATAAAGACACATGCACA